>NW_003315917.2:0-600000 GCF_000001405.40 Homo sapiens | reverse complement strand
AGTTCCGTACGGCTGGGGAACATTCAGGAAACTTACAATCATGGTGGAAGGGGAAGCAATCAAGTCCTTCTTCACATGGCAGCAGGAAGGAGAAGAATGAGAGCCGAGCAAATGTGGAATCCCCTTATAAAACCATCAGATCTTGTGAGACTCACTCACTATCACAAGAACAGCACGGAGGGTAACCGCCCTCATGATTCAATTACCTCCCACCAGGTGCCTCCCATGACACATGGGGATTATGAGAACTAAAATTCAAAATGAGATCTGGGTGGGGACACAGCCAAACCACATCAAAAAGTGATTCATTTGACATGGTCTTCCCTATCTTCTCTCATTTAGGGTAACATTATTTCCTTGAATCAAAAGGGTATCCCTGTAGACTTTGAGTTCATCTTGACATCTTTGAACCATGGATTATCAATTTGCAAATGTTATTTGTTGAATTATTGAGCTATATTCCTTGACATGCTTTTAAGAATGATATTTTCATTAAAATAAATGAGGGACTCATCCTAATATTTAGGAAGATTTCTCAACATCATCACATACAATTATGAATTATTATGGACACAACAGTGGTAGTTTGGATTTTTATTGTGGTTAAACTTTTAGAAAGTACAAAGTATTCATAAATCTACATTTTAATATTTTATAATTCAAATGAATTTTAAGTAACTATTTTGATATTCTATAAATAAAAATGTCACCTATACTATATAAGGATTCACTCACTTCTCTCTGCATTCTCATCAATACCTGATGTGTTGTGACTTTTAAAAACTAGCCATTCTGACTAGTATAAGGTGACATTTCGTTGTGGTTTTAATTTTTATTTCTCTGATGATGAGACTGAGCATTATTTCATATGTTTGCTGTCCACTAGTATGTCTTCTTTTGAGAAATGCCTGTTTATGTACTTTGTCCATTTTTTAATGGGGTTATCTATTTTGTTGTTGTTGTTGAGTTGTTTGAATTTCTTGTCGATTCTGGATATTAGTACTTAGTTGGATGCATAGTTTGCAAATATTTTCTCACATTCTTCAGGTTATCTGTTTTCTCAGTTATTTCTTTTGCTGTGCAGAAACTTTTTTGTTTAATTAAGTCCCATTTGTCTACTTTTGTTTTTGCTAAATTTGCTTTTGAGGTCTTAGTCACAAATTTTTTGCCAAGGCCAATGTCTAGAAGAGTTTTTCCAGGTATTCTATGAGTACTTTTATATCTTCAGGTATTATATTTAATTCTTCAATTCATCCTGAGTTAATTTTGTGGATGGCAACAGATAGGGGCCCAGTTTTATTCCTCTGCATGTGGCTTTCCAATTTTCCCTGCACTATTTATTGAAGGGGATATCCTTTTCCCAGTGTATGTTTTTTTCAATGTTGTCAAACATCCATTGACTGTAGGTAGGTCCCTTTATAAATATCCACTAATAAAGTGACAAAGTGCCTTTGTCACTTTATTCCTGGAATTTCTATTTTGCTCTATTGAGTATTGTGTCCATTTTTATATCACTATCATATTGTTTTTGTTACTATAGCCTTATAGTATAATTAGAAGGAATGTAAATTTGTCCCACCTCTATTAAAACAGTATGAAAATTTTTTCAAGTATTAAAGAGCCACAATTCACTCTATCAATCCTATACTGGGTGTATACCCAAAAGAAAAAATATCATTATACCAGAAAAGATATTTGCACTCATTTATTTATAGCAGCAATATTCATAATACCAAAGATATTGAATCAACATGTGTCCATCAACAAATAACTGGATAAAGAAAATGATGTGATATACATATATACATATATACACACACATACACGCACAATGAATACTACACAGCTATAAAAAATAACATCATTTCACTTGCAGCAATATGGAAGGATAATTTTACACTTTATGTCTTAGTCTGTTTTGTGCTGCTGTAACAAAATACCTGAGACTGGGTAATTTATAAAAAATAGAAAATTATTTTCTGATAGTTCTGTAGGCAAGGAAGTCAATGATCAAGATACCAGCATGTAATGAGGGCCTTCTGTTGCACTCTCAGATAGCATTAGTTTAAATGGCAAGAGAAAGGCAGAACTCTATTTGAGAGGGCTGTTGCAACCTTACAGCATGATACATCTTGTGAAATATGGTTTTGAACATTTTTATTAAAAATGTAGGCATCAAAATCTCTACCATTTGTGTCATGTTATAATAATAACTATAAAACTGCATTATTCAGAATATGTAACAATAAAAATTAATATTAAAAAGTTTTAAAATGTATTTGCTTTTGCATATATCGTTTCTATTGATCATAACAACCAGATGTGATAACCAGGGCCAGATATTTCTACTGTTATCATTAGAAATCAAAGAAAACTAACATATTGGATGGTTTTAAAAATTATAAAAATTGTAAGTGTACATATAAATATTAACTTGTAAGTCATCTTGCAAGTATTATAATCAGATTTCATTTTCAAATCGTGATGAATCTAACATGATACCTAAGTTTGTATATTGAACAATGTGTATACATGTGCACACACTTTTAATTTATATTTTTCTCATTCTGAGTGATAATGCAGCAAAATTTAAAGAGATTACACTATAATTATGTTTAAAATCTTACTTGTACTTTTGAAACAAATCACAGGTTGAGTCATGATAACAGGACAAAATATACTTAGCTGCTGAATATAAACAAAGTATACAGAAGCGTAAATCTTGCGAGCACAAAAGTGTTAAAAACAGCAAGATCTAGAGGCTCAAGTACAAGAGAGATATATTATACCAAGAGCAGTAATCTCAAAAATTTATATCCCAAATGTGTAGACTTGATCTTATTTTCAGTCAGTGTGTTCTGTATGGAAGATGAACATGCTCCTGACAACGGAGTATGATTTAGAAAACTATATCCTGCACAGAGGGATATAAAATGTGATTATATACTGCACTTCTGTGCAAAATTTTAAACAGAATTTAATCAATCACTTTGAAACCTAGATGTATTTGTGGAACAATGACATCACTTTGAAATTATGTGTAGTTTGTAAATGCACAAAATTAATAATGTATTTTGTGTAAATGGATTACTTTGGAAAGAAACTCATAAGAACTACATTATCAGACAAAACATTCTTTGAAAATGTGTGTGCTACAAGGCAATTTGCCATTTCATTTTAATAGAATGTTCCATGCTGAAAATGTCTAACTGCTCAGAAGTGGAATAGGAGTGTAAATTTATTATCTGAGAAAAGAAAATTAATTGACACAGGCCAAAAATGTAATGGAATTAGACCCATGTGCCTTAGTGAGAACTTAGGAACTCGATCTGGGCTCTATGGAGTGACAAAATTATGCAAAAAAAAAATGAAGTATGTCATTTTTGCACAAAGCTCAGGATTTCTCAAAGGAATATTACATAAAATAATGAAGTCTCCTTTATCTCCAAGACAGTCCAGTCTTAGAACGCAATGGAACATGCCATTTGAAATAAAAAACAAATTTTGTTTTTGTTTTGTTTTGTTATGTTTGGTGCTATTTTAAGTATTTAACATTCATAAAGAGAGAATTAGCAATTAATGAGATAAAGTTTAAAAAAAATCGAGATCAGGACAAGGTAAAAAAAAATCATTCAGTCTTGCAAATCTGTTATTTAATAGGTCATGTTTTAAGAACTGGGAATACAGATACTACGTGTATTTTAAATAGAAAATTTGAAATGTACAAGAAGTCATTTTTAAATATAGTCACTCTGCTATAAAGTCAATCTCTAAAACTCAATCTTTGTGTCTAACTGAAACTGTACCCTGTGAACAACATCTCCCCATTCCCTATCCCTTGCCTCCAGCATTAACTAGCATTCTACTCTCTACTTTTAAGGGTTTGCCTTTTTTCGATTGCTAAAAAGTCTATTTTCAGTGTTCTCACAACAAAAAGATAAATATGTGACATAAGAGATGTGTTAAGCAGCTTGATTTAATCATTCCACAATATAAATATATACGAAGACATAATACTGTACCCCTCAAAACAATTATTATTTGTTTATTTAAAACATTTAAAAACAAAAAATGAGACAAATATCAGGAAAGTAATTTTATACATAAGCTAGATAATTGCCTATAGCTGCGTATGCTGTGAAATAATTTCTGTTTGAAAAGACAGGAAAAATTATATGGCAAAACCATAGTGCAGTAATAAATTTGCCATGTTTAGTAAACAAAATATAGTTCAATGTGACTGAAGCATACCAAGAGGCAGAAGAATGTGGTGTACACTGTAGTGTAGAGGAGTGTCTTAGTTTGGGCTGCTATACAAAATACCATAGATTGAGTGGCTTACAAATAACAAAAAAAGTATTTCTTACTGTTCTAGGGGTTGGAAGTCCAAAGTCAGAGTGCCAGGATGTTCTGGTTTTGGGGAGGGCCCTTTTGCGGTTGCAGACTGTTGGGTTTTTGTATAAGCACATGGGGAAAGAAGTGAGAGCTCTCTTAGGTCCCTTTTATAAGAACACTAAGCCTATTCATGAGGCCTCTACTATGACAACCTAATTACCTCCTGAAGGTCCCACTACTAATACCATTACATTGACAGTTACGATTTCAATATACAGATTTTGAGGGTACACTTTAAAAATTCAGTCCGTAACATTCTGCCCCAGGTTCCCCAAAATTCATGTCTTCACATGCAAAATGCAGTCATTCCATTCCAACAAATCCACAAATCTTAACTCATTCCAGCCTCAAGTCCAGTCTAAAGTCCAAGGTCTTATTTAAATATTACCTAAATCAGATGCAGGTGAGCTTCACGGTACAGTTCATTCTCACAAAATTTCTCTTCATCTGTGAACCTGTGGAATCAAACAACATGAACTCTCAAAATACAATGGTGAGACAGGCATAGGATAAACATTCCCATTCCAAAAAGAACCACTATTCGAAAAAAATAAAATATATGAATGCTGGATCCCAAGTAAATCTAAAACCTAACAGGGCAAACTCCATCAAACCCTAAGGTTCAAGAAGCATCCTCTTTGGCTTGATGACTCACCTTCCAGACAGTCCCCGACAGCTCAGTGAGGCACTGCTCGCTGCTGACTCTATGCACTGGACCCACTTATGGCACAGTCTTTTGTCAGGGCTGAGGTCACTCACCCAGGGCTTCACTGGATGGCCCTCCCACACAGCTCCTCTGAGCATCATTTCTGTCCTTTGAAATCAAAATGGAGGTAACCTTGGCCCACCTTGCCATACCCTCTGGATTTTTGGTAAAAGCAGCAGCTGTAATTGTCTCCAAATCCCCTTTGCGCCCCTTCTTCCGTAATTTTGAAGGAGAGAATAGCACACATCCACAACTGAATAGCTCTCGGGTCCGGGCCTGTAGGGCTTAAGCATTCCGAATGTCTTCCTTTATTTCGTCCCATTATCTCTGTTTCCTTTAGTCCCAACTGGCAGTGTTTCTCCTGGTATAATCCCATTTCTAGTCATGGTTTGTGTTGAGATGTTTGATTAAGCCTGTGGTTCACACCCATATTAATCAAATCAGTAAGGGTCCGAAACACTCTTCATGTTCTCTTCAGAACACACTTTCTCACTTTTTTTGCAATATGGACAGGCTGAGAATTTCCCAGATCTTAAATTATGGTTACTTTTTCCTTAACAATTCCATCTTCAAACCTTTTTCTTTTTCTACATTTGACTCTACGGATTCAGAAGGAACCAAGCTGCTGCTTCTACATGTTGCTGAGAAATCTGCTGGGTTAAATGTCCAATTTCACTGCACACAAGTTCCACCTTCCGCAAAACACAAGAGCATGAATACAATTCAAAGAAGTTTGTTTCCACTTTTCAACATGGATTGCTTTTGCTCCATTTTCCAATAACATTTTCATTTCCATTTGAGACTCCAACAGAATGACCTTTACTGTCCATATTTTATCAATATTCTGTTCATGATTATTTAATTATTTTCTGAGAAGACAGCGTTTTCTTCTATATTTCTTTCCGAGCCCTCACGAGAATTGGCTTTTAAATTTCTTCCACAGTAATCTAGCATTTTGCATAAAACCTCATCAATCTCTGCCAATCACTGAGCCCAAAACCATTTTCACTTTGTTTTAGGTATTTATAATAACAGCACTCCCACTTCTCATGATCAATTTCCATCTTCAGCCGTTCAGGCTGCTTTAATAAAGTTCCATAACCTGAGTGGCTTTTAAATAACGGAATGCACATCTCACAGTTCTGGAGGCTGGAAGTCCAACAGCAGAGTGCCAGCATAATTGGGTTCTGGTGAGAGAGCTCTCTTGGGTTTCAGACTGCTGCCTTCTCAATGCAGCTTCACATGGTGGACAGAAAGAGCTCTCAAGAGTCATTTTTAAGGGCACCAATCTAATTTATGAAGCCTCCACCATAATAAGCTAATTACTTCCCAAAGTTCATTATAAATATGCAGCTTATAGGTCCTGCTACCATCATACTGAAGGTTAAGTTTTCATCACATGAATTTTGAGGGGACACAACATTCAGTTGCAACAAAAAATACTCAGTGGTTTTTAATTACAATATTGATTATGTAAATACAGAATAAATTTTAGCTCTAAACATTATCCATGATGTGATTAATTAAATTACTAGTTTAAAAAATTGAATCTGTAATTTATCTTGCCTCTATAATTATTATAAGAACTTGTAAACTTTTAACTTGTTTTCTTTAATTTGACCATTTCTGAAATTGTATCTCTAAGTATTGATATATACACTTCCTAGTGCATATAAAAGTTATGCATATTTAGAGTAATAAGTAGTGTGTTATCATGTTTTTATATCAGGGCAGGAAGGGAGAAGTTGAAGAACAAAGTGTCCTTTTCAACAACTTCAGCCCACGTATCTTTCTACAGGACTATAACATGTCACCAGCCACAAGGGCAAGGAGACTGGGCATTGTAGTTATTTGGCAGGACACATTGCTCTTTCAAACAAAAATGGCATTCAGAAACAAGAAAGTAGGGAAGAGAGGTTTTGGTTGGACAACTTGCATTGTTGTCCCTTCTTTTCTTAGACTTCCAAATTCTTGGTTTCAGAATTCTTTATAAGGTTACCCCTCTGAGTAATTTTATCGGTCCATTAAATCTCCCAAGTCCAGGTCCCCAAGCTCTTCTCAACTAGTATGACAGCAACTTGTATAGAGATGTCAATGCAGTACAAATGCTTGTTTTAAAGTTGTTTTAATCCAGCTTCTATCATTCTAAATATTGTTTTAATCCAATATTCTAATTCAGAATATTGAGAATAAACTAATCTTACATGAAATATCTTTTTTCTCCTATTATTTGATATGTGTGTCTATAAAATAACATTTTCTAATTACAGAATGTGCAAGCAAAAAACAAAAAGGGCCTGTGTCCCTAGTCCCATTTTCTTGCTTGGAGGTAACATCCACAACATTTTTAGTTTTCTGTTGTTCTTCTCTAATGCTCCCAATAATATACCTTTGTTGTGGTTATTGTTGTTATTATTGCTCTTGCATCAAGCACTATCTCTTAGTGCTCATGCACGTCCTTACCGAGGTCCATTTCTTTACTCTCTGCCCCATTCCAAGTTGTGTTAGGTAGAGGATTATACTGATCAAGTCCTGTTTTTAGCTATCTTCATAACATTAACACTTTAAACCTCAATGTCTTCACTGTTCTACTGTCCTATGAGCTCTAGCAATCTCAAGTTTCATGTCACTTCTCAGACTATGGCAATGGTAATCTGCATTAATGGCAAAATCATTAATATTGATGAAAATTTTTATTTTCTGCCCTTCCCAAAATCATCTACTTCTTTGGAATTTACATTAGCAGGCAACAATGGCAGTGGCAATACTACCTTTTGGAAGGTAACTGTAGCTCCACCCTTATCTGTAAAAAGATATGTATTAAGACCCCCAGTTGATGCCTGAAACAGTGGATAGTAAACATGTACTATTTTTCCTACACATACATACTTATAATAGACTGTAATTTAAAAATTAGGCATAGTGAAATTTAACTAATAATTATAGTAGTTTATTAGTTAAACTACTACTAATTATTATAGTAGTAGTATTTGTTTAAACTAATATACTCATTATGGGAGTAGTATTAAACTAATAGGCTAATTATATTAGTTTAATAATTCTATTAGTTTATTAGTTAAACTAACACTACTAATGATAATAGAATTATATTAGTTATACTAATATATTATGTATAGGAGTAGTATACTTCTATAATTATATAGGAATATAATTATATTCCTTTTACTAATAATTATATGAACATAACTAATAATAGAATTATTATAACAATATACTGTAGTAAAAGTTATGTGAATGTGGTCTCTCTTTCTCTTGAAATACCTTATTATTATCTACTTTTCTTTTTGTGATAAAGAAAACAGGGAGTAGGATGGACAACCTGAGAATTTATCACGTTATGGTACACAATTTCAAAGTTATTATTTCTATAACTTTTATTTAATATTTTTCAAAACATGATTGACCCCTGATAGCTAAAACTGGGGAAAGTGAAACCGCTGGTAAGGGGGGACTGCTGTGTTGCTAAAAGTGTCTTCCTTTGCTAAATGTACCAAGAGTAGATTCTCAAGAGGAGTAACATAGATAGGAATTTACGTTGTAGATGGCCTCAGCTATTGCTAAATATCTACAAATTCACTTGGGAATAATATAAGCAGCCACATCAGCAACAATATCTTGAGTAATATTGTTAATGGAGCATCAGGAATTAGGGCTTTGCAATTATGAGATACATTTTTCCAAAGACATGATGCAAACATCCTTAGCAGTAGAAGAAAAAAGTTGAATTCCAACTCTTTGTCAAGAGGCATTTTTGGGAATTGTTATTATATCCAATTTTCGCCCAGGATTATGTGGCATGATAAATATGCCTTACAATAACTTAGTTAAGAATATTATAGGTAATACATATTTCATCACCTTAAGAAATGTGAATGGCTGTTTGGAGGTATATTAACATCATGTAGATGGAGGCTCAAGACTGCTGAGATAAAATTGAATACATTTAGAAAGACTGATGGCATATTTTCCTGAAGAGAATCTTTAGAAAACCAAAGAGTTAATGTCAGGTTTTCATATGTCTTAGTAGTCTGAATAAAACCTGTTAAATAATTTTTCCTGGAAGAAACATATTACTATTTAATTTTCAAAAAGTGATATTAATAGTTAATTATCCAGTTATCTGGACTTTTTCCAAAAGAGTTTATCTATAAAGAGCATCTACTCTATGAAATGTAGAAATAAACTCAAAGGATAGTAAATCAGTATTCAGTCTGTAAATATTACCTCACTGTGTCCATGACATTTGTGAACTTAGTAACCAAATTTAAGGATTTAATGTGTTTGCTTGTTGTTAACATATATGGAGAGAGAAAAATAAATGGATGAATTTTCAGAATTTATCTAATTTTCTCCTCCATCAAAGTTAAAAATTAGCTGTTTGATTTCCTATACTGAGCTAAAATTCTCTGGCATTTTATCTTGATATTACTGACATCCTGGAAGGAGTATCTTGTTTGTTTGGCAAGTGGATTTTTTTAAAAAAATAAATTATTGCTTCATAATTTTTATTGTTTATATTTCAAGGTTATGAAAAATGCCCTTAAAAAATAGATGGTATATATATATATATATATATATATATATAAAATATATATTTTAATCTGCATGTAGTATACCTGTTGTGACAAAAATAAACGAAAGCTTAATTTCTTGCCAAGTTGTAGACTATTACAGTATATTATTTTAAGCGTTATGCTATACATACTTCTTTTGAAAATTTATGGAGTACATGAGATGTTTTGATACATGCATAATAATCACATCAGGGTAAATTGAATATCCATCACTTCACACAGTTATCCTTTGTGTTACAAACAATCTGATTATACTCTTCTAGTTATTTTTAAATGTACGATTAAATTATTTTTGACTATAGTCACCCTGTTGTGCTAGCAAATGCTAGGTCTTATTCATTCTTTCTAACTATGTTTTTGTACCTATTAGTCTGCCCCGCTTTCCTCCCAAACCCTCACTACCCTTCTCAGCCTGTTAACCTTTATACTGTTTATCTCCATGAGTTCAATTGTTTTAAGCCTTAGCTCCCACAAATAAGTGAGAGCATCCGAAGTTTGTCTTTCTGCGCCTGGCTTGTTTCACTTAACATAATGACCTCCAGTTCTATCCACATTGTAGCAGATGACAGGAACTCATTGTTTTTTATGGCTGAATGGTATTCCATTTTGTATATGTACTATATTTTCTTTATTCATTCATCTCTTGATGGATACTTAGGTTGATTCCAAATTTTGGCTATTGTGAGTAGTGCTGAAATAAACATGGAGTGCAGATATCTCTCTGATATACTATGTCCTTTCTTTTGGTTATACACCCAGGAGTGGGATTGCTGGATCATATGATAGCTCAATTTTTGCTTTTTGAGAAACCTCCAGACTGTTCTCCTTAAGGGTCATACTAATGTACATTCCCACTGACAGTGTGCAAGGGTTCCTTTTTCTGTATATCCTCGCCAACTTTTGTTATTGCCTGAATTTGGGATAAAAGCCATTTTAACTGGGGCCTCTTAACTTTTTCCCCACACATTTCTTAATTCCTTGATGAAAAATGCTAAAAGATAAGTCACTTTCATACTTCCTAGATACAGTTATTCATTCACTCTTTTATTTTTTTAAGTTTCTTATTTAATAGATATGTATTAAATATTTACCTTGTCTCAGCCAATGTAATGTGTGACAGGCATACAAAGATGAATATAGCAGAAAGTTTATGCCTCTTAAGAAGCATAATGAAGTCATTTAAACAAATAATAGCTACAAATTTTGATGAGCACTGTCATAGAGGTAAGAATATTATGGTGGGGTGGGATGGAAGAAATTAAAATATGTCAATCTACTTTGCGTTGTAAGGAAAATCTTGGCAAAGAAGATACATGTTATGATTTGGCTCTGTGTCCCCACCCAAATCTCAACTCGAATTGTAATCCCCATGTGTCATGGGGAGGGACCTGGTGGGAGGTGATTAGCTCAAAAGGGTGGTTTTCTATGCTGTTCTTGTGATAGTGAGGGGGTTCTCAGGAGATCTGATGGTTTTATAAGTGGCAGTTTCCCCTGCATGCTCTCTCTCTTACCTGCCACAGTGTAAGACTTGCCTTGCTTTCCCTTCACCTTCCACCATGATTATAAGTTTAATTATAAGTTCACTTATAAGTTCAGCCATGTGGAATTGTGAGTCAAGTAAGCCTCTTTTGTTTATAAATTATCCATTCTCAGGTAGTATCTTTATAGCAGTGTGAAATGGACTAATAAGATAAACTTCAATAGAATACTTAAGAAGTTGTGGTAATCAACTAGTTTATGAATGGAAAGAATCATTTTATCAAAGGAAATTAAGAGCATAACAATGTGGCATTAAAACAGATTAGGGAGTTCTGAGGGTTGTAAGGATGATGGAACAGGTACATAATAGGACAATATGGGAGAATAATTAAAGAAGTCCTGAGGGTAGGTCACTGAGGCCTTATATGTTATAAAAGGGGGATTTTACTCTAGGAATTGGGAAAGTGTTTGAAGAAAGAGAATAGTGTGATTATATTTGCTTTTTAGTTTGAAAAGAAGTAGCCTGGAAATGAATGAGATTACAGCCAGAGAAGAGAAAGAATATATTTTGATGAAAGAATATATTTGGGTACTGATAGAATAGTCCGGGTTAAAGATGATTTGGACCCTGGCACATGGAGGATGCTGTGGGGTCATAAAGGAAGAAATGGTAATAAAAATAACTAAAGTTTTATTGGATGAAGTTTTCAAGCCAACAAAGCATAAAACACAGACACAAAAACGACGTCTAAAATGATTTCTTAGTTTCTTAGTCATGTATTAGGTGTCAACCAAGACAGGGAATACAGACAGAGCAGTAAAGAGTTCAGCCCCAGACTCAATCCTATATGTGATTTTTGGGCCCATCCATAAACAATGACAAAGACTTGACCAAGTGGGTCCCACAGGGAGAGCTGCCCTCCCCACACTAGTGCATAGTCCTCTAATGGCAGTTTCAGTAAGGGCTGCAGGGCCATGCTCACACACAGATCAGCATCACTTGACTGGTGCCTCCCCTGGAGGCCTCTCCACTGTGGGACCTTGGCAGACCTTCCCCAGGCATGTTTGCCCAAGACCTCCTTTTCATGGGGAGAGGAGGAGGAGTCTTGAAGACAATTGTCTTCCTTCTGATTCAATACTCAGTGCTTTTCCGCTCCCAGCCTTTTCCTGACCTTCCATAAAACTGCAGGCAGGAGCCTGTTGTTCAGGGTTCCTTTGATAGTGAGACAACTCCACATCTGTGCTGACCCATGTGATCCTTGATAGAGCTGTTTCATGAAGGAAAAAAAGGATGGGGACTGGACCGTCAGGGCTTTTTCCAGTTTAACCTCAAAGGTTTGTTAATGTCCTTTTGTCTTGATGTCTTAATTGCCTACTCCAACACCTGGCTCTCTCTCCAGAGTAGTTAAGCTCCTGATGGCTGGGGATAAATTTAATGACTACTGTTTTGTATAAGTTGAGGTTAATCTAATTAATTTACCTAGAGGGAAAATTCTGACCTCTATCTCTGAGACCTCATCTAAAACACAGAGGTCATGAAGATAAATCTGGCTTCTGCCTTCAAGGAGCTTACAGTCTGGTGAAGATGATAGCTGGATAGCTAGACATAACAATAAAACCACAGCTGTTCCCTTGTGATAATTTCTGTTATGAGTTATGTACATTGGAATATGAAAAATATATAAATGGTACATAACCAATTCTAGGAGGTCAGGGCAAGCTTCCTGGGAGAAATGCTGTCTATAGGTAGACACAGAGAGACAAGAATCAAAGCCTCTTCTGAAGAAGGGTTAAATAAATCTCAGGCAGATAGGCTATGCATGACCTGCTTCTTTTATCTGTCATTTTTGTTGTTCAGTTACTTGCTAAATTTTAAGAATTTTATATATATATATTATATTTATAATATATTATATATATAATATACATGTATATATATATATATATATATATATATCTTCTACATATCAGTGCTCTGTCAATTCAGCCTAATTCTGGCAAAAGCATTAAGGACTTCAATATTTACCAGGTTTGAAAGGGGAGCAGTCCTTTGAATTAGAATTATTTGAAAAATGTAGGGCTATTTTGAAACAACTACCCAATTGAAAATGCATGGACACTATAACTATTATACTTGCAGATGCATACAAAAATACTTTTATTGTCACATGGGCACAAAGATGTATATTGAA
Organism: Homo sapiens; assembly: GCF_000001405.40. Classification (NCBI taxonomy): domain Eukaryota; kingdom Metazoa; phylum Chordata; class Mammalia; order Primates; family Hominidae; genus Homo; species Homo sapiens. Next base: position 586,633 of record NW_003315917.2, on the reverse strand, counting down.
AGCTGTTCACTGAAACAGTATTTATAATAATGAAACCTGGAAGCAACATATCTCTTAATGGGGATATAGACAAGTAAAGTACAACATATACATGTTATAGAAAAAAATGCAGCCTTCTCAAAAATGGGTAAGCTGTATAGATATAGAAAAGAAAAAAGCATTGTATAAATAATATGTACACTTTAATAAAAGTTGTACTAAATTTTAAATGTAATATAAATATCATACCTTCTATATATATAAAATTATCAAAAAGACTGAATTATAATACATGAAGAGTAGGAAAAAATAGTTGCACTGAGTTTTATATTTTCTGAATGTTTAAATCTTTCCACACAATATGTAATAATTATACTTTTAAAATGCCAGTAAGGTAATATATACAAATAGCTAATTAAAGCTTAATAAGAACTTTGGAAAAATATTTTTAATAAAGGTTTTACATACATCAGGGTTACAATTAAATTTAACATGCTTTTTATTTTGTCAATTTCTTTTATTTAAAAAATACTTAAACTAACTTCCTTTTTGGTTTTTCCTATTAAAAGAAAAAGCATTTTGCCCTCATAAAAGAAAATTAGTTTCAGATTACTAGTAATTATTTAGGTACTAATTAAAAAATAATGAATCTCAGTTACTAAATACACAAATAAGGGAGTTATATGAAACTGTGCAATAGTCATTCTATGGATAGTCATATTTAAAATAAAATGAAAAGAGACTAAAATATGCATTTGTGCTTTTAACTCTGAAAACCTGAATACCTATTCAACTGTTGATTCTGAGTATTTACAGAACTTTATTTCTTCTTTGGACATGCTTTCGCAGTTTTTACCTAATGTATACACATTTTTGCCTTGTTCTTAATAATTAAATATCTGAGAAAAAGATATTCAAAAAGTGGTTTTTTGTGCGTACTCATGATAAACAGTAACATAAAAAGTTACAGAGGTCGGGCCCAGTGGCTCACGCCTGTAATCCCAGCACTTTGGGAGGCCAAGGTGGGTGGATCACTTGAAGTCAGGAGTTTTAGACCAGCCTGGCCAACATGGTGAAACTCCATCTCTACTTAAAAAATAAATAAATAAATAAACAGGCATAGTGGCTCACGTCTGTAATCCCAGCTACTGGGGAGGCTGAGGTGGGAAAATCACTTGAGCCCAGGAGGCGGAAGCTGCACTGAGCCAAGATCACGCCATTGCCCTCCAGCCTGGGTGACAAAGCGAGACTCCATCTCAAAAAAAAAGAAAAGTTATAGAAATAAATATGATGATATGATTTACTGAAAGCAAGTCTCAAATGCCTAAAAAAGGCCAAACTTCCTTTGGTCTTTGGATATCATTCTGGAGGGTGGGTGAGTCTACTTTTGTTTCAAATGTGTTATTTTCATTTATTTTTGAGCAAAAATATCATTTTATAATTTACACTTATTGAACATAAATGTGGAAATACTACTAAATTGTCTCCACATGGAAAATTTCTTGTGACATGTATTTCATCTAACTTGTGAAGTTCACAACTATTTCAAAAAACAGTTAAGCTTGTTCCAAAAACTCACTGCCATCCCACCAAACACACATATGGACTTGAGAATAATTAGGCTTTCAGAAACCACTTTAGTATCCAATTAATTGTAGTTTTCTTCAGAAAGTGGTGTAAATCTGATTATATATAGTTGCTTCATGTAGTATAAATCTGATTATACACAGTTGTTTCATATAGTATATATCTGATGATATACAATTGCTTCATGTAGTTCAACTTGTTACTAGATAATCCATGTGTAATTGTCACAGAAAATCTTACGTGTACATTTGGACAATGTCTCTATCTCTGTTTCTTTCTCTCTGTTTCTCTCTCTCTCTCTCACACACACACACACAGTCCTTTACAATTACTTTGGGAAAAAAATCACAAAAAGGAAAAAATCATTAATCTGAGATTATAACATAAAATCCACAATTTGTCTGTAAACTATCTTTAAATCTATGTTTATACTTGAAATCTACTAGGCTTATGAGAGTCAAAGACTTCCAAGCTTTGAATATTCTTTTCACTTCAAAAGGAACTGAAAATCTAAATGTAATTTGGTACACCTTTTAAAATATTCACTGCTGCCTGCCAGCTAGCTGCAGGTTATTTTAGCTACTAGAAGCAGCACTAATTTGCAATATCTTTCTAAGACTATCTATAGGTAAAAATTTGACATTGGCTGACTCTAACCAATGTCAAGCTTTAGGATAGCAACGTAATCCCTAAAAGAAAAATGAGAAATAACCTAACTATCTAAACATCAAAAACAAATTAACCTTGCTTGCCCATTTTTAGGACAACATAACGGTTTCTTGAGATTTTTCAACATTTATGAAAAGATAAAAATTAAGATGAGTCATTTAATAGCATGCGTGCTTGAACCAATAAAATGATTTCTTATTTTATGAGTTGTTTTTAAAAAATGAGCCCAGATGTTTCAAATTATAAATAATTTGTCAATTTATGCATAAAGCCAAATTTGAAAAATGTGACTGGTCATTCCCATTAAGAAACTCAACTGAAAATCTGTTTCACTGAATCAAGCTTAAATAAGTAATTGTGTACTTAGATGTAGCTGAATTCTAAGAACTATTTGGACCACAACTTATAGACTATTTATATATTTTGCAAACTGTTTGCTGTTCTCTGACTTCAAGTAAGAGAGAGATATTAAGTGACAAATCATACAACGGAAAGGGAGAGCTATTAAGTGATAAATCATACAGTGGAAAGAGAGTTATATAGGAAGACTCTCCATTTTAACTCAGAATAAAATATGTAACCATCTTTAAGTTTTAATGGGGAGACCTGTGTGGCTGACTTTTTTTTTTCCCAATCTAGCTTCCTCATTTGGAAGAATGTTTTGTTTCTGTATATGAAAACTGAAGGATTTCTATTCAAGGCCACTGTGGTAGACAGAATAATGGCTTACTAAAATGTCGACGTCCTAATTTCTGGAACCTGTGAAAATGTCACCTTCCATGACAAAAAGGACATTGTAGAAGCAATTATTTAAGGATCTAGAGATGAGAATATTAAGATGGGTTATTTGGGTGTTCCAAATGTGAACCCAAGTGGAGTTCTTGTAAGACTGAGAAGATGCCTTCGAGTTAGGAAGGAGATGGGAGATGTGTTATGAAAGCAGAGGTTGGAGTGACAGAATTTCAAGATGGAGAAAGGGGTTATAGCCAAGAATCCAAGCAGCCTCAAGAGAGTAGAAGCTCTTGATTTTCACCTATGTGACTCTATTTTAGTCTTTACTTGCAGAACTGTAAGATAGTAGATTTGTGGTGTTTTAATCCACTAAGTTGGTAGTAATGTGCTCCAGCCACTATGAGACAAATACAGTATACACACACACACACACACACACACACACACACACACACACACATATATATGTGTGTGGGTGTGTATTAGGAAAAGTAGTAAATCTAAATCTAGACTTTCTCATTCTCACCTAGGTTCTTATATTTTTAATTATATAACTAGTTACATAACATTATTTATATAATACTAGTTATATAACTAGTGCTCTATTATTTTCCTTCTATTTTAATTTTTCTGTTAAAAGAAAGTTTAAGAACATATGTATCCATATATGTATATACACATGCAGAAATATATATCTGTGTATGTGTGTGTGTTTATGAGTATATATATTCAAAGTTCTGAAACGTTTTTCAAAGCAATGCTGGCAATGGAATTCTCATTTCTATTTATCTTTTCTGTGGAGGTTTAAGTATGACTTATTTGGGAATTGCTACATTATCCTGACAAAAATATAACAGTAGTGGCAATATATAATCCCCCAAAAATGTTATATCTCCAGATAATTTTAATGAGTTGGCATTGACTAGTATGAGAAATACAAGGCACAGAGAGTGATATGGTTTGGCTCTGTGCTGTCACCCAAATCTCATCTTGAATCGTAATTCCCATAATGCCCATGTGTTGAGGGGCCTGTTGGGAGGTGATTGGATCATGGGCACAGTTTCCCCTAGATGTTCTCATGATAGTGAATGAGTTCTCATGAGATCTGATGGTTTTACAAGTGTTTGACAGTGCCTCCTTCACATGCTCTCTCTCCCCTGCTGCCATGTAAGACGTGCCTGCTTCCCCTTCCACCATGATTGTAAGTTCCCTGAGGCCTCCCCAGCCGTGCAGAACTGTGAGTCAATTAAGCCTCTTTCCTTTGTAAATTACCCTGTCTCGGGTATTCTTTATAGCAATGTGAAAATGGATTAATACAGAGAGTCTACACATTTCTTTATATAAGATATACTTGTTTTCTGTTTATAGTTAGCATTTACAAAGTTTACAGTAAAATTTTTACTTACATTCATATAACATTTAAGTTATTCTCAAAATTTTATGCAACCATTTTAGATCTAAAGTGGACTTTGTTTTTTTCCATAGAATAAGTATTTTGTAGGACTTCTCTTCAATATTGGTGTGTAGAAAAAAAAATGTGAACTTCAAGTTTCAATCAATTAAACTTTTGCTTAAACTGAAAAACCATGCCAACACACAAAAAGGTCATCTGGGGTGTGCCATTACATTAGGATTACGTACTGGTACTACACACTCAGTTGTGTAGGACATAAGAATGGATTATACTTAAACCTCTAAAGGATGGCCTGAATTAAAGTGATAGAAAATGGGAGTTAATATTGCTAGTGTTACCATGTAAAATTTAATAATTATTTGCTTAATTATTGTCTTATTAATTTAATAGTTTCTAAAGAGAAATTTCATTAACAAATTAACAGGAACAGCTACAAAATTTGCAGTGTTCAGTGCAAAATTAAAATATAGGACATCTTCCTCAAAAATTATTTAAAACTTGACACGAATGACACCAAAGAATTAGCCAAGTGATGGGCCCCTGCAAATGAGCAGATCACATAAATCTATCCCTGAACATCAATTAGTTATAAAAAAATAAGAATTTAAGGCTGGGACCCATAGCCATAATTTTACCCATACCTGCATTTATATCTGTATTTATATACCTATAACAGTATTTAGATCTATTTATTCACAATCTCAGAATCAGATTGTAGAGACATTTAAAGATTAACTAATACAAACTTGTCCTCTTACAAAAGAGAAAACTGAGCCGCAGTGCTTTGATTGTATCAGTAGCTAATATTAGAAATAAAAGCAACACATTATCTTAAATATTTTATGTTTTTCTTATTACTACCAGTTTAGTGCTCCTATGTATTTTGTAGTACTTCTCTTCAATATTGGTGTGTAGAAAGAAAATGTGAACCCCGAGTTTAATCAATTAAACTTTGATTAAACTGAAAAACCATGGTCAATCCCAATACACAAAAGGGTCATCTGGGGTGTGCCATTGCATTAGGATTACATACTGGTACTATATGTTGCTGCTACATGCTCTTTCACTCAGTCGTGTAGGACAGAAGAATGGATTATACTTAAACTTCTAAAGAATGACCTCAATTAAAGAGATAGAAAATGGGAGTTAATATTGTTAGTGTTGCCATGTAAAATTTAATAATTAATATAATGTCTCATATATTCCGTGGTGATTAATTGGTGTGGAATATTTAAGCCACGAGAATAAGTACTATAAAAGCAAGAATTTATAATAGGGTCTTTAATGATCAGTTCTGTTCTTACACAGCTTCTCCCCACTCCTACTCCTTGGAAGCAACCAAGTGGTATGAGTTGGCCCCTACTCACCCCCTCCCTGGTGTCAGTGGACCACATCAGGGAAGTGAGGTTATTTTTTCACTTGGAGGAAACAAAGATATGTAACTCAGTACCCTACTTTTGCCATGAGGTTGCCAGTGGGTGGAGGGAGAAGACAAACTTCCACCTAACCAGTCTGCAAGAAGGAAGTATAAGTTAGTACTCTACTTTTGGTAGGATGGTATTAGTAGGTCCCATCAGGAAGATAAACACGCACACCCACCCAGCTCTCAGGTTACACATCAATAGGGAACCATCTACGAAATAATAAGAGAGAAAAATTCTCATAATATAAAAAAAAATTCAGGACACAATAAAAATCACTTATAAGACAAAAGAACTAGGAAATCATAACCTGAATGAGAGAAAGACAACAGACACCAACACAGACATAAAAAAGGGGTTGGGGCTGGGCGCAGTGGCTCACACCTGTAATCCCAGCACTGTGGGAGGCCAAGATGGGTGGATCACTTGAGGTCAGGAGTTCAAGACCAGCCTGTCCAACATGGTGAAACCCCGCCTCTACTAAAAATATAAAAAGTTAGCTGGGTGCATTGGCACATGCCTGTAATCCCAGCTACTTGGGAGGCTGAGGCAGGAGAATCACTTGAACCTGGGAGATGGAGGTTGCAGTGAGCCAAGATCATACCGCTGCACTCCAGCCTGGGTAACAGAGTGAGACTGTTTCAGACAAAAAAAAAAAAAAAAAAAAAAAAAAAAGAGGTTGGAATTATCTAACAAGGATTTTGAAGAAACCATCATAAAAGTGTTTAAATAAGCAATTATATATTGTATTCTCTTGGAACAAATAAAAGTTAAAATTAAAAATAAATTCAATAATGACTTATAAGTTATAAAAAGTAAACATGAACTAAATAAAATTAAAATACAATAATGGAAATAATAGATGCAGAGGATGGTCACAAAAGAAGAGAGCACAGAGCAGAAGATGGAATCAGTGAATCTGAAAACATGCCAACAGAATTTACTGTCTGAACAAGAAGAAGAAAACCGATAAAAAAAAAATTTAACAGCATTTCAGGAAACTTTAGAACAATAATAAAAGAGCTAACATTCATAATCACAGGAGATATAGAAGACGAGGAGATAGAATGTGGGACTAAAAAACTATTAAAAAATAATGACTTCAACCTTCCCAAATTAGATGGAAGACATAAACCTAAATATTCAAGAAACAGAGCAAACCCTAAATAGAATACACCCAAATACATTCAATTTCTGGAAATGAAAAAAAAAAATTAAAAATCTTGAAAGCAAACAGAGAAAAATGGCACATTTCTTACAGAAAAACAATAATGTAAACCACAGCAGATTTTCCATCTGAAACCATGAAGGTTGGAAGGAAACAGATAATATTTTTGAAGTACTGAAAGAACAGAACTGTGAACTGTAAATTCAATACCCAGCAATAATATTCTTCAGGCACTAAAGTGACATAGAAAACATTGTCTAATGAAAGAATGCTAAGGTAATGTGTTGCTAACAAACTTACCTTTAAAGAATAAGTTCTCTAAACAGAAAAGAAATGATAAAAGAAGAAGGTTTGCAGCTTTTACAAACATCCATCTAAATGGGTAAAATTAAGCATAAATATAATGTATAATCAAACTTCTCTTAAGTTTTTAAGCCATTTCTAATAGTTGAAGCAAAAATTAATGACCTATCTGGTTAGATGCTCAAGGAACATAGAGGAAGTATTTAAGATAATTATATCTAAAAAGTAGTGATAGTAAAGAGACTCATATGGAAACAAGTTTTCTACACTTCACTCAAAGAGGTAAAACATCATTAACAGTAGATCTTGACATTACACATATATTATTTTAACCAGTGCAATTAATAAAACCAAACAAAATCATGTACAATCATGCACTGCATAACGATGTTTTGCTCAGCAGTAGACTGCATATATCATGGTGGTCCCATAAGATTATAATGGAGATGAATATTACCTAGTGACATTGCAGCTGAGCTGTCTTAACATCATAGTCTAACATATTTCTCACCTGTTTGTGGCAATGATGGTGTAAACAAACCTACTTCATTGCCAGTTATATAAAAGTGTAGCACATAAAATTCTGTCTAGTACTGATATTGTTTGGCTGTGTCCCCACCCAAATCTCATCTTGAATTGTAATCCTCATGATCCTCCCGTGTCAAGGGCAAGACCCGGTGGGAAGTGATTGGATCCTGGAGGCAGTTTCCCTCATGCTGTTCTCATGATAGTGAGTAAGTTTTCATGAGATCCGATGGTTTTAAAAGTGTTTGAAAATTTCTCCTAGACACACTCATTCTCTCCTGTTGCCTTTTGAAGAAGCCAACTGCTTTTATTCCACCATGATTGTAAGTTTTCTGAGGCCTCTCCAGCCATGCAGAACTATGAGTCAATTAACCCTCTTTCCTTTATAAATTACCCTGTCTTGGGTAGTATCTTTATAGCAGTGTGAGAACAGACTAATAGAGTAAATTGGTACTGGGAGTGGGGCACTGCTATAAAGATACTGAAAATGAGGAAGTGACTTTAGAACTGGGTATCGGGCAGAGGTTGGAAGTGTTTGGAGGGCTCAGAAGAAGACAGGAAGTTGTGAGAAAGTTTGAAACTTCCTAGGGACCTGTGGAATGGTTTTGACCAAAATGCTGATAGTGATATAGACAGTGAAGTCCAAGCTGAGGTGGTCTTGGATGGACAAGAACTCATTAGGAACTAGAGCCCAAAGATCACTGTTACTCTGCCTTAGCAAAGAGACTGGAAGCATTTTGCCCCTGTCCTAGAGATCTGTGGAACTTTTAATTTGAGAAACATTATCTCAAATTGGAACTTATGTTTAAAATGGAAGCAGGGCATAAAAGTTTGGAAAATTTGCAGCCTGACCATGCAGTAGAAAAGAAAAACCCATTTTTCAGGGGAGGAATTCAAGCTGGCTACAGAAATTTGCCTAAATAACAAGAAGCCAAATGTTATTACAGTAGCCAAAACAATGGTAAAATTTTTCTTGGGCGTATCAGAGACTTCCATGGCAGCCCTTCTCATCACAGACCCAGCAGCCTCTGAGGGAAAAATGGTTTCATGGGCTGGGCCTAGGGCCCCGTTGCTCTGGGCAACCTCAGGACTTGGTGCCCTGTGTCCCAGCTGCTGCTACTCCAGCTCCAGCCGTGGCTAAAAGGAGCCAATGTACAGCTCATCTGTTGATTCAGAGGGTGCAAGCCCCAAGCCTTGGAGGATTCCATATGGTGTTGGGCCTGAGGGTACACAGAAGTCAAGAATTCAGGTGTGGAAACCTCTGCCTAGATTTCATAGGTTGTATGGAAATGCCTGGATGTCCAGGCCGAGATTGGTTGCAGGGGTGGAGCCATCATGGAGAACCTCTGCTAGGGTAGTGCAGAAGGGAAATGTGGGGTTGAAGCTCCCACACAGAGTCCCCACTGGGGCACTGCCTAGTGAAGCTATGAGAAGAGGGCCACTGTTCTCCAGACCCCTGAATGGAAGATCCACCAACAGCTTGTACTGTGCACCTGGAAAAGCCACAGACACTCAATGCCAGCCTGTGAAGGAACTGCCCAAGGCCATGGGAGCCCACCCCTTGCATTAACATGCCCTGGATGTGAAACATGGAGACAAGGAGATTATTTTAAAGCTTTAAGTTTTAATGACTGCCCTGCTGGGTTTCAGACTTTCATGGGGCCTGCATCCCCTTTGTTTTGACTAATTTCTCCCATTTGGAATGGGAGCATTTATCCAATTCTTGTACCCTCATGGTATCTAGGAAGTAACTAACTTGCTTTTGATTTTACAGGCTTATAGGCCAAAACGTCTTGCCTTGTCTCAGATGAGACTTTGAACTGTGGGCTGTTGAGTTACTGCTGAAATGATTTAAGACTCTGGGGGACTGTTAGGAAGGCATGATGTTGGGTTGGAAATGTAAAAAATATGTGAGATCTGGGAGGGGCCAGGGGTGGAATGATATGGTTTGGCTCTATATCCCCACCCAAATCTCATCTTGAATTGTAATCTTCATAATACCCATGTGTTGAGGGCAGGATCTGGTGGAAGGTGATTGGATCATGTGGGCGGTTTCCGCCATACTGTTCTTACGATAGTGAGTGAGTTCTCAGGAGATCTGATGGTTTTGTTAAGTGTTTCACAGCTCCTCCTACACACAATCCTTCTCTCTCCTGTTGTCTTGTGAAGAAGATGACTGCTTCCCATTTCACCATGATTGTAAGTTCCATGAGGCCTCCTCAGCCATGCAGAACTGTGACTCAATTAAACCTCTTTCCTTTATGAATTACCCAATCTCGGGTAGTGTCTTTATAGTAGTGTGAGAATGGACTAATACAAGTACATTTTACTTAGTAATAATAATAAACAAATATATTACATTTTTGTGTATTTACTACACCATATTTTTTATTGTTATTGTAGTGTACACCTTCTACTTATTAAAAGAAATAGGCCCGAGGCGGGCAGATCACGAGGTCAGGAGATGGAGACCATCCTGGCTAACATGGTGAAACCCCATCTCTACTAAAAATACAAAAAATTAGCCAGGCCTGGTGGGGGGCGCCTATATTCCCAGCTATTCGGGAGGCTGAGGCAGGAGAATGGCGTGAACCCAGGAGGCGGAGCTTGCAGTGAGCCGAGATCACGCCACTGCACTCCAGCCTGGGCGACAGAGCGAGACTCTGTCTCAAAAACAAACAAAAAAAAAAGTAATAGGCAACTGTAAAACAGCCTCACAGTGGTCCTTCACGAGGCATTTCAGAGGGCATTGTTATCATAGATGTCGACAGATCCATATGCATTATTGGCCTAGAGGAGCTTCCAGTGGGACAAGATCTGGAGGTAGAAAACAGTGATGTTGATCATACTGACCCTGTGTAGGCCTACGCTAGTATGTGCATTTGTGTCTTTGTTTTTAACAACAACAACAAAAAAATTAAAAATTAAAAGATGTAAAATTACAAAAAAATCTTAGAGAATAAGGATATAAGGAAATAAAGTATTTCTGTGTACAATATGCGTTTTAAGCTAAGTGTTGTTACAAAAGAGTCAAAAAGTTAAAAATAAGTTAAAAAGTTTATAAAGTAAAAAAGTTACTGTAGGATAAGTTTAATGTATTTTGAAAGAAATAAGTTTCTTTATAAATTTTATAAATTCAGTGTTTATAAAGTCTACAGTTTTGTACAATGATGCCCTAGGCATTTACGCTCACTCACCACTTACTCACTAACTCTCCCAGAGCAACTCCTAGCCCTGCAAACTTCATTTATAGTAAGTGCCCTAATCAGGTATACCATTTTTGATGTTTTGACTGGATTTTTTACTGTACCTTTTTTTTATGTTTAGATACACAAATATTTACCGTTGTGTTGCAGATGCCTGCAGTATTCAGCACAGTAACATGCTGTATAGGTTTGTAGCCTAGGATCAGTAGGCTGTACCACATAACCTGGGGTGAGTAGTAGGTTATGCTATCTCTATTTACACATAGAATACACTATATGATGTTACACAGTGAAGAAATTGCCTAATGCATTTCTCAGAATGTAATTTTTGTCATTAAGTGATGCAACATTGTATTTAAAACACTATAAATAAATTAAGATGGAAACTTAACATGTTTATGTAACCCATTGGAAAGCAAGAAAAAGACACAGAGGAATAAGAAACAGAAACAAATAACAAAGTGGTAGACTTCAACCACAACATACAAATTGTTAAACATAAAAGGCCTATAGAAACCAACTAAAAAACATAGATTGGCAGAGTAGTTAAAAAAACAAAAATCAAAAACGAAAAAACATGGCCAACAATATTGTCCAAATTGCATTTGTACCCCATAAATAAATAATTTTTAAAATTCTGTCTATATAAAACTAACTTCAAATACAGCATAGGTAAGATAAAAGTAAAAAGAGAGAACCAGTAAAATAATTTAAAAATGCAAGTGAGGTTATAGTAATATATCAGCTACATAAATTTTATTTTATTTATTATTATTATTATTATTATTATTATTATTATTATTATTATTATTTTGAGACAGAGTGTCGCTCTGTCACCCAGGCTGGAGTGCAGTGGAGCAATCTCAAACTCACTGCAAGCTCCACCTCCCAGGTTCATGCCATTCTCCTGCCTCAGCCTCCCGAGTAGCTGGTACTACAGGTGCCCACCACCACGCCCAGCTAATTTTTTTGTGTTTTTAGTAGAGACGGGGTTTCACCGTGTTAGCTAGGATGGTCTCGATCTCCTGACCTTGTGATCCTCCAGTCTCAGCCTCCCAAAGTGCTGGGATTACAGGCATGAGCCAGGGTGCCCGGCCCAGCTACATAAATTTTAAAAAGTAAAAAAAGTCAAATTGCGTTTTTAAATATTTTACATTCCATTGCCATTCAAAGAAATAACATTGTTTTCAATACGATTAAGCAAGTATCATTAGACCTAGAAATAGCCACAATCATTTCTTTAAAAGATTATTAATATTTATTTATTTATTTATTTATTTTTAGGCGGAGTCTCACTCTGTTCACCAAGCTGGAGTGCAGTGGTGCAGTCTCAGCTCACTGCAATTTCTGCCTCACCCTCCCAAGTAATTGGGATTACAGGCACGTGCCACCACATATGGCTAATTTTTGTATTTTTAGTAGAGACTAATTTTTGTACTTTTAGTAGAGACAGGGTTTCACCATATTGGCCAGGCTGGTCACAAACTCCTGACCTCAGGTGATTGGCCCGCATCAGCCTCCCAAAGTGCTGGGATTACAGGCGTAAGTCATCATGCCCAGCTAAGATTACTAATATTTATAAGCTCTACCTTCTTTCTTGGAGAAATGACTTTATAATTTCACTTTCTAATTCAGTTACCTGTTGAAACTAAATTAAAATATATTCATATGCAAAATGCAAGTAAATAAAAACAGCAGCTTTCTCTATGCTAAAAGGAAGTTCCTTTGGAGCTCATTTCCTTGACAACGCAAGAAAGTACTTCACTGCACTATCTTCATTATGCAAATAAAGGTGCATTTTAGCTCTTTGAAGAAGAAGAGGAAGAACATGTCTCTCAAATGGCAGGAAAGAACAAATTTCCTTAAGGAAGAGTGAGGGAAAGTTCATCAACACCAACCCTAGGTACATCTTCATTCAGACTTGAAAAGCTTTTGAATAGCGTCTGTTTATTCCTGTTAGAACTGAACTGGCAGGAAAAGACAATGGAGAAGCCACAAAGAGGAGTAGCTAGGTAGCAGCATTCAGGTCCACAATGCCTGGATTTCATTATTATTATTCTACTGTATCTTCAGGCAGTTTATGTAAATCATGTTATTGAGTTCTCTCATCTGGAAGATGAGAGTACTAATAGTTCCAGCGTTCTTACATTAGTGCTGCTGCCATTAGTTATCATCATTTAAGTGTCTGTTCTTATTGTTCAAAGAGTGACTGGCAGTTGAGAGTCCCTGGGACCTGAAGTAGGGAGGTAGAGAATTTTGCATTGGAGTATACTGTTATCTTAACCTTGGAGGCCTGAGTGTTCTTAGGTAAAAGACTGCTTTGGAGGCTGCAAATGGAACTAGAATCCCACCAGATCACAGCCATCTGACTTGGTTGCGTTTTTATGGAAACCAGCGTGTTGAGGATGTGAGACTGATATAAAAGCACTAGGATATTCACAGGGTAAAAGTCAGGAGGATCATAACAGCACAGTACTAGAGAACCAGTACGTAGTGGTGTGATGAATGAAAGCCACTGACATAACTTTCGCATCTTGTCTTCCTGTATTCTTTCTTTCTGTGACAGTTGTTGAGATCATGACCTCTTCTGGAATGGTGTTCTCAGAAGTCCTTGGACAATCAGGGTGTACTAGGAGAAAACATGCTGTGAGATGGGATGAAAGTCTTCAGGATGGACACTATACTTTCTGTTATTGGAGGATTCGGTAGTTTGAATAAGCGTTTGAATGAATAAAATATTTGAGTTGAGGACTAAATTCTGATTTTTTTTTTTCATCTTGCCCAAATTCCTATTTAAAGAAACTGGGAGTCAGCCCTACGAATGATAACATCTCTTTACATGGGTTTTTTATTAACCCTATATAATGTGGCTTGCTTTCCAACCTGACTCTGGTACAGCATCACATAACAGACAGCAGACCCTGAAGGATATAAAAATATTTTGCCCTAAAATATATTTCTTTGATGTCTTTTGAAATGGCTGTTGCAAGGCCAGCAAACTGAGGTAGAGGAAATTTGCATCTATGGAGAATCTTCATTAATGCAGCCATGCTTCCCCTTTCTATGCCTTTCCAGGACCTAGGAGTGATTGAGAGTCTGATACCTTTAAAGGTCTGAAAAGAAACATTTACCATCTATTCTCTCTGAGGGCCACCTATGAGGCTTCATCTACTTAATAAGATCCTTGGTCTTTCCCCCACTCTTATCTGAACTCAGGCATTCCTTTCTATCGATTTCAAGACTTTAGACGATAGCATAACTCTCTCAACCAATTGTCAACTAAAGGATCCCTAAAAGCCCCTTATGACGTACAAGCTCCTACCCTGACCTACCTGCAATTACCTGCAGTTGGTTGTCTCCTTGGAATGTATAAAACCAAAGTGTAACCCGGTTGCCTTGGGCACGCTTTCAGAACCTCTTGAGATAGTGTAACCCAGGCCTTGGTCACTTATACTGGCTCTGAATAAACCTCTTTAAATATATTTTGACAGAATTTGGTTTTTGTGTATTTTTCTGTGTATTTCTACCTCTGAGAAGAGGAGTAATTTATACTCTTTAAAAATCATGGTCAGGTATGACTGGTGCTAGAATGAGGATGAAGGGAAGAGAAAGGGAAGAAATAATTCTCCACTCTTTGTTTCCAATTTTAGTTCTTTAAAGTAAAAGTACAAAACATTTTGTAGAGATGTAGTTTGTGGTGGCATGGTTGAAAAACTTCTGCAGTTTATGATTCCTCCACTACAGTGTGATAATGTTTTAAATAGCATTTAAAATGTAGATTCTGTCCAATCCTTACAATTAACTTTTTTATTGTTTGGAATCCATGAAGTTGGTATATGCATGAGCAGATACATATTTATTTAAGAAAAAAAATTAGGCCTTACAGAAAATTGGTTTCTCAGAGACATGATAAAAGTTACCAGATAATGTCTCTCAGACTATATCTATGAAAAAATACATAACCAAATAGACACCAATTGCAAATGAATTAATTACATTGAAATTCTAATAACTTTCATTTCCTAAACTGACATTGATGGAAAAGAATTCTAAGATATAAAATAAGCTCTACTTCATCCTGCTTTCAATAGCACATGATTTAATCAGAATATATAAGTAATACTGTTGAGCACATAAATATTATTTTCATTACTTGATGATAATTATGACTATTTTCATTGCTATAATTTTGGTCATGCCATATTGATTAGCAATAAAATATATACTTAGCTAGAGAGGCAGCTAATCCAAAACTTTTGGGATTTCTTTTTTTTTTTAGATTATTGGTGCTCCTCCTCCTGTCATTGAGGTTAAAATTAAATGTTACATATTCCTTCTCTGTGTATGTGTATCTTATTTCCTCATATTCTACCTCTTCAGAGTAGTGTGTGTGAGTGCATGCACACACACTTGCATGTGAGAGCTTCTAATATCTAAATTAATGTTGAATCATTATTCAGAAACAAAGAGAGCTAACTGTTATCCTGACTTTATTCTTTATGAAGAAAAATACAGTGATTCCAAGTTACCAAGTTAGTGCTGCTTTATTTATAAATGAAGTAACATTTTACAAGTTGTGCATAAGTTAAAATTCAGAAATAAAACTTCATCCTAAAACTCTGTGTGTTGCTTTAAATAATCAGAGCATCTGCCTACTTAATTTTTTTTGTGTGGGTGCACAATAGATGTTTAATGAGATCCTGTCATCTGTCTGCTTTTTTATTGTAAAACAGGAGGGGTTTTAATCCTGGAGGAACAACTGATGTACCTCTGAAAAAGAGAGGGATTAGTTATTAATTGAATTGAGGGTTGTCTTGTCTTAGTAGCTTTTATTCTCTAGGTACTATTTGATTATGATTGTGAAAATAGAATTTATCCCTCATTAAATGTAAAATCAACAGGAGAATAGCAAAAACTTATGAGATAGATGAACATTGTGTGAGTGGCATGGTTTAATTTGTTTGGAAGAAGCACTTGCCCCAGAAGATACACAATGAAATTCATGTTATTGAGTAGAGTAGTAATACAGTGTGTTCCCTTGTGAAGTTCATAACCAAGAATTATTTTAGTAGTGGATAGGTAGGCTGAATAATTGACTTCCTATCATTTTCAGGTTCTGTGTTTGATTTTTTTTACATATTAATTTCTTTGATCCACATTAAGCTCAGTTATGTATTTCCATTTTATAAATGAAAAAAAAAAAAATAGGCACTTGCAAATGTCAGATCACTTGCCTGTGGTCATTCGGGTAGAGATTTGTGAAGCTAAGTTGGTCTTAATCAAATGTCAAGCTTTTTTTTTTCTTATAAAATATAGATTTTAATATGAGTTTTAAAATAAAATTAATTAGAAAAAGGCAAATTACTCAATATATAAAATGTATTGCATTTGTAATAGGTAGGTATTTCATTTTCTAGTTATGGTGGGATATTATTCAGACTATAATTCCCAATGAAAAAACTTTAAAAAATGCTAGTGATTGCACATTTAAAACACCTTTTAAAAAGCATTGAGAGCTTATAAAATTTTAATAAGTGATCAAACCAAATTTGAAGAGAAAAGAAGAACCCAGAGAGGTAAGGATATAACCTTACCAGTTGCAATTTGCCGATCTCTACAAATATTAATATTTATTTTGACAGTTTCAGGGTGAATGAGAAAGAAACCAAAACCGAAGACTAGCATATGTTAAGTCTTCTTAAGGAGCCCTCCCTTAAAAGATTGAGATGACCAAATCTTATACCCTCAGCATAAGGTGAACCAGACAGACCTAAAGCAGTGGTAGCTTGGATCCACTACTTGGGTTTGTGTGACTGCGTGACTCAGGTAATCTCAAAAATTGAACATTTTTTTAAGGTGGTCCTACTCGTATGCCCAGGTGTTAGGGAGAAGCAAATCTGAATGCTTTATAAAAATACCCTGAAGCTAAATCTTACAATATTCTCAAGAACACAGTGAAACAAGGCAAAATAAGTTAAAATCAACAAAAACAACATGAAACATAATTAGACCCACAAAGACTTCAAACATTGGACAATATCAGAGAAAGATAATAAATATTTTACTCTTTAAAAATTTAGTTAAAAGCTTAAACTAATTGTAGAGAAAAAACTGTGTTAGTATTATATTGTGGATGAAATAAGCAAAACATTTAAAATACAAATGTGATTACTTAAATTAAATATAATAGATAATTTACCACCAGATTAGATACCATTGAAGGAATAATTAATATACTGAAATACAGGTCAGTAGAAGTTTTTTTCAATTCAGCATGGAGATGTAAAAAATGAAAATTAATGCAAAAAATAAGGGCACAAAAAGAAATGAGTAATTTTGATCAGAAATGTATTAAAATTAATAAACTGGAAATTTGACATTTAAAAAAAAGCATTGTCGTCCAAGTAGATGTGTCTATTAAATAGTTGTTCTCATATCCAGTAATGTAATTATTATTCCCCCTCATGCAGTTCAGATTCTGGGGTAATCTTTAGACATCAGTTTTATCTTTTATATTATTTATTCTGTTTACTACATTTTATTTTGCTAATGATATTTTTAATTTCTGACATTCTGGAGTATTGCTCGTAAAAGGTATTTTTAAAAATATTTTATGGTTATTTTTGTGATTCCTATTCCTGTATGGACACCAAGGCTATTGACATTTTCTTTAGTTTCTTCTGTTAATTCTATTTTCTTAGTGTTTATATCATTTCATAGATAGGATATTCTTTATTTTTTATTTTTATTTAAATATTTGGTGATTCTTGGTTTTCTCAGCCATCTATTGTCAAGTGTTCTTATTAAGCATTGTTATTAAATAAAGATTATTTCCTCTAATCACATGAGAATCTTTATTTCCCCCAAGTAATTGAAAATTGCAATGCCATGCTGCCATGTGGTACAGCATGGGTTTGGGCTTGCTTTCTTCTTTTTTTTTTAACTTTTATTTTAGGTTTGGGAGTACCTGTGAAAGTTTGTTATATAGGTAAACTCGTGTCATCAGGGTTTGTTGTACAGATCATTTTGTCACCTAGGTACCAAGTACTCAACAATTATTTTTCCTGCTCCTCTGTCTCCTGTCACCCTCCACTCTCAAGTAGACTCCAGTGTCTGCTGTTCCCTTCTTTGTGTCCATGTGTTCTCATAATTTAGTTCCCCACTTGTAAGTGAGAACATGCAGTATTTTCTAGTATTTGGTTTTTTGTTCCTGTGTTAATTTGCCCAGTATAATAGCCTCCAGCTCCATCCATGTTACTGCAAAGAACGTGATCTCATTCTTTTTTATAGCTCCATGGTGTCTATATACCACATTTTCTTTATCTAAACTCTTATTGATGAGCATTGAGGTTGATTCTATGTCTTTGCCATTGTGCATATTGCTGCAATGAACATTTGTGTGCATGTGTCTTTATGGTAGAATGATATATTTTCTTCTGGGTATATATGCAGTAATGCGATTGCTGGTTGGAATGGTAGTTCTGCTTTTATCTCTTTGAGGAATTGCCATGCTGCTTTCCACAATAGTTGAACTAACTTACACTCCCACTAACAGTGTGTGTTTCCTTTTCTCCACAACCTGCCAGCATCTGTTATTTTTTGACATTTTAATAGTAGCCATTTTAACTGGTATGAAATTATATTTCATTGTGGTTTTAATTTGCATTTCTCTAATGATCAGTGATATTGAGTTTTTTTTTTTTTCACATGCTTGTTGGCTACATGTACGTCTTCTTTTGAAAAGTGTCTGTTCATGTACTTTGCCCACATTTTAGTGGGGTTGTTTTTCTCTTGTAAATTTGTTTAAATTCCTTATAGGTGCTGGATTTTAGACATTTGTCAGACGCATAGTTTGCAAATAGTTTCTCCCATTCTGTAGGTTGTCTGTTTATTTTGTTAATAGTTTCTTTTGCTATGCAGAAGCTCTTAATAAGTTTAATGAGATCCTGATATGTTTAGGCTTTGTATCCCCACCCAAATCTCATCTTGAATTATAATCTCCATAATCACCACATGGAGAGACCAGGTGGAGGTAATTGAATCTGGGGGTGGTTTCACCCATGCTGTTCTTGTGATAGTGAATGAGTTCTCACGAGATCTAATGGTTTTATGAGGGGCTCTTCCCAGCTTTGCCTGGTACTTCTCCTTCCTGCCGCCTTGTGAAAAAGGTGCATTGCATCCCTTTCACCTTCTCCTATAATTGTAAGTTTCCTGAGGCCTTCCCAGCCATGCTGAACTTCAAGTCAATTAAACCTTTTTCTTTATAAATTACTCAGTCTCTGGTGGTTCTTTATAGCAGTGTGAAAATGGACTAATGAAGTTCCCATTTATGAATTTTTGCTTTTGTTGCAATTGCTTTTGACATCTTAGTCATGAAATCCTTGCCTGTTCTAAGTCCAGGATGGTATTGCCTAGGTTGTCTTCCAGGGTTTTTCTAATTTTGTGTTTTGCATTTAAGTGTTTAATCCATCTTGAGTTGATTTTTGTATATTGTGTATGGAAGGGGTCCAGTTTCAATCTTTTGCATATGGCTAGTTAGTTATCCCAGTACCATTTATTGAAAAGACAGTCTTTTCCCCATTGCTCGTTTTTGTCAGTTTTATTGATGATCAGATAATCATAGCTGTGTGGCTTTATTTCTGGGTTCTCTATTCTGTTCTATTGGTTTATGTCCCTGTTTTTGTGCCAGCACCATGCTGTTTTGGTTAACATAGCCCTGTAGTATAGTTTGAGGTCAGATAGCCTGATGCTTCCAGCTTTGTTCTTTTTCTTAAGATTGCCTTGGCTATTTGGCCTCTTTTTTGGTTCCACATGAATTTTAAAACAGTTGTTTCTAGTTTTGTGAAGAATGTCATTGGTAGTTTGATAGAAATAGCATTTAATCTGTAAATTGCTTTGTGCAGTATGGCCTTTTAATGATATTGCTTCTTCCTATCCATGAGCATGATATGTTTTCCATTTTGTTTGTATCCTCTCTGATTTCTTTGTGCAGTGTTTTGTAATTCTCATTGTAGAGATTTTTCACCTCCCTGGTTAGTTGTATTTTACCCTAGATATTTTATTCTTTTTGTGAAAATTGTGAATGGGATTGCCTTCCTGATTTGACTGCCAGCTTGGTTACTGTTGGTTTATAGAAATGCTAGTGATTTTTGTACATTGATTTTCTTTCTAAAACTTTGCTGAAGTTTTTTTTATTAGCAGAAGGAGCTTTGCGGCTGAGACTATGGGGTTTTCTAGATATAGAATCATGTCAGCTTCAAATAGGGATAATTTTACTTCCTCTCTTCCTATTTGGATGCCCTTTATTTCTTTCTCTTGCCTGATTACTCTGGCTGGGATTTCCTATGTTGAATAGGAGTCATGAGGGAGGGCATCAAATCTACACATATCAAATACTAACCTTGAATGTAAGTGGGCTAAATGCCCCACTTAAAAGGTAAAGGGGGGCAAGCTGAATAAAAAAGCAAGACTCAATGGTATGCTGTCTTTGAGACCTATCTCACATGTGATGACACCCATAGGCTCAAAATAAAGGAATGGAGGAAAATCTACCAAGCATGTAGAAAACAGAAAAAAGCAGGGGTTGCATCCTAATTTCAGACCAAACAGACGTCAAACAAACAAAGTTCAAAAAAGACAAAGAAGGGGCCGGGAGTGGTGGCTCACACCTGTAATCCCAGCACTTTGGGAGGCCAAGGTGGGCGGATTACAAGGTCAGGAGATCGAGACCATCCTGGCCAACATTGTGAAACCCCATCTCTACTAAAATCCAAAAAAAAAAAAAAAAAAATAAGCTGGGCTTGGTGGTGTGTGCCTGTAGTCCCAGCTACTCGGGAGGCTGAGGCAGGAGAATCACTTGAACCTGGGAGGCGGAGATTGCAGTGAGCTGAGATTATGCCACTGCACTATAGCCTGGCGACAGAGTGAGGCTCCGTCTCAAAAAAAAAAAAAAAAAAAAAGACGAAGGGCATTACATAATGATGAAGGGTTTTACTCAACAAGAAGACCTTACTAACCTAAATATATATGCACCCAACACAGGAACACCCAGATTCATAAAGTAAGTTCTTAGAGTACAAAGAGGCTCCCACACAATAATAGTAGGAGACTTTAACACACCACTGATAGTCATAGACAGATCATCAAGGTAGAAAATTAACAATGATATTCAGGATCTGAACCCAACATTCCACCGAATGAGTCTGATAGACATCTACAGAACTCTCCATCCAAAAACAACAGAATATACATTCTTCTCATCTCCACATGGCACATGCTCTAAAATTGACCACATAATGCCTTTCTTTTCAGTGGTCCATATGTAAGTCTTTTGAAAGTGGCAGCATCTCTACTGCTCATGCTTGTTGCAAGGAACTCTACTGAATACAAGGAACTTTACTAATCTCTAATGCTTGTGAGTAGATTCTGAACTCATCATTTAGAAAGCTAAACTGGGGGCTTTCTTCCCAGAGC
Source organism: Homo sapiens (assembly GCF_000001405.40). Lineage (NCBI taxonomy): Eukaryota > Metazoa > Chordata > Mammalia > Primates > Hominidae > Homo > Homo sapiens. The sequence continues at coordinate 565,156 of NW_003315917.2, read as the reverse complement.
AAAGACATAAAACAAACCTCAATTGAGCGTGGGACAGGGAGTCATGTGCTATAAACTTCTTGGACAGTTCTTATTCTATGGACCAATTACCATTCCCTTGTATCTCTAATTTTGGGATTATTTCTGGATTAAAACACAAAAAAAATCAGACTGTAAAAAGTCATCATTTCTACCAGTGTGAGAATATGTATTCCTCACCTTTACTGGGATTCACTGCCAGTATATATGCAAATGACTTATACACACACATACACACACGCACATACACACACACGTGTGTGTGTGTAGGTATGTCTGTAATAGGTATTTATATGTTTGCCTGTCTTTCTATTAGAATTGAGATACAGCAAAATGCACAGAAATTAAGCATTCAATTTAGTAAGTTTTCACAAATGTACATATTTAATCAATATCTCAATCAACGCAAAAACCATTGTTTCACCTCTGAAGATAATTTTTAATCTTTTGCAAATTATTGAGACTTATTTAATGACCGAGACTACACAGTCCTTCGTAAACATTCCATGTAAATTTGATAAAAATATTTCCATGAAATTTTTTGTGTAGTGTTCTAAAACTTGAAATTAGACTACATTAGTTGATAGTATTATTAGAATCTTCCAAATCCTTACTAATTTTTATATGTTCATCTATTGTTTATTTTGAGCCGATGATTAAAATCTTCAACTATGAGTGAAAGTCTATTTCTCTGTTTAGTTCTGTCTGTTTTTACTTCATGCATTTTGACACTCTGTTATCAGTTGTATAAACATTGAGAATTATAATGCATTGCTAATGAGCTTAACCTTTTATCATTCCATCTCTGATATTTCAGCTTATTTTGAATCCTACTTTCTCTGGTATTAGCCAGCTACATCAGTTTTACTTCCTTTCATTTTCAACCAATTTTATGACTCCATCTCAAAAAAAAAATGCATTCATTATACAGAGCATATAGTTTTGTCCTTTTTAAATCCAGTCTCAAAATTGCTAGCTCTTAATTTAAGTGTGTTATGGGTTGAATTGTCTGCCAAAAAAAACATACGTTGAAGTCCTTACCCCAGTAATTAAGGATGCAACCTTATTGAAAGATAGGATCTTTATAGATGTAATCAAGTCAAAATGGGATCATTAGAGTGGCCTGTAATCCAATGTGACTGGTGGCCTTATGAAAGGGGGAAATTTGGACACAAAAATGCCACCAGAAAGCACAACATATGAACATGAAGAAAGCCATCTAAAAGCCACGGAGAGATGTCTAGAACAGATTCTTCTTCACAGCCTTTAGAAGGAACCAGTACCTTGAATTCAGACTTCTAGCCTTCAGGACTTGAGATAATACATTTTTGTTGCTTGAGGCACCTAGTTTATGGTACTTTGTTATATAACCCTAGGAAACTAATATAAATGTTCAATCCATTTACATTTAATCAGTGATGTCAGTGTTGTTAAATCTACCATGTTACTATTTGCCTACTATTTTCTTATTTGGGTGTTGTTCTCTTCCCTTGGTTGTTGATATTTCTTTCTTCACCGGTTCAGTGTTACCTTCCTTAGAGTAAATGGATATTTTTCAATATTTCATTTTAATTATGCTATTGGCTTTATACCCTTCATACATGTGTTCTTGTTGATTCGATGTTCTTGGATCTCTGCATTGAAATTTTTCATCAAAATTTGAAAACACTGGCAATTATTTCTTCAAATATATTTTTTCTTTCCCATTTTCTGACTCATCCTTTTGAGACTTCATTTGTGTATAGGTTTGATGGCTTGATATCCCATGTCATTCAATCTCTTATTTTAATCATTTTCCTCTTTTGTTTGAGATTAGATAAATTCAAAAATGGTTTTCAAGGTTATTTGTCTGCTTTTCAGAGAGCTGAAATCTGAGAGTATACCCTGCCAGTGACTCTTTCATTGTATATTTTGCACTTGTTACTTCAACAATGTTCATTTCTCAAAATTACCTTTTTCGTTCTATCATTGTGACAATATCTCCATAGTCTAAGGACATATTCATAATATATATCTGTTGATTTCAATGCCTGGGTCATTATGATGTATGTTCTATTGACTGCTTTTTTCCCCTTGATTATTTATTAAATTTTCCTGCTTCTTTGCGTAACTTGTATTTTTGACTAATACACTGTAGAAAATCTAGACGTTGTCTTCTTGTAAAAGGCCCTAAGATAGTCCTTTGAAAGCTGTTAAGTGGCTTCCAGATCCTTTTGATCTGCCATGCCTGGTTTCATTATTTGTTAATGAAAATCTCTTTCATTTTTGTTCTTAAAGATAGGACATAGTCTTTACTGAAAGAAATAGTCCTTGTTCTTAATGCCTGGAATATTCCGTAAAATATCTTCCCTGTGGCTAGTCAGTAACCCAAACATCTCCTTGTCCTGTTACTACTGATATCTTATTCCCACAGTATCTGCTTTCAGCAGGTCTTGCAGATGTTAACCCTGCTCAGGTATAGAGCAGCTTTTGACGAAATTGGTGCCAAATACTTATTCTGGCTTCTGTAGGCCTACCCCATGCCTCTTTTTCCTTTCCTATACAAATTTCAGCCACTTCAGCAGCTCTTAAATAACAACCACTTAAGCAAGTGTAAGCTATTTACAAATATCGATAGATAGATAGATAGAGAGAGAGATGATATAGATAGAGATTTAATTGTAATTTTAGATTCAGGGGGTATATGTGCAGGTTTGTTACAAAGTTATATTGCTTGCTGCTACTGTTTGGGCTTCCACTGATCCTGTCACCCAGGTAGTGAACTGAATACCTAACAGGAAGTTCCTTGGCTCTTGTCCCTCTACCCCTACCTCTTTTTGGAACCTAATTAAACTAAGAGCTTCTGCATAGCAAAAGAAATTATCAACAAATAAGCAGACAACCTACAAAATGAGAGCTTTAAGCTTTAATTTCTTCCTCTAAACTCATTATTTTTAGAGTCTGCCTCCTTGTTTAATGGGAGAAAAAGTGCCCCTAGTCACATTCTCTGGTTAAATGTGGTACTTACCTCACAGCTTTCTTCTCTCTTGAGTATGAAAAACTTGTACTTCTTGTTTGATGCATAAAATCTGGTTCCTCATATATGTTGCCCAGTTTTATCATTGTTTATAGTGAAAAGGCAAGTCCCTCCAATAATTCTATTATGGCCAAAGACTAAAGTGCCTCTGATATGACTTATGTCCTTCAGAAATTGCTTACTCTTTAGTCTGTTGGTAGAATTCTTCTCAACTTTCCATAGTTATTTTAATAAGTACTATATTTTCCTATTTCAATGGCAATTTGGAATAAAGGAGAAATAAATGTATTTGTTTGGTCCATCTTTGTGTATTCAAACTGTTAAGTCATTACTTTTCACGTCCACTACACATATTACTGCACAGTAATTCCTTGTTTACACCTATAATCTCCCTCTCCTGTTTTCCTAGTTTCTATTCAAGTATTTGGGGTAACTGATATTTCTTAAAACAATATGTATTCTTGGAAAGAGATGTTTCTAGAATCCCCTTCTTAGGTGACTTATTAGGAAAAATTATAAGAATAAGAACGAGAATAGAGAAGAAAAGTAATTGAAGACATCCACTTCAACTCTAAATCCCCCTAGGAGAAAAAAGGCTAGCACTTATTTAAATGCCCTTCTTAGGTGACTTATTAGGAAAAATTATAAGAATAAGAATGAGGATAAAGAAAAGTAATCGAAGATACCCACTTCAACTCTAAATCCCCACAGGAGAAAAATGGCTGGCACTTATTTAAACTCATCTAGGTTTTAGTTTTGCTGATGTTGTTTTTCCAATAATAATCTGTTTCAATTATTATAACAGCAATTTCAGTGAAATATGGTACTTACCAGCTAAGTTTTACACAGGGAAGCACTTTCCTAAACACTTCCCCATCCTTCTTCAAAGTTTGAATCCAAATCTTTTGTACTCCAGGGCTTATTTTGTTTTTCCTACAGCATTCTGCCTTTCTAGAATTAGCACTAGTTACCCTCAGGAAAAGCAAATACATGGACCCATAAAATAATCTTTGGAAGTCTTTCTTCTCCTGCTAGTTACCAAATTATAATCTTCTTATTGTAATAATAAAATAAAATAAAAAATAAAAAGAACTATTTTACTCTAATAAGTTTCCCATTAAGCTAAGCCTGCTTTTGTTGTATTAGAGATTAACATATGTAGACAGTGTTCTTTTTGACTGGAAATGGGGATTAGTTATGGTTCAAGTAATGCATAAACAAGATGTATTTTTAAAAATACGTCATATTTATGCATTATATTTAAGCAGCCATTTGTAAAAAGCTGAAACTTATTAGAAAGTGAATTCTTCATACTCATGTTTGTATTTTCAATGTTTAGGATTATTTGTTAGCTTAGGTATAGACTAGATTATTTTTCTAAACAAACAGGAATAAGAAATATAGGTAGTAAAATTTACATGACCTGGTAAAATTTAAAATATCCATTCTGACTAACAGGCAGTGATGAGAACAATAAATAAAATATATCTTGGTTTAAATTCTAAGTAAATATATTTGACAATATAAATATAAACATACTCATATGAGTGAATTGCTTCTAATTCTGGCTTTTAGCTAAATAAGCACTTAATGCTAGTAAGAAAAATACATTATTTCATAAAGATAACAAATTCTTTCAGAAATAGTAATTATATTTTTAAAGAGTTTGGGGAAAATAGAAGTGTATACTCTAATCTTATAGCAAAGTTTCTGCTAAGTTTTTGTGATGCCAGTGTTTTCATTATGAATCATTTCACTGTCAAACAAAATGTACGCTGTTGATTAAACACAGGCAAAAAGAGACGGAAAGAAAAAGGTATATTAAAAAAAAGACCTTTGGTTATTCTGGCTGCCACCAATTGCTTTCTTGTTTCAGCTGAATTTTGAAGTAGCTAATCATATTTTGGCATTTTCTTGTCATCAAAGCATTTCGTGAAATTATCCCATTACAATGTTTTTCTCAGAGGCAAAATTAACATGGTTGACAGTTTAATTGACATATTTCTTTTTCGTTGTGTGCCTTTGCCAATTAAACAAATTGCACCCTATTTTGATGTTCATTTTGTTAATTATTTGTAAAACTGTAGACTCTGATTTTTTTTTTTTTTAATTTTCAGGTGTCAGTTTCTTGGTCGGGAATGAAAATAGTGCCAACCTGTGATACCTTCACTCTAATTTTACTTTCTGAGGAAGTTTTCTGTAATAGTTATTTGGTGATAATTATTAATACTGGTGAGTTTTAAAATTTTTGCTTTCAGCAATTTTCCATTTTTTTCAACATACTTATATCGCAATGAGGCAACCAAATATGAATCCTGAGAATGAAGATGGAAAATGAATATTTTAATCCAATATCGAGTTGTTCTTTCAACATTTTTAGTTTTAGTTTTAATCGAAAATATAAAGTTACATAATTGTGTGAGGAATAATTTTTGCAGAGAAATTTTTAAAAATTCACAAAAGGAAAAAGAAACCTTTACCATGAGTCTATAACATTGAAAGACTGTGTTTAAGTTATTTTAATAAAGCCAAACCAACACTTTCAGCAGGAACTAAATGGCAGCATCTGATTTCACACTGATACATATGTATTAGTGTGGTGCTCACTTTTACCCTTCATTTTACCTTGGGTCTTGCCATTTTCTTTCTTTTTATTTTTATGTTTTTTTGTGTTTTGTTTTCTTCTGGAGGAGGTAATTTTTAGGGAGAAAAAAAACACTTTTTCCTCATAGGTCGATTTAAAATGTTGGCCTTACCTTAATCTCCTCTCTCAAACTCAATCCACTATGTAATGGGTCAACATACTTTTCTGTGAAGGAGCAGATAGTAAATATTTTAGTCTTTGCAGGCCATATGGTCTCTGTTGCCAGCTCTTCCATTGTGGTGTGAAAGCAGCCATAGACAACACAGAAATGAATAAGTGTAACTGTTCCAATAAAAACAGATGATATGTTGAATTTAGCTCACAGAGTTTAGCTTGCTGCCCCTGCAGGAGGCCTTTGGAGTAAAAGCTTCCTGAGAGGAGGACTTTTTGTCTTTTTTGCTCAAGTTCTAGCTCCAGTACCTAAAATAGTGCCTGTCACGTAGGTATTGATGAATATTTGAACCTGTTGAACATACACCTAAAATAAAACATTTGGCAAGATACAGTACTACACAATTTGGAGAACACTTGGCTCCCATAGAAATCAAAGCCTTCCTGAGTAATTAATTATTTGGCCTGATGATGAATTACTGTGCCTGAGATGATAGAGCTAATTTATTTTTCAATTCACTCAGGGGACACACGTTATTTTCACTGTGAATTTGGTTAAAATGAAAAGATTTCCTGCTCTAAGTCCTGGATAGACCTTTATGTAATAGCATACTCTTCACTCTTTTTGAATCACATGCAGTTGTCACACTGGATGATTTCCAGACAGAGGCTCCAAGTCTTTCATCATGTTTGGGTTAAAGACCTCATTAACATACTAGTCCTGCCATTTGAGTCTGTTCTCTTCACGGAATATTTTCACCTGAATCAGTGGGTATAATTCATCAGTGTCTGGTTGCTTCAAGTTATTTTTCTTAATGCTGATGTTAATGCATGCCCATCTTTATGCCTCAACACATTGCACAATGAAAAACAAAAATTATTTTGGAAGACACAGCTGACATCTATATGAAATATTCAGTATCAGTGATTGAACTTCAGCAAGCTCCTGTGGCCAGCAGGGTTTTACGGAGGTGCAACTGCTCTCCCACGATCACTTATCATAAAGCCAGAGACAATTGGGCCAATGTAGCCTCTTGCCTGCTTTTGTGTACAAAATATAAATAGAATAGAGCAAATAAGGAAAAATAGTCCCGCAGCTGGAAGGCAACTTTAAAGAAAAATGATGTTCATAGCTGTCTTGCCAGTAGCTGGCAAAGCAGTTTTTATAAGACATATTTAATGTTTACAACCACTTGGAGGCTGGGGAAGGAGTAATACTTTGAAAATATGTTTAATGTTGTGAACCACTCTGTGGCCGAGAAGCAACTCCGGCTAAAATATATTTAATGCTTAGAGTCATTTGGTGGTTTCGAAAAAAAAGAAACTTCTTGTTAATTTTTAACATTTATTGCTGATCAGTGGCTGCTAAAGTAACTATCAGTACAGCATGATTTATATTTAGGGACACGCTGTGCTGCTACTAAAACAATTCATACTCTTCTCTCAAGGCTACACAAAAAGTGTCAATAGCATTACCTTTGCAATTGCACCACTAATAAAAACATAGGAATCAAACAGACGAATAAAATGCTCCCTGCCCACACAGCCATAACATCCTATGGCCCTGAAAATAGTTCTGCCAAGCTGCGTGCAGTGGACACTTCACGGCTGGCACAGGAGAGATCACAAGGCCTTGCTCAATTTCATCAAAAGTGTTAAAGCGACTCAGCAGATTGTGAAGCACAAGTGGAAGCTGATAATTGGTGTTTCTTACAAATCAACGGCTTGTCTCCACACATCAAGGTAAAGGCGTCCTCTACACCAAAGAAAATGTAAATTGGGATAGAAGGTCATTATGTTTTTAAATAAACTTGGTTAAATTTGTAGAAAGGGCAATGGTAAATACTGAGCTCACATGTCAGATGGAGAGAAAACTTGAGAAAAGGGAAGAAGATAATGAGCTGGAACCTTTACCATTTAGACTTTCTCTGGCTAGCTTTCTGAGAATGATCATCAAACTCTTATGAGGACCCTTTCCAATGTATTGACTGCACTTCCCCAGGGATTGTGGCAAATGGTAAATATATATTTTCTCCTTGCTACTTGCAATAACCCTGCTCATAAAGTGTTACTATTATTCACTTGCAGGTGAGAAAATCAATGTAAAAGAGGAGAAATAACCCACACAACCACATACAACTAGGAAATGATAGATGGATCTGAAAAAAAGGATATGCACTCTTAACAAGTTCAACACCCAAGTACTATTGCAAGTACCAGCTGTATTTCATGGAAAAAAAAAAAAGAATAACTCAAAAGGCAGAACGAAGAGCCTAGAGGTCAGAGATGAGAGGCATGAATAATTATTCACAGGCGTTGAATATAATCAAATGACTTGCAACATTTACCACTGGGATTTTAAAATGTGGTGGACCAATCATTCTTTTAGTCTGTGCATTTTCCCATTTTTTTCAACAGGAATGTCTAGAGACATTATTCCTGTTTTGCCACTGTATTTTTGGTGAATGTGTAGTAAGTAACTGGCCTCTTTAGTATCACAAAGCTGGATGAAGAAAATGTGGTACATATACACCATGAAATACTATGCCGCCACAAAAAGGAAATGAGATCATGTCCTCTGCAGGGACATGGATGAAGCTGGAAGCCATTATCCTTAGCAAAGTAACGCAGGAACAGAAAACCAAACACCACATGTTGTCTCTTAGAAGTGGGAGCTGAACGGTAAGAACACATGGACACAGGGTGGAGAACAATACACACTGGGGCTTGATGGGGGGTGGAGGGGAGGGATGGGGAGCATTAGAAAAAATAACTAATGCATGCTGGGCTTAATACCTATGTGATGGGTTGATAGGTGCAGCAAACCACCCTGGCACATGTTTATCAATGTAACAAACCTGCACATCCTGCACAGGTACTCCAAAACTAAAAGTAAAAAAATCTAAAAGAAAAAAAAAAAGAATTAAACCCAAAATCACTTCCCCATCTGGACTTGATTTAGATGAAAAGCTTCTGGACTTTGAGCTGATGCTATAGTGGGTTGAAAATTTTGGGGTCCTCAGAAGGGGATGAGGATATATTGCATGAGAGAGCAACATGAATCATTGAGAGCCAGAGTATAGAGAGTGGTAGGTAGACTGTAGGAGAGCCCTCAATGATCCCGGCTTTCTTGTATTCGCGTTGCACTTACTTGTATAATATGGCAGATGGGATGTGATGTCACTTTCAAGATTAGGTTATAAATAGACTATGGCTTCAATCAGAGGGTTTTCTCTCTGTCTAGCTCTCTTTTGGGTAGTTCATTCTGAGGAAAGCCAGCTGCCACGTTATGATGTAGGCCTGTGAGGTCCACGTAGCAAAGAACATATGGAAGATTTCTACCACCCCCTAACTAAGCCTTTAGATCAGACTGCAACCCCAGCCAACAAGGTAGCTACAAACTCTTGAGAAGCCTTGAGACAGAGGTACTCAATAGAGCCATTCCTATGAGAAACGTAAGTATCTGCTGTTTTACACCGCTAAGGTTTTAGCTAATGTATTATGCCATAATAGATAAGTTATATACAACCTTTATCAAATAATAAAAGTAACCATCATCAGTAATGAGACAAATCAAAAACCATGGCCCACCCAATAGAACATAATGAGGAGAGTACAGAATTGCTTCTGGGATATTTCTGACAAAGATGTATATGCTTCATTCATACATGAGGAAACATCACACATACTCAAGATGGGAGAGCCATTCTAAAAAATAACTAGGCAGAAATCTTCAAAAATATTAAAGTCACGGAAACCAAGAAAAAATATGAACCTGTTTCAGATTAAAGGAAACTAAACAGACCTAACATTTTAATACAATGTTTGATTTTGAACTTGAACTTTTTGTTATATAAGACACTATTGAGACAAGTGCTAATGCTTGAATAGGGCTGAAGGATTAGATTATAATAATACATTAATGCAAATTTCCTGATTTTAAACATTGTAGTTTGATTGCACAAGGAGAATGTCTTTATGTGTGGAAAATAAATAGTCAACATTCTGTCTTCAAGCTTCTGAAAAAACTCTGCTTTTAGGGCATAGATAGAAGTGGATGATAATTCACCTGTTCCTCTGCTACTAATTGAGCTGCTCTCTGTTTCCATGGCTGGCTCATGGGATGAGAGAATATATCTAGTTTTTTATGTTTCAATTTGTCTCTCTATGGCATTTTTGTGAAAATAAGGAAGTGTGGAGACTTATATATGTTTCTAAATTGTAATAGTTCATTAATGTAAAGTACAGACACAGTCTTCACTTTTCCTTCTTAGACCGTTTAAATATGGCCACGAAACAAGTAGTCTCTGGTTGGCTGGACACTGTGGCTCATGTCCTTAACACCAACACTTTGGGAGGCCGAGGCAGGCAAATCACTTGAGGTCAGGAGTTCGAGACCAGCCTGGCCAATGTGGCAAAACCCCATCTCTTCTAAAAATACAAAAATTAGCTGAGTGCGGTGGTGCACACCGGTAATCCCAGTTACTCGAGAAGCTGAGGCAGGAGAATCACTTGAACCTGGAAGGCAGAGGTTGCAGTGAGCCAAGACCGCACCACTACACTCCAGCCTGGGCAATAGAGCAAGACTCCATCTCAAAAAAAAAAGAAAAAAGAAAATAGTCTCTGGTTAAATAACCTCTGAAAGACTCCACCAAAAATTTCATCTTAGCATTTCTCCCCAAACTTCAGGTAAAATAAAATAGAGTTGAGAGAAAAATAGAAAGGCAAGGGAGTACCTGTTCACTATTTTTATTAAACCAGTGTTCTACTTTATTTTAGGTGTATCTTTTCTTATTTAAATGTCAGCTAAACTTTCTTTTTAAGATATTGAATGAAAGATGCCCGTCCTTCAGGTTTCGTTTAAGCAAGAATCCCCATTCTCAAATAATATAATATAAACTTTCCAAATTCTTAAGTAGATCATCTGAGATTGAAAGCTAAGTTTAACTTTCTCAAAGATATTTTAGCCGCCATGACACCTAGACAAAGTGGTATATTAAATTCTGATTAATTTGGTCCTAAAGCACCTAAGAATCATTCTTACTTTCTTATCCACAGGGGTTATTAAGTTTTCACATTAAAAAAAATCCAACAGTGAATAATACTGCATTGGGGTTACTGTAATTGTTAAGTAAAATAAGAAATACAAATCTTTAGTTAGATCACATGGCACCTGACTACTGCTTAGAAAATGGTAAGACTTACTACATAAATCATGAGTCACTATTGACATCTACTATATCATATCATAGGTTAGGTATCTAATTATAAATAGTCAAATCAGCTGACTCAAGGTGGCATAGCTCAAGCAGAGGAAGATAATACAAGTTGAGTATGGATTTAACACTCTAAACCTGTCAGCACTGTAGGAAAAGTAACTTAAAACTGCACACCCCACTTATGCATAATCATCAGATATAAAGAGGGTACATTCCTGTAATTTATTGTTGCTCTAGTGATCTTAAAGAATTAAGTCCACATTCATAAAGTCCAAACTTGTCTCCAAGGATTTGCTTTGACTTTGGGAGTATCTGGATCATTAAGTAATTTCCGGAGGTCAGAGTAAAAGCTTTTTATCTCTAAATATTACTTCCCTGGAATATTAGATGTAGCAGAAGTCAGTAACGGAGTGACCTTTCTCTTAAACAATTCATAGATTCACTGAAATTTTCTTCAACTTTAGGAAAATTAAATATATTCCACAGTGCTGTAAGTCTTAAATATTGATTTTCCTCTGAAATCTTGACTCATCCTACCCACCAACATTCTCCCTTTGTACACTATGTTCTTTGTAATGTTCATGTTACACAAGTGAAAATTAGTAACATTAGTAAATTTTCATTGCAGGTTTATTTGTTCATATTTCTGGATATATAATCCATTACTGTTAAACTTCATATCAATGTTCCGATATTTCTTCATCTTATGTTTTATGTTACAAAACAGGTTATTTCACTATATGTATGTTTAATTGATTAATTCTTCCCTTTTTTTGGAAATGAAACAGCACTCTCAATTATTGGGACAGAAAAGTTATTTCATAGGGAATACTTCAAACACTGATATCTACAACAGGCAGTAAGATTCGTCACAACAATTGGTATACTGTCAATATACCATACAAAGTTCCATCTGGTCTTGATTAAAAATTATTTTAGTTTTCTCAGGAAAATGATACAGAGGGAGAATTGCCTAGATTATATGAGAGAAAAAAAAGTAGAGAGAAACATAATGTTTTCTTAGATTATTACAGCAGTGAACTATTTCCACCTGGTAAGAAGGGTGCACTTGAGAATGGGGTTCAAGTACTCTAGGAACATAGATGTAAGTTCTGGATGCACAGTAGTTGTTGCTTAGCTGTAAGCTGGAAATTTCAAGGCAGAAACAGCAGATACCACAACTATAACTGGGTCTCCTTGTTTTTTGTTTTATGTGTATACGTGAGATTATGGGGAAAGACAAAAGTAATGCATAGAGATTTATTTTTTAACATTCAATTCATAAGCAGTGTTTATACCTCTTTGTACTTACTTGAAAAGTGTATATTATGTAAATTTAGTATAAAAACACTTGGACTAATTCATACCATGTGGTAAAATTTCACATTCAAAAGAAATACCCTTCTGTTATTAAAAATAAAAAAAAAAAGGAGCCAGGAGGGTGGCTCATGACTGTAATCCCAGTGCTCTGGGAAGCCAAGGTGGAGGGATCATTTGAGGCCAGGACTACTTGAGAACAGCCTGGGCAACATAGCTAGATCCCTTCTCTACAAAAAGTAAAAAAAAAAAAAAAAAAAAAAAAAAAATAGCTAGGCAGGGTGGCACATGACTGGCTATTAAGGAGGCTCAGGTGGAGGGATCTCTTCAGCCCAGGAATTTAAGGCTTCAGTGAGCTAAGATTGGGCCATTGCACTCCAGCCAGGGCAACAGACCAAGACCCAGTCTCAAAATAAATAAATAAAAATGAAAGAAAGCAGTGCACTGAAAATCAATTTAAGTATTTACTGGAGTTGTCTTGAAGGCCCAATGGGAAATGTCAGTAAGGGCACATGAGAAAACACTTTAAGAACCTATTCTTCCAAAGATCTTTCCAGTATCTTATGACAACACAGTAAATTATACCCACTCCAAATGCAAAAGCTGAAACTACTCTGCTTTCTCACTTAACTACACTTTTGACTTTCGAAATACATTTCTCTCTTCGGATATGAGCTGCAAACTCCTTATATAAAGGCTCCAACTCTGCAGCCCTAATTATTCTAGTTGGCCCAAGAAAAATCCTAATTGTTTTATCTAAGGAGACGGAATTTTCCAATACTGTAGAGGCATGTGTGTGTGTTTGCTTTAAGGAAGCTGTTTTGGTAATAAAAAGTCACTGAGGGTCATAAATTCATGTTAACACATCCAGTGTACATGAAGTAGGCACCGAGTTAAACTATTTGTCTACTATATAGCATGTCATCTTAAAAGCCTTATTTTTTCCTCAAAATATTAACTTTATTTTTCTCCCTGTAAAATCAAGACACAGTTAAAATGTAGCCTTCCTCATTTTCTGGGAATACTTTCTAACAAGATATGCTTCTTTCCAATTGGACTTCTAAATTTCTAGCAATTCTAACAGTGCATAAAAGAGGCAACCCCAAAAGTGTAGCAGGTACTGAATAACAGATTTGCAGCCTTGGGTATCCACATTAAAATTTGAAATCTAAGTGAATTACTTCAAGCTGATTTCTTAGGTCAAGGAGAGATTATGGTCCTTAAATGCCTGATAAGGTCACATACACAATTTCAAGTGCATTATAGTAAATCCATGTGACAGCTCCTATAGCTACTAACCTGCTTCTGCCCTCACGGTAACGTGCACAATCTTCATCGCATGTCCTGGGTGGTGGTAGGAGCAGTAGAAACCCCCTGGGTCATGTCAGATTTAGAAAATATAAGCAATGGCTCATACACGAATTTTAAGTTGTAACCTACATGTGATAAGTTGCTTTATCTTCCAAATGTAATAAAAACCAGAAGTTACTTTGAAATAAATTGAAGGATTAGCAGTGGTGACTGAGGAATAAAAATTATAATTTAAAATTGTCCTTAAAGCTGGAATTCTTAACTTATTGACCTTATATCCTACATATTATAGGACTTTGTAAATTTAGGCTGATATGGAAATGTATATTTATATCAAATTTAAATTTTTAGAATGATGGTGCTACTATATTCTAATTGTTAATTTGATAATTGTAATTGTAATTTGTTAATTTGTTCTAATAATGTTTTCATGACATTATTCATTTGCTGCTTGGCTTGATGGCATAACAAGTATGGGTTATTTACCCTGAAAAGGAAACAGTATCACCCTTCCAGAATCTCTATTTACAGCTACAGAAGATGCAACACACCTGTTTCTGGACCACTTCCAGATCAGATGTGATGCATGCTTTAGATCATTTACTTTGATCTAGGAATTACTGTCTGGCATTTCGTGGTGTAGGGTAGGTGTCTCCAGCACTGTATAGGTGTCTGGAATTGAGATAAGAATCAATTTCAATACAAAATACATTTTTTGCTTAAAGCACGCAAGGATTCTATGAATTCAGGTAAATTCACAGGGTGGAAAACAGGAACTAATGTTATATATTCCTGTAGTTATCTTCATAATGAAGCAGAAAGAAAAACAAAAAAGTTACAAAAATAAATGAAAAGAACTGTATTTTCTAGAATTGAAAAATAATTCTTTTAGATGATAGATAAGATGTTTACATCAACCTGCAAAAAGTCAATGTTGAAGAGGTCTCATTGTATCTCACAGAATTTTGATTTGCCTACTCACCCACAGGAGACATTTCTGGGACAGTAGCAACATAAGGTCCATCCCAAAACTTTGGCTCATTATCATTAATATCCTGCACTTTGATGATGAATTCTGATTCAGGCTCCAGGGGCTTTCTGGTTTCTATGTCCACAGCCTGAGCACGAAGAGTGTAGAAAGGTTTTTCTTCTCTATCTAGGCTCCTTATTGCATGAATGTCCCCTGTGGTTTCATCAATGGTAAAAACGGTGCCAGCGCCATCTCCTGAGAGGGTGTATTTCGCAGTGCCCTTTCCCTTGTCTAAGTCGGAATGGAGCTTTAGGGAAGAGAGGGAGAGAGAGAGGAAGAGAAAGAGAAGGACAAAGAAAGAACACCATTAAAAGGATGTTGCCAAATTAAAAAGTCATAATTTGCAATACAATTCCTTTAATCAAAAATGTTAAATAAAAATCTTATGGTTCTGTTTTCTTGTTTTTTATTTCTCCAACTTCTTTTTATAAAAATTTCAACACAAAAAGTTGAAAACTGCAATGAACACATATACATATACATCCAAACATTCCTCCATTCGTCTATTAATCTGCTTGCCTTATCAGATAGGTCTCATATCCATTCTTCTGTTCATCCTTCTCTTAACCCATTTTTTTTTTTGAGGTGTTACAAAGATCAGAACAAAAGTACAACCTCAGATATAGCAGCAGGCAAAAAAAAAAAACAATAAATTTTGAAAATTTGTATTTAGTTCTTCTGTATCCCTTTGGGATAACATTTTCATAAAATGAAATGCACAAAACTTCAGTGTACTTATTGTTTCATTTTAAATAAACATTGCAATAAAAATAAATTAGCTCATAAACACCACAAAATAAACTTTCCAAGTGTTCTGAAGATGAAATCAATGACCTGAATCCAGTGGGAGATAGTGCAAAGGAACTCAGAAAACACTAAGCATTTTCATTTGTAAAGAAGGGAAAAATCTGGCAAATCAAGAGGTTTTCAGTGATATAGGGCAGAGCGTCTCATTTTAACAGGCTGAGTTTGAATGAGTTTACCACTATGATTGGTAGAATCACTGATTATCCTTTCAGATTCACAAATAGCTTGTTCCAATTCATTCTATATAGAGAATATTTATGTTGAGTAATATAGGAAAGCATTGAAATTCTGCTAATTTTGTTTTAAAATTCAACACATGTATGGTACATTACATTATAGCATGGAATAAGATACACATGAATAAGCGATAAGGAAGAGAACTAAAGAGTAGAGAGAATTATCAGTGTAATGCCATAAAGCAGCGTTGTTCAAACCGGAGACCAAGAATAAATGAAAAATGGACACAGTCTTAAAAGTATATAAATTATGTGTAAATAAATATATACATAAAATATTACATAAAATAAAATAGTACATCATATACAATTTTCTAGTAGTATATATTTGTATAAATATATTCTTATGCATAATATAATTATATATACATAACAGTCATAAATAATATTTATATTAATTTTTATGCAGATGCTGATTTAAATGTTTTAAACTATTCTTGCTCATTTGGGTATAGCCATTTGATTTCAGCATCCAAATTTTTACATGTAACAGCTTTTTCCAGACAACAGATCACCCAAAAGAAAATTAAACTTTTGCAGCATTTCTAACCATTTGGGCTACGCCTTAAAAATCTGCATATGAGCACTGCTCTTTGCAAATCATTGCTTAAGAATGAGTTCTGTTTTCCTAACATTTCAACACACACAAAAACTCTGAAAATATTTTAAATTATATAAATATCCTGTTGCAAATAAGCTTCCTGTGTATTAGTATGAGTAATTATAGCCCAAATAAATACAAGTTCAACTGTGGCTACATCTTTGCTCTTAAGCTCAAGAGCGTGCTTTAAGTTCAATAAAATAATATCATTGTTCATATTAATGTTATTAAGGTAAACTTATTCATTTTGTGACCCTGCATTTCCTTCAATATTTGTTCTAAAACTGTTTTGTATGAGAGTATAAGCATAACCATAAAAACCTGGTTGGGTAATATAATAAAAATAATGTGGCAACAATAAGAGGGAACAAGATTTTGACGTTCCTTTAAAAGTTTCTGTATATTTTACTTAAGTATAAAGAAAATTGTTATGAATGATAGGAGGAAGGATTTTTGTCCACCTATTAAAAAAAAACTGCTGTGAAGCATAGGAAGTTTCAAGCATAAAATCAAGCAGTAGATAAATGTTCTTTGAACTTATGAATTTCAAATTATAAATTTCAACCATGCTATTAAAGATATTCAACACAGTGGATATTCCTTTTGCTTTCAAATTTATCTAAATATATGAGACAGGCAAAAGCTCAATGCAAAAGGCATGACTTTATAAAATGGATCCATTTTGCCAACAGCTCAAAGAATTATGGTAATATTGTGGGAACTGAGTGAAAATTCAGAGTAGGTTTTGAAATGTGATACAAGTAGAATTTTAAAAAGAAAAAAGAAAAAAATTTCTGTATTTAGCTAAAATCATAACTGTTTCCTTTGCAAACTGACATAAAAATGAAGAAGCAAAATGTGTCTTTAGTTATATCCAAGTTCCAAATTCAAGTTAATTACTGCTGCTCCTCACTCTTCTACCTTTTCCTTCAAATTTAAAGATGGGCTTTGCAGAGATTAAAGCTTCAGAAAAAAATATGGGAAAATATGTTAAAATGTTGACCTGAAAATGAAGTGGATGACTATAAAACTCTTGAGAGAATTAGACTTTTTGTAGCAGTTTATTACATGATAATACCTTAAAGGAGATCACATTCAGTGACCTGCGTTGACAGGTAATATTTAAAATTAAGTATTAATGCTGATTAATTCAGGCAGATGGGTGGTAGCCTAAAGTATAGACATTTTTCCAATATTAATTTTGATATTAAATAAATGACATCGGCTCTTGTTGGATATTGTAAAATTTCCTTTACTTCAACTGTAAAATAATTTCAACAGTGAAAGGTATAAAGTAAGATGAAAATTTCCATCATGATCTTACCTAGAGATAACTTCTCTTTTTTTGAGTCGGAGTATCGCTCTCGTTGCCTAGGCTGGAGTGCAGTGGCGTGATCTCGGCTCACTGCAACCTCCACCTCTCGGGTTCAAGCAATTCTCCTGCCTCAGCCTCCAGAGCAGCTGGAACTACAAGGCGCATGCCACCATGCCAGGCTAATTTTTGTAGTTTTGATAGAGACAGGGTTTCACCATGTTGGTCAGGCTGGTCTCAAACCCCTTACCTCAAATAATCCGCCCGCCTCAGCCTCCCAAAGGGCTGGGATTATCGGCATGAGCCACTGCGCCCTGCCTTCTTTGTTAATTTTATATGTTTCGGTTATGTAAATATATAACTGAAAGGGTAAATATATATAAATACATATTTACTGCACATTTATATTGATATATATTTCTCTGCTTGTATCTATCTATATACACACTTTATAAATAAATGAGTCAAGATTTTTAAAACAAAATACCAAATTTTTCAGTATCATTTGAAATTTTTCAAAATTACTTTTTTAAAATTTCTGCATATTCATTCAGTGAAGTTGAATGATCCAGTGGGCACTCTGTATTCCTTCATAAACTGTGTGGTGAATGTGCGTGTGTGTATGTATGTATATGCACGTGTTTATGTGTTTTCTGGGGTTAATTTCCTTAAAATAAAAAGGCAACTGTCAAGACTAAAGCTATAATAATTTTTATGAATCTTAGAAAATGTTGAATTTTTAGTGATTCCAGAAATTGATCTCTATCGATGAAACTGCTTTCTCAAATACGTCAGCAATGGGATTCAGGCTTTGCTTACAATGTGAAGGAAGTTCTTAGTCTCATTTGCACAAAGAAGGAAGGAGGGCTAAAGATAAAAAGAACTCATAGTCTTTTCCATAGTTTTGGGTCATGTTCACTGTAAAAAAAAATCACAAGATGCCATTTTTACACAGCCTTTTTAATCTACACATACGGCAAGCTAATAATTCCAAAAAAATAATTTCTTTCCTTTGTAGCCATTTAAAACTAACAGCTAGAAATATTTCTTCTTCCAATTATTAAAAATAAGCTGTTTCTGAGTCGGTGCTGACTACATTTACTGATTGAAGCAGCCAACTCCAAATATACCATCTTTTAGTATTGACACTTAAAATAAAACTTCTCCCCAGAAAAAGAGTTCTATAAATGATGGCTGTAGAAATAGGCACTGTCCAGGCAGTTGTTTTGTGGAAGTAGTGTTGTTATTTTCTGGTGTTTTCCAAGTCATCTCAGATGGTGCGTGAAAATGAGATGCCAAAGAAGGCTTAAAAAAGATACCCTGCACCAGCTTCAGAATGTAAGCAAATCTTTCATTCCAGCGCTTAAAAGTTTTGAGAAAGCTAATCTAAAGTTAAATGTTTACTAGCATCTCTCCGATTATATTTTAGAAACTACTGCACAAAAATAAAACAAATTTCTTATTTTCTCTGGGTTGAAAAGTGCACATAAAATGGAAAATGCTTTTTATACCACTATTTCCAGCAGGGATTTTATTTTCATTTGTCATTTGCCAGCCTGGGGTATGTTGGGAGAAGGAACAATTGATTTTTGAAAAGGTGCATTTGTGTGAAAACCAAAAATTGTGTTCAACAAATACTACTACTAACCCATATGTGGATATATGTGTTTTATACATGAGTAAAAAAAAAAAAAAAAACATACATATATGTATGGCATATATATATATATATATATATATATATATATATATATATATATGCTATAGAAATGCCATCAAGTTACCAGTTTACTTCTAAATGTAACTGCTTAATATAAAATATGCATCTTTTTGTAGTACCTAATTCTTGCAATTCAGTGTATTTCCTGGCGAGAGGCAGAGATGAACAACCCTGGACAGTTACCACATATGGCTCTTATGAGGTAATGAGGATGGTTGTGATGAGAAGGGTAAAAAATAAAAAAGTTATTACAAAACATTTTTCAAGGAATTTTCCAAAAAATGATTTTAATATTCTCTTTGCTTATGGAATGATATTTAAAACCATGATTTCTGTGTCCTTTAAAATGACTTCTGATTTGTGAATTGTTCTCTGTGCTCCAAACTTCTTTTATTTGTCCCTGTGTTTATGCTCATAACCATTCATTTCCCTCTTTTCCCACTGACTTAGCCTCTGGGGTTGTAAAGAAGTTACTCGTTTATTTTTGTGTATGTGTGGGGTTTTGTCTTTTGTTTTCTGAGAATAAAGTATATGAGATCATGGAAAAAATCAGAAAACGAGGAAAATCATAAATTCATTACCAAAATAATTTCTGATTTGGTATTATAGCTCTGCAAATTACTTCACTAATTGTGTTCATAGGTACTATGGTACACTGTACACTGTTTTGTAACTTGCTTTTTAGATGGATTATATCATATTTTTCTGTATCAATAAATATGAATTCATTACATCAGTTTAAACTGATCAAAAACATTTTAATCAAAGTAATACAATTAAATTGCTAAATATCATAGGGAATCGAAGAGTTTATAATCCCAAACCATACTCTTTCTTTTCCTAGCCAGCTGGGGACATTTTTAATTGTTTCTATTTTCATTCTTTCTGTTTCAGTTCTTATAAAAATACATATATAAAATTGGCTAAATGATTAAATGTTATAGTAGTTCTTTAATTATAAATTTGAATAATATTTGTTGACTTCCAAACTGCATACCCCTTGCCTTGTCCAAGTAAAACTGTACCATCGTTTATTCTCTGTGTTGTCAATAAAACACTAAGTGATATCTGAGTTTCTAAATTTCAGTTCACTCATAGAATGTATCCTTTTTTTTCTTCTTGCCTCCAACATTTTATTATGAAATTTTCAAATTCATGATAAAAGTATATAGTATTCATCTGTATACTTACCTCCTAGTCTATATATTTTTTACATACTGTTTATAATTGTTTTATTATTTTCTACCCATTTGTCTATCTGTTAACCCAGCTTAATTTTTGATGCATTTAAAAGTAGGTTGTAGATACAAATAACCATCACCCTAACACCCTTCAATACAATGTTTACAGTTGTTTTTTTGACATTGGAATGTATCTGTGGTTTCTCTATTTCATAGGATCATAGCATTAACACCTTTACACTTCCCCTTACATCTCCTTCCATTTCTTCTCCCCGTCCGCCACCAGCTTCCATCATCTGTATTATACAGAATCTGTCCTAAAAAATTCTGAAGTAGGCCTTAGGTTTTTTTTGTTTTTTTAAAGGGTCTTGTTCTGTGGCCCAAGCTACAGTGCAGTGGCACAATCTCAGCTCACTGCAGCCTCTGCCTCCTGGGCT
This sequence comes from Homo sapiens, assembly GCF_000001405.40. Classification (NCBI taxonomy): domain Eukaryota; kingdom Metazoa; phylum Chordata; class Mammalia; order Primates; family Hominidae; genus Homo; species Homo sapiens. Next base: position 544,196 of record NW_003315917.2, on the reverse strand, counting down.
CAAGTAATCCTCCTGAATAGCAGGGATTACAGGCACAGACTACCATGCTTAGCTAATTTTTCTATTTTTTTATTTGTAGAGATGGGGTTTCATCATATTACCCAGGCTGGTCTCAAACTTCTGGGCTCAAGCAATCTACCTGCCTATGCCTCTGAATGTGCTGGGATTACAGGTGTGAGACACCCTGTGTGGCCAGGCCTCTTTTTAAAAATAAGCCTGATAGTTAATTTTATATGTCAATTTGACTGAGCCATAAGTTGCCCAGAGATTTTGTCAAGCATTATCCTGGGTGTGCCTCTGTGGGTGTTTCTGAATGAGATTAGTATTTAAATCAGTAGACTGAATAAAATAGATTGCCTTCCCTAATGTGGATGGGCCTCATTCAATAGCTGTGGGAATGAATAGATCAAAAGGGCAAACCCCTCCGTGAGTGACAGAGATCTCTTCCTGCCTGACTGCCTTCAAGCTGAGACACTGGAATTTTTTTTCTGCCTTTTGACTTCAATTAAAACATTGGCTTTTCCTGGGTCTTGAGCCTGCCCGTCTTTAGACTAGAACTAGAAGCTATCCTGGGTCTACAGTTTGCCAACTGCATACCTTTGGACTAGTCAGCCTTTATAATTGTGTGAGCCAATTCCTTATAACAAATCTTTATATATCGATATATAGAGATATATATTGATATATATATATACCTATATAGAGAGATATATCTATATATCTATATAGATATCTATACCTATATAGAGAGATATGTCTATATCCATATATAGATATATAGAGATCCATATATATCCTCTATATATGGATACATCTATATATAGAGAGATCTCTCTAAATATCTCTATATCTATAACTATATCTACATCTACATCTATAGCTATATCAACATCCAATTTGTTCTTTTTCTCTGAGAACACCTACTGATAAATAAGTTTCTAAGTTTTGTCTATCAGTTGATGCTAAAACATTAAAAAAAGAGAACAACTAATACTCTTTTTACACTAATTAGAACAATGTAAGCCTTTTTGTTTTATTACCAAATAATTTGTATTTCCTATGTAATTGCTGCAGTTTTATTTTGCATATAGATTTTTTTTCCGTAACATCTTTGTCTGTTAGTGGTTTTATTTATGTATTTTTTTAATATCCTTAGATTCATCCCACTTCTGAGGTCAGACATCACATCTTTTCACTACATGCCTCTCTTTGGGAGGTTTCTTTCTTGCTAATCCAAACAAGAACATCTGCACAATTGTCAACCTGGAATTTACTTTATTAATCTCCTGGTTTGGAAACACTTTTTCTTGGATGTTATATTTACTTTGGTTTACTATTTTGTTGGCTTGCACTAATTTTATATGATTTCTTAATAATGAGTGTATGTTAGACATTTTACTTGAGTCTTTTCATATCACGGTATGCCTTTATTTTACCCTCATATATAATTAATTTTCATCTGGGCATATATTTCCAGATTAGAAATCATTTCTTTTCATACATTTTAAGGAATTTATACATTTGCATCTGAAATTGTATTCATTATCTTCTAGAAACCAAGAGTGGACTTGGTATCCGTCTGATTATATTTTCTTTGTTGGTAAAGAGCCTCTTTTTTCCCTTTTTATTTTCATCTTCTCTTTCTCTAGTGTTTATAATCTTATTTTTATGAATGTAGTCTAATTATTTAGAACACTGTCTCCGAGTATGTGTTTATTTGGGTTTGTGTTTTGAACATTGCCTCCAGGTGCGAGTTTATGTGTGTTTATGTTTCCTATTTGAGGTTGGACACTTAGAAAATTTTCTCAATTCGAAAACTATTTTCCTTCAGCACTCAGAAATTTTTATCAATGATTATTTCCACGATTATTTCCTGTCCTTGGTTTTTCGTGTTCTTAACCTAGAATTCAATTGTTTAATGTTAGACCTTACACATCTTCAATGTATCATATATATTTCACTCATATTATTTATTGTCATATCTTTTGGACTATTGTGTGAAAGCAATAAATGTATATTACTTTATTTATTGGTAATGCTCTTCATTTTCAAATTTAATACACACAAATTGTGCATACCCACACACATATACCACAGATATATTCATTTTCAGGATTTCTTTAAGTGTTATTTTAAAAATAATCATATTCTTATTTTGTGAACTGTGGGATTTCTTGAAACTTTTTGAAAACTCTCATTAGTCTGTGTTTGTGTGGTTTCTTTAAATTATCTCTTCCTTCAGAATTACTTTTGTGTTTTGAATTTGAGTCTTTGCCATTCATAAGGCGGGCTTTCCTTGAATACCAGATAACTCTGAGTTTCCTGTTCATATTTAAGAATAAATAACCTAATTTGAAGTTTTGAGTTTTTGAGTTGTATTTATTGATCAGAGTTTTGGCCTAGAATGAATAAAAGAATCAATCATTTCTTCTACTTTCAGATATTCGGTTGGGGGTGTTCTAAGCACAATGGTGTCCCAACACTGTCCTAATTCTTTACAGGTTACCTACAGAATAACGTCTTTTAAAAATTATTTCTTTATTGTTTACATTCTGGTCATTAATGCCTATATTTTATGCATTCTCAAGCATATAGGAGAAATTCTGTATATAGAATATTAGTTCATCTCTGTGTTTTTCCTGGCAAATTTTATGCCTTTTCTTTGGAATCACTGCCAAATCTGGGTCTCTTTCAGAGCTGTGCCTTCATTGCTGGAGCCCTCTCAGTGTAAACACTCGCATATAGCTCCTTTGGGCTTGTTTAAACAGTCACCAATCCTTCACCTATGTGCAATGTTACAGAAATTGGCCATCTTCTCTGATGACCTCTACGCCACTCCCTCCCATCAGAATTACGGGTTGTTATTTTTGTTCCTCTGCTATAAATTACTGATGCTCTCTGAAGAGGAGTTAAAGGTGTTTGGGAGGTACACCATTTCCCTGTACCAAAATCATATTAAGTAAAACTTGAAATCAACAGAAAAAATAGAAGTAATTATATGATGAAAATCTATATTCTCACAATCTAGATTAAACCATTCTCAACATTTTGTTGTATTTGCTTTACTTTCATATATGGATGATTTGAAAATAATTTACAAACATCATACCAACTCACTACACAATATTTCAGCACCAGTTTTCTGAAAATAAGACCTTTTCCTGCATAACCACATTGTCACAGTTTCAGTTAAGAAAATTAATTAAAATGCCTGTTATCACTTAATAATGGGTCATATTCAATACCCCCACTTCTCTCTCCAAATATCTTTGTAGCATTTTCTTTCTTTGTTTTCTGAACACGAAGCCCCATAAGTTTCAAGCATTGCATTTGGATTAGTGTCTTTACTTTCCTTAATATAGACGGATCACATATTTAAATATTAACAATTTATTTGTCATTATCTTTTGTCATGGAACTAGGTCCCCATTTTGAATTTTTCTGCTGGAATGAGAAACTTCCAGACATGTGGTCTAAATCTTTATTGCTCTATCTGTTTTACTATCGCTCTTCTTCAGTCTCAAAACATATATGGACAAAAGCAATCACATAAAGGTCTGTCCTACTTAATATGGACATCTTTATAAAAGCAGTTACAGAATCTTCTGATAGATCTATACACACATTCAGATGTAAGGGATATGTTTCTTGTACAGGATACTCTCAGTACATTTTGTTATAATAATCACGTATAAGTGGTAAGACCCATTACCATTCTTGAAATCTATGATTATAAGTGATGTAGAATGGTTTAGTAGTTAGTGATTGAGATTTAAAGTAATATTGTCACTGATTTGTTTACTTACACACAGGATTTACTCACTTAAACCAGCCAATATGAGTATAAGAAAATTTTGCGTGAGTTTCTTTGTCTGAAATAATTTTATTATGTACAACACAAACTACTTTTGCTAGATTCTTCCTGGTAAACTTATAAAACACTTAGTGTTTCCTTTTTTGAAGTTGCCTAGTTTCATGCTAATACTTATTCTGAGCTCAAGAACATCATAGTGGCCATTATATTAACTACAAAGCCATTAGATTATACTTAAGGTATTTATAGATGAAAGAAGATCAGACCCAAAGATGATCTATAACTCTGCCTGAGTAATGTTATGCAAATTGTTCTCTTTTCAAAGTCACCGAATGCCCAAGAATATTTAACATTCTATGCTAGTCTACTCTCCTGAGGTGACTCATTTGTTCTCCCTAGTTTAATTGTTGCTATATGAGCAAGAGGGATACCACTTTACAAGGTTAGGAATTCCCTCTAACAGCCCAATGTGCTTTGAGAACTCCCCTGCCTGAGTAACAGACCCAGAGCTATTTATCATCTGGAAATATTTCACCTTATATTGAAGAGAGCAGAAATCCATCTCAAAAAGGCCCCCAAGCATCCCCAGTGTATGCCAAAGAAGCTCACAGAAGAAAAAAGAATATTTGCAATGCTCAAGAGCAAAAAAGCTTATGTGCTAGGATATATTATACATCCTGTTATAGAAAAAAAAATATGCTATTCCCCCAATGCTGTCTTTTATCTTTCTTACTTTGCTCGAATATTGCCTTCATGGCTACATATAAAAGCCATCCTATTTTCTCAGATTGTCATATTTTACAACTTTAGCTCACTCCAATTATAATCTCTCATTTCAAAGTGTCACAATATGTGAATAAGAACTTCTATAAAAGTTGGAGAGGTCACTGGCTTGGACCCAGGATTTGGGAAGAAAAATATGAGAGAAGGTTAAAATAACTTCTTTCTTACTTTTCCAACATTGTAAAACATATTTCACAAGCTCGGTTTTAGGGAAAAAATTTCCAGACAATAAACCATTCATATCAAATTTTCAGTAATGGAATCTCTATTTTGAATAACAGTAAATTTGATGTATCATTTCAAACAATGTAGTTATTTTTCAGAATACTACATAAATGTATGTGATTTAGTCTAGATTTAAAAATAAATGCCAATAATAATCAGTTGTTAATAACAATACATTACTATAGTTAGATATCATTTCTTAATTTATTGTTAGCATTTCTTCATTATTTCCATTATTAGCTCTTATCGAATATTATATACTATGTTAAATGCCTTATAGGTTTTATTTAATTTTGACTAACCACTGATATGCTATCATGAAAAATCTAGTAATAAAATCTTTTTAACTGAATTCAAATAGTCCCAAGTGCAAAATAAAATTTTAAAAACTATATGTCCTACACTAATTTATTTGCATATGCACTTAATAATCCCAATAAAGCAGCTTAACCCAAATCTGAACTCGAATGTAAAACTCCATCTAACCTAATTTCTTTCTGTTAGTCTTTATTATCATAGTCACTTCTATTTATGTTTTATTTTCTCCTTTATTTTTTAATTTTTTTTATTTTAAATACCCTTTTATTTAATGGTATAAAATGTCTGGCTACATAAAATCAAATCAATTACGATAAGATAAATATAAGTACGATTTCAAAAAAAGCTAAATCTAGCTAAAAATTCTACATTTTTAACACATGCGAAGTATACATGATTTATTAGTAAAATGTAATACATTGGGAGTAAAACTTTAAAAAATATTTGATATATTCACATTTCTTAATTGCAGTATAGACAAAATGACCTACGAATCAAGCATTTTGTTCCACGGTCTCTACTGTTAGCTGCATGTCTCAGAAACAGCTTCTTTCTCAAGAGAGAACAAGAGGGATAATGCTGGATCTAAAGGCATCATCTGAAGAAGACAAAGATATCAACAATCGCAACTATTTGGCTTTCTGTCCATCACTGAGACTTTTCATAATCTTCCCTTCATAAATAGGATCTCTTGATCAGAACAGAAAAGTTGAGTCTTAAATTTCCTGTATTTATTTCTGACTGATACTGAGGGAAGTGCAAATTTGGTTGCTATGATTAAACTCCTTGATTGTTCTTAATGGGACTCTTTTAATAAGTCAAACATTTTTGCCATCTAAGTATATTGATGAGCGCCACTTTATCTCAAATGTTTACACATACTAGGGAAAAGCATCTGCAGTTTCTGAACTCTTTGTGAATCAGTATCACTTTTTCATGTTACTTCAGAGATCAATATTCAGTGCATTGGTTTTATTTACCATCTTTTCTCCCAGTTGATCTTGTAATCATCAGAAAGGGAAAAAAAATCTCCTTCACAAAGCCCTTTGCGACAAACTTATGTAAATAATAATCTAAGGACAGCTAGAAAAAAAATACACCATACAGGGGAATAGATCCAAAATTGATATCTGCCTCACCTGTATCACCTATTGTATTAGTAACTGGAAAGGTAAATAAATAACAGAGACTAGAATGTTTCCAAACGTAGTAGTGAAAACTACTCCCCTCCTCCCCCCATATAACACTACAACAGGTTACTTTGGTTACAGGATATGACAATAGCTCTGCAATATCAGAAAAATGCCTGCCTGGCGCTGCGGCTTATGTCTGTAATCTGAGCACTTTGGGAGGCTGAGGTGGGCGGATCACTGGAGGTCAGGAGTTGGAGACCAACCCGGCCAACATAGTGAAAACCCGTCTCTACTAAAAATACAAAAATTAGGTGTGGTGGCGGACGCCTGTAGTCCCAGCTACTTGGGAGGCTGAGGCAGGAGAATGGCGTGAACCTGGGAGGTGGAGCTTGCATTGAGCCGAGATCACTGCACTGTACTCCAGCCTGGGCGACAGAGCGAGACTCCATCTCAAAAAAAAAAAAAAAAAAAAATGCCTACAGTAGATTAGAAATAAGGAAAAGTTGCTTGATTTCCTAATTTTCAGGGTATAAGAAGAAATCTAGGCTATCCATGGGCATTCCCAGAAACATCAAGGTTTGCTAAAAACAGAAAATCGGAAGTAGAACAAAAAAAGCGGTGGGAAAAGCATTTAAGACATTGAGGCAAGCCGTGAGGAGTTTGTCAGTCTAAAGGTTGAGTAGAGGACCCTTAAGAAGAGGGAGACAAACATTAAATTTTCAACTTTCTGTAGTTTGATATAATACTTTCCAAGTTCTAGGGTTTCATTAAAACTTCACAAGCTTTTGGATTTTTTAACAAATATTAGGGCTGTGCTTCATGCTTGGGTTAATATGGGGTGAATAGAAGGAACAGCTGGGGAAGAAGAGATAAGAGACAGGTTCTCTAGTAGAAATTAGGAGAAACGTAAGAATCCTATACATCTGCGTATATTTGAGGAGTCTTTAGAGTTCACTGAAGTTCATGGATCGGACGTTATAGCCATTTTAATGTATTTTCATTGTGACAGGATTGACTTTAGAAGGCTTAAGAATTTTGACGAAGAAAAAAGGGGAAAAAGAAGGCATAATAGAGAGAAAGGAAGGAAAGAAGAAAAGACAAAAGTGTAGCCACAAAGTTGTCAACAATAAGAATTGTATAAGAATACATATTCTTCAAGAAATGAAAATAATTAGAACACACATTATGCCTAAATACGTTTTAAGAAATCAAATAAACATGTAGTTTCTAATGGAAGTTCTTCCATGTATTAGTAAATTCTTCCCACAAAGCAGTTTATCTATTTATTGTGAAAGCGATTGAGTTTTGCAGTACCAAGGGATCTTTTGCTTTTAAACCAGTTAATTAGTTTTTATTAGATGCAATGCAATGTTTTGACCAGACTTTTCTCTGTGCTTTTGGGTGGGTTTCCCTATTAGCAGGTAAAACATTTATCTCTTGACTAAAAGTAGATGACATCTTTCCCCAACCATGAGTCCTCAGGTTGTTACAGAGGCTGCCTTCCTGTCTCACTCTGTACCCCCCATTGCCTCTCCGAGTTTAAAAAGGAAATGATTAATTAGTCAAAAGAATATGTCAAAAATGTAACATATTATGTTTAACATAAGTAACTAATGATTAGTCAAAAAGAATATGCTAAAACTTTAACACATTATGTTTAACATAAGTAACTATATTAAAATTTAGAATATATTTATGATTTCCAAATCAATGGTTTGTTTTTGCAAAACCTGCACCAGAATGAAATGACCCTACAAAGTGGAGATAATATAAAATCCTTTTTTTCCACTGAAATTTGTTTTAGATAATACTAATTCTATCAGTGGCTTTCTTTTACCCTTAAATGGATGTTAAATTAGTTGAGAGATGTGTTCAATTCACAATATTTGAGAATGGAGCAATATGATACACTTATATCAAATCCCTTTGTGTAATCTTATTCTTTCTCTGGCTGTTGTACACTTTTCCACCACCTCATATTTAATTTGTATCCTTCTTTCTGTCATTTGCTGTGGATTTTTATCAGAGTTGGTCTAACTTTAGAGGTCGAAGTTTTCTTTTCACAGGGATATGAAATTAGACACAATCATACCATATTTAGTGATTTCTGTGTTTTCACCAGATCAAACACAGATCACATGGTCCATGCTCAGCAATGGTTTAATGAACTAATGAATTTATAAAGGAACGAATGCATGCACATATAGCAAGCCCATCTTTAAATTTTGTTGTTGTTGTCGTTTGAATTTTTGTTTGGCATATAGGGTGTATACAACATAAAAAGAGTTAAAATCCATGATCCTGAACATCAGATATTTGTGGGTTAGAATCCGAAACTGATCACTTATTACATTTGTGTTATTGTGTAAATTACTGAATTTCTTCATACCTCAGAGTCTTCATATGTAAAATGTAGACTATAATATTTATATCATAAATTTGGAGAATACTGTAGAGAATTTGGCTTCACAGTTTGTTTTCCTTCATTTCTCTCCCTTCATATCCAAATAAGCCCAGTATAGCAATATTCCTTTCTATTTATATTAACTTATATAAATGTGCATGAGAAAACTGATTGGATTCAATAAGATGGTAGAAAAAGCTATCAAGCTTCTATATTTTGCCAGGCAACTTTCTAATGGCTTTATGTGTCTAAACCCACTTTAATACTCAGAAAAACACTATGATTACAATCCTTCTATTAGCATTCTCATGTTGTAGATACAGAAATTGAGGGACAGGCAGGCTAACTTGGCTCAAGACACACAAGTAAAAATATTCAGAGCAGAGATTAAACCAGGTTGTCTAACCCCACGTGTCTTTGGGACTAGCATTTAAACTGAATCATCTCACTTTTAATTTGATAATACAATGCCATTAACAGGAAAAAAAACTTTTGAAATATCTTGAGAGAAAAAAACCAAAAAAGCTGAATCTATGTTCAGAGAATTGAATTAGCAATAGATATAAACTACCCAAGTTTTCGTTTTGTGACATCAATTTGAGCAAAGCCAGATTTGTATTACCCTGAATGCATTAATAACAATAGTATCATTGAAAAATACTTTCGACTGCCCATTAGTAATTGTACTAGGTACTAGAAAACACAATTTAGTAATCGCTCCCAGGGAGTCAGTTTTTTGAATAAAATATTTTTCTATGGTTGTGCACATTGTGCCATAATTTGCTTTGAAAGACATAAAATCCATCATATTAAAAAGGTAATAGAGTAACTCCATTTAATAACAGAAATGGTCATTAAAATATCTACATTCTTTCTCACAATGAACTAATAACTACACAGATTTGTGCATGTGTATGAAGACGTTTATATGTGTTTTATGTGAGAGAAAAAAATGAAAAAATGGTATTTTCTTGTGCTCAGACAAGCACAATTTTTGCAAAATAAATACAAGGCCAAATATATATATTTATTTATATATATATATACTTGTTATATATGTATATATAGGTTATATATATATTTGTTATATATATAACAAATATATATATAATTTGTTAAATATATAACATTTATATATATGTATATATATCTCAATGCTCTTAACAATGCTCATAAGAACACAATCTGAAATTACAGTGTCTGCTTATTTTCAAGGGTGGTTTGAAGGTGACCTATTTTTTGTAGCATCCATCACTGTGGGGATTGCTTAGTGTGTTAAAGCATGAAGCCGCCTTACCGAAGTCTTCTATTTCCTTTCCTCATTCTATAGTAACTACTTCAAATGGATTTGAATGTGTAATATCACAAATGCAGAAAAAATAAATACAAGAACTTAGCTTGTTTTCTTTGCATTATGAGTCAAGTTTTTTTGTCAAATTTACTGCTAAGAATTAATATTTCATGGTCTTATATCTTGTAATAGTATCATAAATATTATCTTACTTGCATAATAATTTATACATAATATTTATTTTCTGCCCCATAGTGTGAAAATGAGTAATCTTAATCCCAAAGATAAATATTAACTATCCTGTGTAAGAAATGCAGTAAGTTACATCTTGTTTCTAAATACAGGTTAGTGAGAGATCATTTTTTTAAAGCTCTCATTATAAACATATTAAGAAAGGAATCATTCTCAGAGTTTACTTATTTCCCAATAGGTTAATAGGATTCCCAAGAAACTGCCAAAGAGATAATAGTTCCATTTTGACTTTAACTTAAAAGAAAAAAATAAAATAAGAAGGCAAAAATGCAAAAACGAAAAAAATAGATGTCACAGATGCTATAACTTGAACTTTGACTGTTTTAGCAAGTATATACTATTGAATGCCTGACTGAAATAAATTGATTTCAGGCTGTTGCATTTTTAAAGGTCAGAAAGTTTTTTTTTTTTTTTTTTTTAAATGAGTTTCAGGATTATGAAAGCAGGTGCTTAAGTAGAGATTGATTGAAGCCTTAAATGTTGAATATTTCTTTTAAAGTTTGGTTGCTTTTCAGAAGCTACTAATTTATTATTATTATTATTAAGGTTCTCCTAATGATTCTTGGAGTCCATGGAATTATGTGTGTGCATACGTGTTCGTAGAACATTTTCTTAAAACTGACACATGAATGTTATTGACCATAGAGGTGCATTATTTCCGAGATTAAAAAAAAAAAATTAGTTTTCTTACTGATCATCCACTGGTTTTTACAATTTTTCCTTCTCCATGTATCGTTGGTTTCTTATTAAGGTAAGTTACAGACAGAACTTATAGATGGAATTTCCAAGACTAACCAGGGTCCAAACATACTTCAGTGTATTATTTTACATCATAAAACTTGATGTATTAGTCCATTTTCACTCTGCTGTAAAGAATTACCTGAGACTGGGTAATTTATAAAGAAAAGAAGTTTAATTGATTCACAATTCTGCACAGCTGGGGAGGCCTCAGAAAACTTACAACCTTGGCAGAAGGCGAGGCACATCTTACATGGCGGCAGGAGAGAGAGAGAGAGATAGCCAGGGGTGAAGTGCCACAATTTAATACCATCAGATCTTATGAGAACTCACTCACTATCAGAACGATGAGGGGGACATCTGCCCTCATGATCTAATCACCTCCCACTAGGCCCCTCCTCCAACATGTGGATATTACAATTCGAGATGAGATTGGCGGGGGGTGGAGGGTGGACATAGAGCCAAACCATATCACTTTAGCTTATCAATACTGAACTAAATCAAAATCAAACCTGAATTTTCAATTATGACTGAAATGTAACCTACAGAGTAGTAGGAAGTATTCTACAACAGACTCCTAGATTTCTCTCCCCTGAGTGTCCATATCCTGCATAATCTCCAGGACTGTCAGGACAATGGATTTTATTACTATGCTTATGCTATGTCATATGACACAGTTAATCTTCAAATAAGATTATTTGGGTGGGCCTAACCCTATCACATGAGACCTGTAAAGCAGAAAGTTTTTTCCAAGTGTAAGAAAAGGAAGTCCAAAACACATGCTCCAGCCAGCTTGGAAGAAAGCAAATACATGTGTTAAAGCTGTGGATGCAGAGAAGCCACCTGCAGGAGTTGAACTACCTACACCCCAGCTCACAGCTGGCAGTAACAAAGGAAACCTCAACCTTAAGAGAGCAAGGAAGTGTCTTCTATCAACAATATGAATTATCTTCAAAGCTGCTTCTTCCCTAAGAGCCTCAAGAGATGAACACAGCCCTGCTGACACCTTGGTTTCAATCTTGTGAGACCCTGAGCAAAGAACTCATTCACACTGGGCTGAATTTTTGCCTGCAGAACTGTGAGTTAATAAATAAGGGTTATTTTCAGCTGCTAAGTTTATGGAAATTTGAAATGCAGCAATAGAATACTAGTACAGATAAATACTGAAATCTAATATTTGCATTACTTCACTTAAAAAGAAATCATGCCTTAAGAGTAAAGAGAATTTTTATTTCTCGGTTATGTGCTATAGTTCTCTGATACATTTTAATTTGTTTGCTTATTTATTTTTCCCTGCCAGTATCCTCTCTCCACTATTTCTGGTTGACACTTCTGCCCCTTCGTTTTATCAGTGTTTTGATACCTATCCTCTCTGTGAATACAGTGATATTGGTAATTACTGTATTTTGTCCCTTACCCACAGGCTGAGCAAGAGTCTTAGGTCTGGCCAATAATCATGGGCAGCTTTTTAGAAAAAAGAGTAGTTGCTTCATTACTCAGATGGTCCCCACCTCATCTTGTGCACTGGACAATGTAATAGAGTTCCCTCTAAAAATGGAGAAAATAGAGACTACACACAAAGGGAGACAGAGGTAAGAAAATTAAGAAAAGGAGAAAGAAAGGAGTTCTGACCACATGATGTCAATTCCAACAAGTATTCTTGACTTTTCCACATATAATGTACTCATCAATCTCTTACTCTGAATTTGTTTTTGTTACTCTAAAGAACAACAACAACAAAAAAGAAAAACAATATTCGGCCTAAGTGACCCCCAAAACACAATTTCCTACTTTCTTTTCCATGCAACTGGCATTTATTGAATACTCATTGTATTCAAGTTTCACAGATTTGGAACAAGTTCATCATTACGTCCCCAAAGGTAACCTGGGAAGAGAAACCTTGTTCCACATCAAAGTCAGTACAGCAGGTTTTGCTACTGCTTCATCATTTATACAGTTGGAAACAACTCTGTTTCTTCTACTAGGTCAAAGTGAAATTGAGAGGCGAAGCCGGCTGGGCTTCTGGTCTGGTGAGACTTGGAGAACTTCTCTGTCCAGCTAAACGATTGTAAACATACCAATTAGCACTCTGTGTCTAGCTGAAGATTTGTAAACACACCAATCAGTACTCTGTAAAAGCGGACCAATCAGCACTCTGTAAAATGGACCAATCAGCAGGATGTGGGCAGGGCCAAATAAGGGAATAAAAGCTGGCCACCTGAGCCAGCAACGGCAACCGAGTGGGGTCCCCTTCTACACTGTGGAAGCTTTGTTCTTTTGCTCTTGCTGCTGCTCACTCTTTGGGTCTGCACTACCTTTATGAGCTGTAACACTCACGGTGAGGGTCTGCCACTTCACACCTGAAGTCAGTGAGACCAGGAACCCACCAGAAGGAAGACACTCCAGACACATCTGAACATGGGAAGGAACAAACTCTGGACACACCATGTTTAAGAACTGGAACACTCACCGCCATCACGGCTTAGTGCTTGAAGTCAGCGAGACCAAGAACCTACCGGAAGGAACCAATTCCAGACACAAAATGTCAGCCAATCCAAACTTATGAAGGAGGGAATTCTGGGCTGTTGATCTAGTGTGTAGTGAGCTCAATATAGAGGACAGAGCTTTCATCATGTAAATTGATATGCAAAGGCAAATGAAACGTGGTGTGTACTTCCTACTGATGCGTCAGGGTATAGGCCTCTTTTTCTGCCATTCAAATAATGGAAGTTAATTAAATTTTAAACAAATGTATAGATTCATTAGTTTTACTGTGCTCCATGCCAGTATTCTCCAACTCAGCCATCCTAAGCATTTTTTAAAACAGGGGATTTTTGAAAATGAAAGCTTAGCAGCCACCTCATTATGCTAAATGTCTGTGGAAAAATGCGGGGCCAGGGTTCAGTTTCTCCCCACTCCCCTTTCCCAATTCATAATCATAGGCACACACAGGAGGTATCACTGTAATTCACAGAACACATTTAAATCTTCTGCTTGAAACTTTGTGGTACCATTATTTGGCTACTCCAAGCTAACCTCTCTCCTATCCTTTTCTGAGGGAAACACTTTGTGCTCAACATAATTTTTGTTTCATTCCAAGTTTTGATGCTGATTGCATAAAAAACAGCCCACAAGTACTGCTGTATTTTTAGTTTAAAACAGGCTTTATTTACTGCCTTATAAAATGTTGAGTACTTTTGCTTCCGTGATCATGCTATGCTTACAGATATAAAAATTGCCGCCCATTTTATGTCTTGAATCCTTCCCTGAGTAGTCGGCATAACATTTGTTGGTTCTGAGTACACGTTGGTGCTAATGAAGCTTGAAATTTATTGACCTTCTCGTAAGAAGGAGAATAATAAGATATTTGAGCAGTCGGCTCAGGTACTTATAAGTTCACACACACGTGTTTTTTTTTTTTTTTTTTTTCTTCCAATGCCTGCTTGAAGTGTAGACCATGTCTTTCTCGTACTAGAACTATTTCTACTACGATTCTTGAGCTGGCCATTCTAGAGCTTTGCACATTCCTTGTCTGAAGGGATCGGCCCTGGCCATGCCAGCTGCCTCCCAGCCATAGGTAGCTCCTAAACCAAATTATACTTGTGATCAGGTATTGCAAAAATAATGTTAGTGTAATATAAATTGGTAAGAAGAAAGTATAGATTTTAAAAGAAAACCAAATGGTCTTCATGCATGGCTTCTGTCGGCATAAAATCAGGCCGCTGGAACTAGGAAGTTCCTTAGAGAACATTGTTTCAATTACTTCAGTTCACAAATGAGGAAATTGAGAATCAGGAAGGCTAAGTGATTTCCCCAATATCATAGAGCTAGTTAATTACAGAAATCAGAATAGAAACTGGGTTATCCAATCCTCTGCCCAGGGTTCTTTCCATTACACCAAATAAAATTACCTGCTGCTATTTGGGCTAGATGGCTCATTATAGGAGCCTTTTAATGTTTCACAAATCAAAATATTATGTTCCTATAAAATTTAAAACAGTTAAAAATAAAACAAGTTTTGTTTTCTGATGGTTTCAGATAAAATACATTACATTAAATGGATTTCATATGTAAATGTGTTACCGCATTTATATGAGGAAAAAGTTCTACCAGAAAGCATTAGGAACTGAGAATTGATGGCTGCCAGGATTAGAAAGGATGACATCAAGTTCAAGCTCCAGTAGCAACACAGAAAAATATAACATGGAGTAAAATTAGTAGATAGAAGCGTCATTATCTGACTTGGGTATGTTTGAAGAGAAAAATGTAAATCAAAAGAAATGGGATTATTTGTTTATTAATAATGACATTAATATTTTCTATTTGAATAATTGCTATAGACCTGTGAATTATTTTATAGATATTATCTTCTTTGACATTATTAATAATCGTTTTCTTCTTAGCAATCAAGATGAGGGGGCTAAACCTTGGGATATTAAAGTATTTGTCCAGCATATTGCAGCAAACAGGTTCAGAGTCTGGGAACAAAACTCAGGTGTCCTGACTTTGTCTCAATAATACATATTCTCTGGTTTTATTTTAAATTTTACTGTAATCTATTTTGGAAGCTTTTCAACAATGAAAAAGAATACTGTTCCTCCAATATTTATCCCTGTTTAAAGGGCCCAAAGTTGTGGTCATGAAGAAGCAGTAAATGATGAATATTTTCTGCATTTCACATCTTTTATCACATGTTATATATTGTGGGGCATAAAATTTTATGAAATTATAGTTACATGCCTGAAATGGATTTTAAATCTCTTCATTTTCTGTGTCAAAAGTGACAGCTGTAAACCTGAAAAATTAAAGCTGCGGTGTAATTCATCTTATCCATAAATAGTTTACTATACATTATACAGTTTGAAGTAAACAATAGACCAGACTTAAAAATGATATTTTTCCATGGAAAACTATGTGATAAATACTAGAGATGCCATGAATATAACTGAAATTATATCACTTAAATATAGACAGAAGATTCTCTACTTTCTTCTTTTACCTTCTTTCTCTCATACTCAAAAGATATGAAAATGTCAAATAATATGCATATTTTAAAGTTGTTTGCACTGCAAATAGATAAACGAAATCGATCTGCAAATTTCCAAGCTAAGAGATGATTATATCTAAAGTAATTCACCTGATTATTTAGGATTGCCTGCAAAATCTACAATGATTTTATTCCTCACAATATTGTTTTCCAATTTGGGGTAGGAGCTAAAAGTTATTGTATGACATCAAGTGATTTGAGGGATGAGAATGTGTTTCCTTAGCGGGAAAACTTGCTGAAAAGAAGAGAGATTTTTTAAAAAGTTCTTGCTTTGACCTGTCTGGATCAGATGGTTTAAGGCTACAACACGAGGCCAATATCTGTATGTGAAGGAGACAGAAACATCAATGTTTGGAGTATATATTGACCTTCATTCTTACTTTCTCCTTATTCTCTTATGTAACTGTTAATTTTTCCCTTCCTTGGCTCTATGTATTTAATTATAATAAGCTTTACCTACAAGCAAAACAAACCAAACATGAACAATGAAAACTACTTTTGGTCATGTAGCAGAAACAGCAGTCAATAAAGGAGAGAATGAAACTAGAATCTTTTTTAAACTAAATCTGAGAAGAGTGTAAGCTTTCAAAATTTTAAATATATATATACATTTGCACTTCAGTGATAGTGCAATTCCAGTCCTTCCACCACAGATCATGTGTGGTTTTATCTATTAGCATAATGTTAGTTTTCTCTTGCATCTTATGTTGAGTTTACGTAGTACAGAGGACACAAATAGTTCCCTGCTTAAAATGAGAACTAATCCTTTTGTGTTATTAATAATTACAATATCAAAGTTTACATTAAAATTTTTAAAAATGTCTGTACAAAATATCAGAAAAATCAGCCTACTTCTTTATAATTGGCTGGGTAAAGTTGCATTGATGTTAGATCTTTATAAAATATTTTAAGGGTCAGCATTTTAAGCAGAATAGCAGTAAATAGTTCCTTACATAAAAGCAAACTTAAACATATGACAGTGTCTTCTCGTGTGTCATTTGAATGAGGGAACCACAGTTGGTCTCCTGAGAAACTGTTCTACCCTTCATTTCATGATACACAGTACCCTAGGCTCTGTCTTTCTTCGTTCTTTTCCTTCTCAAGGGAAGGTTTCTTCCTTCAAAATGAGGCATAGATAAAGAAGGATCTTATATTTACTATAACTTATGCATGTTTAATTGTTTTAAAACATCATACAGAGAAAATTAAATACCACAAACGAAAGTATTTAATCTTAAAGTTTGCCTTAACGGTCTCCATTTCCATTCACAGTGCTTAGAGGTGAAGTGCTTCCACCATTTACAATTTGCAGCAGGACATACTGGCAGGAAATCTTTATTAAAGCAATAGTAGCCCTTTCCTTTTTTCTTTATTTATTTTACAAACCAACCCTTAGTTACTATGCTTTAGCTGAGACTTACCAATTTTTCTTCAAGTATCAATTAAGGTAGACATATTATTCATCATGAGAGAATTACCATTCAGTATTCTCTGGGTGCTTTTTCTCACATACTTGTATCTTGGTCTTAAAAATGAAGCACCAACATTTAAAAGGCAAACATGAGACCATCTCTTCTGAGACTGCCATTGTATCTAATATTGTCTGATTCAAAATGTGGGTCTAAAAGCAAATGAAAATTGACTTTCTTTTCCAGCTCGGCACACAAACCCATTGAACTGTCCCTTCAGGTTTGATGCGCTATCAGTTAACACTGCACTATCTTCACAAGAAATATGATTTGACCTGAGAAGAACTGCAGCAGCCTGAAACATATATTCCCAGATCATGTCTCTCAGAGTACTGTAGCCATTAAATGTCTTCCATAATGTTCGTGATAAATCTGAGTATTAGTGAACAATATCTGTTAAAGGCATCTCTTTGGAACTTCAAGTCTAGTGTACAGGTGCGCATCTGCAATGGGATTTTCCAGTCATAAATGTCGATAGGTCAATCTATCAAGGTTTTCCTCAAACAAGTATATATACTCAGCACTAGTGAAGTTTTATTTTTTAGAATTTATTTTGTATCTCTAGGTGGATATAATGTAGAATATCACTTAAAGGCATAGACTTTAAAATCAACTGCCTGGGTTTGGTGCTATGACCTTGGGCAAAATAATTAACTTTGTATGTGTAAAAGGGAAATAACTGTGGCAGTTGGGAGAATTAAATAAAATAATAAAAAGTTAAGAGTTTAGTACAATGCAAATACTTTGCACTACTAGGCATTACCTAGTATTTCCTTCCACCCATTTGTGTCTAGTTTCTTTTTCCCATGGTTGTTTGAGCCGATCTGCTCATTTGCTGTTATTAATGAAGTTCAGTCACAGTGTAGAAATGTGACTCCTGCTATTTGCTTTTTCTTTTCTTTTTTCTTTTTAAAATTGTTTTGTAGAGATGGAATACTGCTATGTTGCCCAGGCTTGTTTTGAACTCCTGGCCTTAAGCTAGTCTCTCGCCTTGGCCTCCCAAAGCTCTGGGATTACAGGTGTGAGCCACCACACTCAGCCCCATGTGCTGTTTCTTATGCTTAATGTTTTTTGGTTATTTTTTTTTTATCTTTGACAGCCTGAGCCAATATCTATGTGTACTAGGAAAATGCCACGTAGAACACTGAGCCTGGCATCACATCAGCCGTTGGCCTGAGTGCAAATGATATCTGCAAGACCAAACAGATAAAGCTATATGTATAAGTCTCAGAAAGAGTAGGAGGACTCAACTTTGGTGATCACTTTATCAAGTTAATCTCAACAAATAAGCAAGGGGTGGGACTCAACCTCTTCATTCTTACTGTAGCAATCTGGAATCAGTCCATCACCATGACTGATGGTGTAAAATGACATAATTACTCATTAATCTCCACTTAGAAAGTATATATTGCTACTGGCTGGAAATACTGCAGCAACCAGGAGGACCTTCACATTTCTACCATGTAGAAGAATTAAAGATTATTACATTCTGTCTTCAAGTGATGATCGGATAGTGCACAAATATTTTACCTGCCATACATATAAATTCAGCCAATGTGCAATTTAGTTTACAATATTCTTCAGCTGCAAAAGGGTACTTATACTTTCTTTAATATCTATTCAGCTCGAAAAAAAGCCTATCATATCTATTAAAATCAATAGACTTTTTACTTTGCATTTGTTGTTTACTTACATTATTAGAAAAAAGAAGTAATCAGTACTGTAGAAAATTTCATTGATGCAGTTTTCCTTTTCC
The DNA here is from genome assembly GCF_000001405.40 of Homo sapiens. Lineage (NCBI taxonomy): Eukaryota > Metazoa > Chordata > Mammalia > Primates > Hominidae > Homo > Homo sapiens. Next base: position 524,966 of record NW_003315917.2, on the reverse strand, counting down.
TGAATATTTTATAAATTAGAAAATAAAGGCCAAGACATATTAAATAACTTGCCCAATCCTAGGTAGCTGGAACATAGGGAGTAAAAACACAGACGTGACTTCACCCTCTAAATTTGTCACCATTAATTGTTGTAGCTTTCAGCAAATGATTACTTCAGAACATTAAATCATAAGACAATGAGATACACTATCTTTTATTTCACTGAAGCTAGTGAACATCTATTTTAAGCAATGTCTTTAACAGTTTCTTAGCCTTTTGGGATCTGATTGCAAAGTTGTTAATGAGCATGACAGCCACCGCTAGAGGCCTACCTGATATCCCGTTCCCCTTCTCCTTATTAATAGAATCCTTCCATAGTCACAGCATGTATCATCAATGGCTGTGTTTTGCCCAATTAAAATGCTCACTCCTCCCAGAATGCCTCAGAGCTAGAGTACACATGTGACTTCATTTCACCTTATGCAGTAAACATGGGAAAAATCTTTTGGGGCTTTTTAGGAAAAGTTTTTTTAATTATTTTATTCTATTTTTTAACTTTTAGGTTCAGGAGTACGTGTGCAGGTTTGTTATATAGGTAAATTGAGTGTCATGGGGGTTTGGTGTACAGATTATTTCATCACCCAGGTTATAGGCATGGTACCCAATGGCTAGGTTTTCATTCTGCACCCTCCTCCTTCCCTCTGCCCTCGAGTAGGCCCTGTCTGTTGTTCCTTTCTTTGTATCCACCTGTATTCATACTGCATGTACTTTTTGCTGCTTTTTTTTTTAATCTCTCCATTTTTTTCCTTTGTCTTTTCCATGGCTTGCCAAAATAATGATTAGAGATGCAGAAACTGGTTTACGATCATAAAAAAGAAAGCCACATGTTTGATTGAGAAATTAAAAGGTCCTTTTTTGATGTTATCATGGAGTTGCTGTATAAGACCCAGGATGCCAATCTTTGGGTTGCTGTATAAGACCCACGAGAAAAATAAATCCTTCTTTGTTTAAGAGATTATAATTGGATTTCCATTCTGTGCTGCTGAATCCAAATCTGACCTAGGAGATTACTAGGTCAGTATTTTTCTTCATGCAGCAGTGTTTATACTTGTAAAAGTTATTTATGACTTTATAGGAAGAATCATATCAATGTAAAACATATGTAAAAGAGAGACTCCAAAACTCATTTAGTTTGCTCTATACTAGTCAGTAAATATAAAATGAAAAATATTCCAAACATTTTTATTGATAGAGTCATTTAATTTTGTATTTTTAAATGACAAATGAATACTTTATGCAAAGAAAACTTATTATGAACTCTCTAATAAATAATGAAACAATTATTTTGTAAAGCATTTTAAAAAGACAAGAACATTTAAAGGGAAATGATCTGTATTGAGAATACAGAGCTACCCTTTTGTTACAAATCAGGTAACTGTTCTATATACTATTTTGCATAAAACTGCTATAAAGTTTGTATTTTAATAATGCAGTTTTCCATTTTGTAAATATATTTTCTTACAAAATATGAGATGCATTTAAAAATGATATTTATTCATTGGATTTATTCTCCATATCCCTTAAAATTCAATTAAATCATTTACAAATTGTCTGGTTTTAACTTATCTGATTGAACATCTGTAAATAATGTGTTTGAGCAAAATTCACTTTTTTATAAAATTGCAAGTATGGGTATCTTTTAGGGACATGTGGGTGACTCTTTCAATATAGAAGATCACACAAAATTTGGCCATAACACGTCACATATCTCCATAGCCTAGAGACACATCATGAAATAAAGTATTTCATTAGCCTGCTGGGACAAGATTCAGTGTGCACAGCAATATGGAAAAAAAAATCAATATAATGAACATTTTCATAAGCTCAGATTTCCTGATTAAAGTATGATTCTCTGAAGACTGCTTCAAAATGGATATAAATATAAGTACTTTCTCACTGAGCACTCTAAGAGAAAGTTTGGAACACATTCTATTTTGAACATTATAAATTGTGCTTTCAAAAATGATATATAGCTAAAGAAAATTATTTAAACAAAAATGGGCTTTTGATTTAGTGGATATATGCCTAAAAACTGTATATTTTTCATTTTAATAATACCTGTATGGGAAATATATATGGGTGTTAAGGGATCTTATTGCCAGTCAGATAATGGAATTTGCTTTTATAAATTTATGAATAATTCTTACCTTATATAATATATATAAAATTTTCAGTATGATGCATGTATATTAAAATGTATAAAAAGAACTATAATCGTCACATTTTCTCCAAGCATTTATGTGAACAACATGTGAGCTGGGGAGAGAATCAGAGGTTTATTTAACTGGAATTAGTTAATGAAGTCATCTGTCACTGTTAATTTCTTGCCTTGCTATTCCGTTATCAAAGCAACTGAAATGATCTTAAAAGCCAACCATTACAATCATTAATACTCAAAGTAAATATTACATTTATAGATGCAGTAATCTCAAACCTAGCACTTTCATTCAATCATAGATTCTATCATATGAAGAAAGCCAAAGAGACAATTTCAGAGTAAACATTGTTAATGGAAATTACGTTTTGAAAGGGCCTCAATTACATTGGCAGTGGGCCGTCCTCTGAGCACCATAAGAAAAATGTAATTTCATTGAATAATTCTAGTGTTGCATTGACTGGAATCAAAAAGTGAGTAATTCATTTGTACTTATAAAAGGAAAAATACTTCACTACCACACAGAAAGTGGAGAAGAAGCACACTGGACTGTGAGCTTCTAAAGGGAATATTTCCCCAAGACCCATCTTCATAGTCAATAAATAAATGTTTATTTGTTTCGTTTCATGAAAGAATAAATGATCAGTAGGCCCCTGCTTCCAAAAAAAAAAAAAAAAAAAGGATTTACATTTAGGTTAAATTCCAGAAGTGTAATACTAAGAAGTGTCTTTTTTAATTTAAAGCTTCATGCTATGTTAAAACATTTTTGGCTCAAAATTATCTTCTTTTTTTGTCCCATTTCTGTCTGAGCACTTTGAAATAGTAATTTAGTTTTACAAATGGAAATGATTTGACTAAGAACAGGAGGGTCTGATGCAGAAAAAGCCTCAAATCCTGGATCCAGATTCAATGTATTTATCTTTATATCAGTGAATGAGAATACAAATGTACGCATTAAACCTCAGTCCATTTCTCTTCCATTCTTCTAAAACAGCCACCCATTAATTTCTTACCTCTGTTCATTATTAAGCAGAACACATATGGTTTGCATTTTCATAAGACACTTGTAAACTATTCCTTCCTCATGCTGTTATTTTGTGGTAATTGTCAAAGCTACTTATGAAGCCACTCTCAGTGCATAGAAATCCTACACTGAACCCCACTGGAGAAATGAGGGGACTAGTGTATATTGTTAGCAATAGGAAGGCTCCTATTTCACTCAGTAAAACCTAAATCCTTGGAGTGGCCTTCAAGTTCCTACACTTTCTGGCCCCTACACTCATTCCCACTGTTTCCTTAACCTCATTTCCTATTACTCTCTTCTCGCTGTTCATGCACGCTGCCCTGCCACCTCAGGGAGTTTGCACTGCTGTTCCCATACCTAGAGTGCTATTCCCTAGATATCCGCATGGCTAATTCTCACTTCTTTCAGTCCACATTGTTGCTGAAATATCAACCAAATTGAGTATTGTTGTCAATCCCACTTTATTTTGTATTATAAGTACGGGGGTACATGTGCAGGTTTGTTACATGGATGTATTGGGTAATGGTGAGGTTTGTGCTTCTAATGTACCCATCACCCATAAAGTAAACATTGTACCCAATAGGTTATTTTTCAACCCTCATCTCTCTCCTATCCTCCCCACTTTTAGAGTCCCCAATGCCTATTATTTTCCTCTTTATGTCCATGTGTACTCATTGTTTAGCTTCCGCTTATAAGTGAGAATATGCAGTACTTGATTTTTCGAGTTATTTCACCCACGATAATGGCCTCCAGCTCTATATGTGTTGCTGCAAAACACACGATTTTATTCTTTTTATGGCTGGTATATGTACCATATTTTCTTTTTTCTTTCTTTCTTTACTGTATTTATTTATTTATTCATTTATTGAGACAGAGTCTTGCTCTGTTACTCAGGCTGGAGTGCAATGGCGCAGCCTAGGCTCACTGCAGCCTTTGCCTCCTGGGTTCCAGCAATTCTCCTGCCTCAGCCTCCTGGGTAGCTGGGATTACAGGCACCTGCCACCACACTTGGCTAATTTTTTTGTATGTTTAGTAGAGTCAAGGTTTCGCCATGTTGGCCAGGCTGGTCTCGAACTCCTGACCTCAGGTGATCTGCCCGCCTCGGCCTCCCAAAGTGCTGGGATTACAGGCATGAGCCACCGTGCTCGGCCCTAGTATGTACCATATTTTCTTTATCCAGTCATCCATTGATGGGCACTGAGGTAGATTTCATGACTTTCCTATTATGAATAGTGCTGCAATAAACATAGCAGTGCAGGTGTCTTTTTATAAAAATGATTCCTTTTCCTTGGTGTAGATATACAGCAGTGGGTCAATCCCATTTTAAAATGCAACCTGCTTTGACCTCAAACACTCTTGATCTTTCTAATTGTTGTGATCTACTTAAAAAAAAAAAAACCCACTGGCCATTTTCTAATGTATTGTATTAAAACATTTTTACCTGATATTTATTGTTTCTTTATCATTCTACTGGACCTTAATTTCTATGAGAGCAGAGGATATTGTCTGTTTTACACTGCAAATATACCCAAACCACTCAGAACAGTGTTTTGTTTACTGCCACTATCAGACACTTTTTGAATTAATGAATAAATTTATAATCAGTCCTTCAATTATTTTTTCCTAAATTGCCTGAAATTGTATACCTAGTCAACTTACTCTCCTACTCTCTGCAATGGGTTTTCAAATGTATTCAAACTTCTGGTTACCTTAGAACTTCTAGTGCCATCCCTTTACCTTTGCAGCTTATAGGTCACCTTTGTTCTCAGGTTGGCTCAATCCTATGGAAAAGCTTTCTATCCTCTTTCTACCAACTACTAAAGCTGTTTATCATTTTCTTTTGGAAACATCTTTCTTTGGCTTCTGAGGCATCCCACAGACCAGATTTTCTATCTCCTCATCTGGCCCTCTTTATCAGTTTCCTTTGCATGGTTATACTTCCTTGCCCCACTTATTGGGTAACTCTATGTCTGTGTTTCAGGCCACCTCTCTACTTTTAATTTTTTTTTAAATATAGATGGGGGTCTCATTATATTGACCAAGGTGGTCCCAAACCCCTGGCCTCAAGCAGTTCTCCCATCTTGGCCTCCAAAAGTGCTAGGATTACAGGCATGAGACACTGTGCCCAGCCAAGCCCACCTCTCTGCTTATTTGAAATGCTTTCTCGGGTAATTTCATTCATTTTTACAGCCTCAATCCTTATTAATACACCTAAATATCCCTCTCATCTAAACTTCTGCTTTTAAGTTCCAGTCTATTGTTTCAGTCTCTACCCAGATGTCTCAAAACTTTATGTCTATAAATGTGTAAATAACAAGAACTTGATCTATTTAGAAATTATATAATAGTAAACATTACTCATAATTTAACTGTGAAAACACCACAGTTTTGAATCTTATGTCTGAAGGCTTTAGTGAGTTCACCTATAGATATAACATTTGCAAACTAATAGGTGAGAGATTGGGCTTTGAGTCAGATATTGGTTTGAGTCCATGCTCTGTTCTTTTTAACTTCATTAGTTTTCTTATCTTCTCTATTTCTCAGGGTCCTCATCGGTATAATCTGATCACTGACAGTAACTAGCACATTAGGTCGCTCTAAGCATGAAAATAGGTAATGCATGTGAAGTGTTCACACTGTAACAACCTTGCATTAATCCCTCAGAACAGTTTTTTATTATTATTAAAATTAGTATTGTTTTATTTTCCTGTTTATCTCAAATTATAAACTTTATAAATAATATGAGTCATTTTCTTTAATATTGGCCTATGAATCATAAACAAATAATTCATAGGCCAATATTAAAGAGAATGAACTCATGTTATTTAAAATTATTTATTTACACTTTTGACAATAAAAACAGAATTACCAACCAGTTGCATTCAAGTCACTAAATTAATTGTTTTAGAAAATCTCTATTCTTGGATTGCATAGGAAAAATCTAGTGTAACAGTAGATAGCACTATATAGGGAAACCAATAAAGGTAATAAAAGACAGATCCTGGACTTATCTTCTCGTGTATTAACATTAAATGAGGATGATAACAAGCTCAAGAGATCTGTTATACAACGTGGCGACCATAGTTAATAGCAATGTATTGTATAGAGTGCTTGAAAATCACTGAGAGTAGATTTCAAGTGTTCTCACTTTAATATCTGGTAAGTATGTGAGGTAAGCCATATATTAATTAGCTTGATTTAGCCATTGCACAATGTGTACATAGTCCAAAACATACTGTTGTACACCATAAATATATACAACTTTTTTGTTAGTTAAAAAAATAGTAAAATGATGATGACAAACACAGACCAGGAAGTAATAGTGTGGCTTCCACTAAGCCTATTTTATAAAAATAAAACATTCTGTTGTTTGTATCAGTTGGCCTGCAAAATCCAGAAAAATTATTCCCGTTTAAATCATAACACTTTCTGGTTTCATTTAATTCCACTGTTATTGTTAGGTTGAGAAATGTAAATAAATGTATAGAGATGCAAACTGAAAATAACAGGGACTAAACCTTCTCCCCATGGTTTCCCAGGAAGAAGATGGTGAAGTTAGAAATTCTTCCTAGTTTCCTTTCATTTATACAAAATCACACAGTAGCTAGGCTATATAATGTTTTGGCTGATGATTTCAATGCCTGTTACACATATCATTTTGTTATTTTGCGGCTTTTCTGGTTTTTTTCATTATCCTTCATCTGTCTATTTTCAGTTGCAAAGGAAATGTTTGTGTTGTATATGTGTTGTGTACATGCATGTTTTGAGATTGAGAGAAAAAGAGACAGACAGACACACAGGGACAGAAAGAGAGAAAACAGGAGCTCATACTGATTTTGTATTCATTAGAAGGCAAGCCCCATGAAGGTGGTAGACGTCCTGCTTTCCTCGCTGCTGTTATTTTTGTATTATCTTGATGCTTTTGGCACTCACCATATATTTGTTGGCTGTGTCGTGAAATGACATTCCCTGCTTTCGGAATTATGAGGAGGAGATGAGTTACTTATAAAAGCACTTAGAATTCTGCTCACATGGCCGGGCGCGGTGGCTCACGCCTGTAATCCCAGCACTTTGGGAGGCCGAGGCGGGTGGATCATGAGGTCAGGAGATCGAGACCATCCTGGCTAACAAGGTGAAACCCCGTCTCTACTAAAAATACAAAAAATTAGCCGGGCGCGGTGGCGGGCGCCTGTAGTCCCAGCTACTCGGGAGGCTGAGGCAGGAGAATGGCGTGAACCCGGGAAGCGGAGCTTGCAGTGAGCCGAGATTGCGCCACTGCAGTCCGCAGTCCGGCCTGGGCGACAGAGCGAGACTCCGTCTCAAAAAAAAAAAAAAAAAAGAATTCTGCTCACATGAACTATACAATTTTTTTTTTTTTTTTTTTTTTTTTAGATGGAGTCTCGCTCTGTCACCCAGGCTGAAGTGCAGTGGCATGATCTTGGCTCACTGTAACCTCCACCTCCTGGGTTCAAGCAAATCTCCTGCCTCAGCCTCCAGAGTAGCTGGGATTACAGGCGTCCACCACCACGCCTGGCTAATTTTTGTATTTCAGTAGAGATGGAGTTTCACCTTGTTGGCCAGGCTGGTCTCCAACTCCTGACCTCAAGTGATCCGCCCACCTCTGCCTCCCAAAGTGCTGGGATTACAGGCGTGAGCCACTGCACCCAACCTACAAGCTCCTTAAATTGTATTTTTATTATGAAGACCCTCAAGTTTCACAGCCACTTGAGGTTTGATCATATCCTTTGTTTTATCTATAAATTTGCTCAAAGAGACTTCCCTCTCCATCTGTTTGTGATAGTTTTGTTGGGAACTCATTTCCATAGAACTTTATCTGAGGGAATATTTGAGGACTGGGCTTAGGGTACATTCCTCAGCATAGGATTTGGGTTTGCATGTCCCAGATATCTGGGATTGCTCCTGACCTGAGACCATTTTAAAACCACATTTGGGACTTTAAGGTCTTCTGGGACCCTTCCCCGGTGTGAAGGAGAGCCCATGGAGAAGAATTCTGCCAGGAGTCTTCTCTTTCCCTTCTCTACACAGAACAGTCTCTGAGACAGTCATGGTTATCTTCCATCCTCTTCTATGGGGTAGAACTTGCTTAATTTTTTGAATGTTTTAGTCTCATTTAGGGGTGCTAATCTAAGCTCTACCTGGACTGTGTGGCCATAGTCCTTGTTTACTGTCTCACACTTGGGTGTGGCCTATTAAATCTCAAACTCTGCATCGATGGGACCCCAGTGGTGTACTTCTAATGCCATCAAGAGAACATGATGCAAGAAGCTGAGGTGACTAATATTCCCTGTTCTTACACTCTGGATCTACCACCACTAAGGCCATGTTCTTTCAGGCTTCCCAGCTAATGAATAAGCGAAACAGAATTAATAATGCCAGCTCATCCTTGTAGGATGTGCACTCCTCTGACTTTGGCTACAGGACTCACCATCTCTCTGGCCAACATTACTGTTTTCAGAGCTGCCCTATTATATGAGGGCCTTCCTGCACGCCCTACTTCCATTCACAAATTTCAGCCTTGCATCAAAATCCAAAGGCTCTGCCTGTCTTCTCTGGCACCTTCCCATTGATCCTTCACAGAAATTTCCCCCCCAAATTTCTCCAACATATAATTATAACTTGGTGATTAGAACTGACGAGTAAGTAGCAAACACTAATCTAGGACAAGCATACTTTTCAAAAGGAATGTTACTTGTTGATTGTATCTTTTAAGAATTTACTTTACATTAACATCAACTCAACTGTGCAGTAAAAATAAATAAATCATTAATTTTAACATTTTTATTTTTAACGTTATGTGTTCTAGAAGAAAGTTTGTAGTTGGCCCGGCGCGGTGATTCATGCCTGTAATCCCTGCACTTCGGGAGGCCGAGGCAGGTGGATCACTTGAGGCCAAGAGTTCCAGACCAGCCTGGCCAGCATGGCAAAACCTCATCTTTACTAAAAATGCAAAAATTAGCTGAGCGTGGTGGCGGTTGCCTGTAATTCCAGCCATTTGGGAGGCTGAGGCAGGAGAATTGCTTGAACCTGGGAGGCAGAGGTTGCAGTGAGCCAAGAAACTGTCTCAAAAAAAAAGAAAAAAAAAAAGAAAAAAGAGAAAGAAGGAAAGAAAGAAAGAAAGAAAAGTTCTAGTTTCTCACTTTACGAGAAATGGGTCAGCACTGTCTTTTCCATATCAACATAAAACAATTGTGTGGGCTCTTTGACTAAAAATATAAAATGTACCTGAGAAATGTATATACTAAGTTATTTTTAATCTTGATGAACTATTGCTTTACCAACATATTGGAAGCTGTGTTAGTAGTGGCCTAATTTTCCAGAATTTTGATGATGCATATATGTGAGTATATCTTAAGCTAATGAAACTAATTAATGGATTGTAAAATTTTCTCTTTTGCTTCTCCCTTTTCCATGCCAGTTTTCACATAAATAGGACAATATCTTCTTACTTTTCCTGTCATCATGAGAATGCTGGACTAAGAATTTATGGGCATTAACCCCCCCATCTATTTAACCACCTATATTACATGTGTCCCTGATGTAACCTGAGCAAACTTAGCAAGTCTTTTATTCTGGGTGAATGCCCCGCTTCACCCAAATCATGAATGCTCTTTGCTTCATGGAACTCTATTGCTTTTGTTCCCAGAACCAATTATATCTTAGCTAATCTCTTGCCCCTTTAATTATCCTTGATAGTTTTCCAAATAAAATATGCAATCTGTGAACACTTTATTAGTCCCACTCTCTGGTTTATCCATTCATGGGTAAGGATACAGAATTGTCTGAATCCAGCTTATTATAAATTCATTATTCTCAATTGTGCCCAATGACAAAATTTTCCTTGCCCTGGGTCAACAATATTCTCAGTCATCTCTACTATTTAACTGTAAATCTCAAACTATGTGCTGTTTAGAATTATATGTGCCTATCCCATTCTGCCGGACGTACGTGTTCTTTTCTCCATGAGATTTACATCCTGTAATGCTCTGATTCAGAATTTTGGGGCCCAATCCCTATTCATTTGTGTCTTAACAGTCTTTGAAGGGATGTTTGACTTCAAGGATTCCTTGAAGTTTCCCTCTGAGCAAAGGTGAGATGCCTTTTGATTCATGCTTGCGTCATTACTAGCCCAGGTTTAGCTGACTTTTTTAGTGTAGGATTTGCAATTAACACACAATAAAGGCTCTCTGAACTTTAGTCTCTTTTCGAGGGAAATAACCATAAACATACTGCCACTCAGTACAGATGGAGAGGTTAGTGAAAATAAGCAGCATTTATGAAGGCATGCCAGAAGGACTATGGGCCAGCCATTTTCTCTGGATACTGGAAATTCTTCCTGTAATGAAGCCAGACCTGCATAGAGTATTAATACTCAACCACACAAAATTCAGATCTTACAGAAGTGCTTTTACAAAATATTCTTACAAAGACTCAGAGGGGGAAATTACAAGAAAATATTCTGTGAAACATCAGATTATTTACTTAAAGTTATTGTTGATGGCCATTATTTTCAGTACTCTTAGAAAAAGGATAATGAGAGATTTTTTTATTATGCAGCTAAAAGGAATAGTTTTGCCTTTTATTGAACAAAACAATTGTGTGTATGTTCATTTAACTTCTGGAAGATCTGAATCATGTAATTGTATCTGTTTTTTTCTATTTGTGGATAGACAGAACACTTAGAGCCACATGTGGAATACATTGCTAGAAACTAATTCTTCTTGGCATGGACTTTGTATACTAACTTAGTCCCTGGTTTCAAAGAATTTTTATTTTTCTTTCATTTTGATGTCCTCATCTAATTAATTTTATTGTATTTCATTCTGTTGGGTTATATGCAATTATAAGGCACAAAGTCTTACTGAAAAAAGAACATGAAATAAGCAAATATGCAAAAAAGATTAATATTCTATGAACAGTTCATATCTCATGCTTATACATAACTATCAAAGCACACACAATACTTGACATTTTATACATGTTCAGCAAACATTTATTTACCAAATGAAGAAAACTAGGGATTGGAAAACAAAGCTGTTTCTTCAATATTTTTTATTTATTAAAAAATACTACTAGAGTTTGTAATCCTGGCTGACTTTTATCTCAAAAGAGTCAACTCTGTATTATTGAAGTGCAGATTAATGGTTTAAATATTAATTGCATCCAAAATTTACATATTCTTATATAATTAAAATATACACTATATTTTTGAAAAGTTTAATTATTAACGATCAGTTTAACAACTAGAGATATAAGAATATATATGCTATTGGAATTTGTGATTAGCAAATTCCACTTGGAGTCTGCAACGTACAATGACATGCAAATTCCATTTTCCATTGTTTGTATTGTATTTTTAAACATCAAAAGAAAAAATGTTTTTAACTTTAACTCTAATATAATGTTGTCAAATAAGTGAAAGAGTTGTTAGACTTTAAAAAAACACATTACAATAGTGAGAAGCAGAATAAGTTATTTGTGATATGAAAGAGAAAAATGATGAGTTAATATAATTTTAATTCCAGTTGAGTTAAGAAAATGAAAAAGTGCATCATTGTCTCTTCTACTTGCAAATGATATTTCTTCTATTTTTAAGAGAGTAAAATTTGTCTTTCAGTTGACAGTGAGTTACAGGTGAAAAGCTTTTACTCTGATGTTTTACAGAACTGCTAAAATGTCCATGTGTTATTCTATAGAGAATTGTAATAGAGTTTAGTAGTATAAAAGTGTGAAAGATGTTTTTTACCTTAATATATGATATTTACTTGGTTGAGTTATATAACATTCAAAAATAGAGAATTTGGAGCCTGAAAACCTTGATTTCAGTTTAGCCTCCACTACTTACTGGATTTGTGACCTTAAGCAAGTTATTTCATTTTTCTCAAACTGGGTTTCCTCTTAGATGAAAATAACAATATCTACCTTCCTTTCATGTGATTTATTGAGACCAAATTGGAGTAATAGATAGTATAACTAGAACTTGGTTTTAAGTTATTTAAACATTATTTACTAGGTAAAACTTGTGCCTGTATAAAAATGAGAAACTTTATCTCTGAATGCAGATGCCATGTTTTCATTATTTGATAGAGATAAATAAACATGGAAATTGTATTACAATTTATACCAAACTGCAAGGGGCCAGGTGAGTCAACCAAATTATACGGACATGTCAAAACATGCTGTTTTACTTTGTTTTCATACTGCTATAAAGAACTGCCAGAGACTGTGTAATTCATAAACGAAAGAGGTTTAACTGAATTACAATTAAGCATGGCTGGGGAGGCCTCAGGAAACTTAGGAAATCATAGCAGAAGTTGAAAGGGAAGCAAGGAAACTTCTTCACAAGGTGGCAGGAAGAAGTGCCGAGCAAAGCGGGGAAGAACTCCTTATAAAACCATCAGATAACCTGAGAACTCACTCACTATCACAAGAACAGCAAGGGGCAAACCACCCCCATGATTCAATTACCTCCACCAGGTCTCTCCCTTGCTAGGTGGGGATTACGGAGATAATAATTCAAGATGAGATTTGGGTGGGGACACAAAGCCTAACTATATCACATTGAGTGAATGCATGCATATTCTTAAATGCAAAAATTGTAAATACATATATAAATAGATAAATAGATGTTTAGTGGAATGTAGATTTCTCTAAATATCTATGCAATTTTCATGAATATGAGGTGCAGGAACAATAACATTAAGAGTATCTAATATTATCTCAGCTCATACTGGCTGTGGTGTAGAATTCATAAGAGGAAGGCAGATTAAGTTCCCATTTCTTAGCTATTCTTAATATAAAGCAGTTTTAAAAACCCTGGTTATAGGATCCTATGAGACAAGCCTTAAAGGTATCTGATTGATTTAGATATAAATGACATATGGTTTTTTTTCTTATTATCAAGATGTTTTTGTAAATCTCATCTTTTTAAAGTGTCTCTTAATACACTTCTCTTTTTAACATTGGCTTCTAGAAAAAAATAATGAAGTAAGAAAAGAAAAGGGATTCTACATCTTGAGTGAGAAATTGCCTTATAAAAATGAACAAATAGAGGCTGGATGCAGTGGCTCACACCTGTAGTCCCAGCACTTTGGGAGGCTGAGGCAGGCAGATCACTTTAGGTCAGGAGTTCAAACCCAGCCTGGCCCACATGGTGAAAACCCATCTCTACTAAAAATGCAAAAATTAGCCAAGTGTGGTGGCACGCACCTGTAATTTCAGCTACTTGGGAGGCTGAAGAAGAAGAATTGCTTGAACCCAGGAGGCGGATGCTGCAGTGCACTGAGATCACGCCACTGCACTCCATCCAGCCTGGGTGACAGAGCAAGACTCCTCCGTCTCAAAAAGCAACAACAATAACAACAAAAACAAATAGAATAAGTGAAGAGATTTGATCTTATAATTGGTTGGAATATCCCATAACACTGCACTGTTTATGTTTGCACAATAATGAAAGTTCATTGAGTACATGTTCACTGACATATATGGATCCTCAGAAATATATATCTTAAACATATATATAAGTATATATAAATGTATACTCATACGCATAACTCAGATGTATGCAAAGACTTCATATATCTAGAATGTATATTGTGTATATTCTATATAATATGTAATGGAGGTTGATAGACATAACCTTTTCTTGATGGTGTAGGTTAGAAATAACTGGTTCATTTAGGGTAGGGCAGATTTCACTTGCACTGATATGGACAAATCAGTGTTAATGACAGAATGCAATAGAGTCATCCTGCTATGTAAACAGAAGCATAGATAACAAATAATACAAAATATGATAAAAGTTTACCTCATTCATAACATCATTTATCTGACCCTTTCCCGCAATTTATCTGGCCTATCTGCCACCATTTAATTAAAAAAATTACAGTGATTATATCATGACTGCTTTCAAATCTCACTGTACAACTCTAAAAACATACACTTATTTGATAGCCTTGAATTTCAGCAGAAAAGATAATACTTATAAGAGGTATAGACTTTAAAATATATCATATTTGTGCAGAATATTTTAAGTTATAAATATGTATGCATAAGGCCTAGTTGATGTAACATTAGTATAGATGCTACAAATGCAAGTTCATTAAAGAATATTAAGATATTCTTCCCTGTAAATCTAAGGAAGCAAAACAATGGGAAATTTCTCAAAGATCTAAAGCAGGAGATGAAATAGGGACAAACTGAGTGTTTGCTCAACCGTAATTGTGAAGCAATCAGTTTAATTTTCTCACAGTTGATTTTGTTTAATTAGGAGATGACATTAGCTAACTTTGCAGTTCTACATCGTTGCAAAAAGGAAAGAGGAGGTTTTGACATATTGTGCCTTTACTATTAAAGAAATATCATTCAGTGAGTTTTTTGTACACATTTCTATTTGTGTGGTTTTTTTCACTGAAAATAATGCTTTTAAATTTCAGAATACAACAGCTTAACTTATCACATAATAGAGATATACATATTGTATATCCCTTTTAAAATTAGTGCTAATGTAGCATGAGGGAAATGTAATTCAACAAGCTCGGAGCCCCGGCCGAGCTTCGGAGCCCCGGCCCAGCCCCGGCCGCGCACGCGCAGTGACGCGCCGGCCATGCCGGCGGCTGTTGTCGGGCCTCCAGCGGGCGGGGCCGTTGGCGGAGCAGAGCGGAGGCGCAGCCGGGCGGAGGGCCCACGAGGGCTCAGCCTTCCCGGTCAGCGGTGGTGACGGTATCCCAGAGTGCCAGAGAACCGTTGCTTTTCCGAGTTGCTCTTCTTCCAGGCTCCGTTGGTGGTCGGCATGGCCCGTGAGTGGGGGTGGGAAGCGGCGGCGAGCGTCCGGCGTGGGAGCCTAGCGCTGAGGCGCGGCGGGCGGGGGAGGCGGAGTCCGGCTGGAGAATCCCCCTGGGTCGCGCAGTGCGGGGATCCCCGCTTCAGTCGGCAGAGAGAGAGCTCGCGGGTGGTTCCGGTCCGGCTTTTCAGGCCGGACGGGTGCCTGCCCCTCAGGTGCGAGTTTGTGCGGTAAAGAACACACCCCGGAGATGTGGACACGGCCGCCCCAGGAGGGTCCTTGTTTGGAGGTACTTTATAGCTGATACCTCAAGTCTTAAGGCCTAATGAGGACCGGGAACTCCAGTGAGTCGCCTCCCTAGTTCTTTTGTTTGGCGCTCGCAGGTAGTAGCCGAATAAACAGGAGGCTTTAGAGCCGGTCCTAAATTTGATGTTCGTTTGTACCAGTCCTAGGTGTTAGGTCAGTCTGTTCTGCAAAATGAAAACAATGAAGCCTACCTTGCAGGGTTGTGGCTAGAATAAGGATGTAAAGGCCCACACTGCCTTTCGCAGACTTACCTTCAATCTGTTCAGTCTCCATCCACCCCTCTCCGCCTCTGCATGGGGATAAAGGTAACTCTCAAGTGATGGGCTGAACTTGTGATCTCTGTATCTAGCTTTCTCTTCCACCCACTCCCCTCAAAAGCCAGAACTTATTTTGGGATACCGGCCCAAGATTCGAATATCTGTTTTAAAATATCTGGTATTTATAGCTAGTGACCACCTAGATTGGTATGATAATACTCTTAAGTCTTTAAGTGTTTAAGCCACTTCCTTATTGTCAGATCTAGGAGCACCATCAATCTGTTACTCTGCTAGTTTATCTATGAAAACACAAACTAAAGATGCATTTAAATAAGGCCTGTTTATTGGAATTATTAATAATTTTGGAGATGGGAAAAGAGCATGACTGTTTGACTTTGTAGGTGGAAATCAACGAGAACTTGCCCGCCAGAAAAACATGAAGAAAACCCAGGAAATTAGCAAGGGAAAGAGGAAAGAGGATAGCTTGACTGCCTCTCAGAGAAAGCAGAGGTACGTGGTACTAATTTAATTCTAAAGTCACTGACGTTGTGATTGAAGCAACATTTTGGGCTGGGTGTGTTGCCTCATGCCTGTAATCCCGGCAGTTTGGGAGAGTCGGGAGAACTGCTTGAAGCCAAGAGTTTGAGACCAACTTGGACAACATAGCCAGCCCCTGTATCTACAAAATATTTTTTTAAATTGGCCAGGCATGGTAGCACATGGCTGTGGTCTCGGCTACTCTGGAGGCTGAGGCGGGAGAATCGCTTGAGCCCAGGAGGTTAAGGCCGCAGTAAGCTGCGATTGCACCACTGCACTCCAGCCTGGATGGCAGAGTTAGACCCTGTCTCAAAAAAAAAAAAAAAAAAAAAAAAAAAGAAGGCCTCATTTTGGGGAACAGAAAGCATTTTGTTAAGCCCTTGGTAGAACAGGGCCTAATGATTTGTGCCAGGCGGACTAAAACCACGTGGGGTAGACATCCCAACATATAGATAAAAACGTAAAGCTCTGAAGCTATTATTTGTTTCACAGAGACTCATGCAGCTCCTCCACAACCATAAGAACTTTTTATAGGCTGGGTGCGGTGGCTCACGCCTGTAATCTCAGCACTTTGGAAGGCCAAGGTGGGTGGATCACCTGGGGTCAGGAGATCGAGATCAGCCTGACCAACATAGTGAAACCCTATCTCTACTAAAAATACAAAATTAGCTGGGTGCAGTGGCACATGCCTGTAATCCCAGTTACTTGGGAGGCTGAGGCAGGAGAATCGCTTGAAACCGGGAGGGGGAGGTTGCAGCGAGTGAAGATTGTGCCATTGCAATCCAGCCTGGGTACTGAGCGGGAAACTCTGTATCAAAAAAACAAAACAAAAAAAAAAAAACAACTTTATTCAGCAAAATAACATCTTCTATATGCAAAACACTGTGAGGTGCTAGAGTTACAACATTTTCAAAGTAGACAGCCTACCCAAACTACTCTGAATGACAAGGGACTCAATTATTAATATATAATGATAATAGTTCTCAAGAAGATACAAAAAAGTATATGCATAATAGCTAGCTGTGCTGATTTCTGAAGATCCATTGCATTGGAGAGAATTCATGTACATAGCCTTAATATATGACTATATGTGCCAATGTAAAACTGCTACAGAAATACTTTAGACTGCAGCTTAAGTAAAAAAAAGTACACTCATGTTTCTAAAAGAGCTAATCAAAGCTTAATTTTATTCTCAAATGATTTTGTCCATATGGAACTTGGAGGTTAAGCGAATAACTGACTGCATGTGCTTCAGTGTGGCTTGTTAGGGGTTCTCAATCCTGGCTGCACATTAGAATCACCTGGGAAACCTTGACAGCTACTCAAGCCTTGCGTTATGCTCAGTTTTGATTTTTTGTTTTTTTAAAAAATTGAATTACAATAGTTGTACATATTTTGGGGGTACATGTGATCTTTTAATACCTGTATGTGGGCTGGGTAGTCCCAGCCACTTGGGAGGCTAAGGCAGGAGAATCACTTGAACCTGGGAGGCGGAGGTTGCAGTGAGCCGAGATCCTGCCATTGCATTCCAGCCTGGGTGACAGAGTGAGACCCTGTCTCAAAAAAACAACAACAAAAAGAAACTGGCTTGGCGTGGTGGCTCATACCTGTTAGCCCAGCACTTTGGGAGGCCGAAGCGGGTGGATTACCTGAGGTTGGGAGCTCAAGACCATTCTGACCAACATGGAGAAACCCCATCTCTACTAAAAATACAAAATTAGCCAAGTGTGTGGCCGGGCGCGGTGGTTCACGCCTGTAACCCCAGCACTTTGGGAGGCCCAGGCGGGCGGATCACGAGGTCAGGAGATCGAGACCATCCTGGTTAACACGGTGAAACCCCGTCTCTACTAATAATACAAAACTTAGCCGGGCGAGGTGGCAGGCGCCTGTAGTCCCAGCTACTTGGGAGGCTGAGGCAGGAGAATGGCGTGAACCCGGGAGGCGGAGCTTGCAGCGAGCCGAGATCGTGCCACTGCCCTCCAGCCTGGGTGACAGAGCGAGACTCCGTCTCAAAAAAAAAAAAAAAGCCAACTGTGGTGGCGAACACCTGTAATCCTAGCTACTCGGCAGGCTGAGACAGGAGAATCACTTGAACCTGGGAGGCGGAGGTTGCGGTGAGCTGAGATCTCGCCATTGCACTCCAGCCTGGACAACAAGAGTGAAACTCCGGCCGGGCGCGATGGCTCATGCCTGTAATCCCAGCACTTTGGGAGGCCAAGGCAGGAAGATCACGAGGTCAGGAGATCGAGACCACGGTGAATCCCTGTCCGTACTAAAAATACAAAAAATTAGTCGGGCGCAGTGGCGGGCGCCTGTAGTCCCAGCTACTCGGGAGGCTGAGGCAGGAGACTGGCGTGAACCCGGGAGGCGGAGCTTGCAGTGAGCTGAGATCGCGCCACCGCACTCCAGCCTGGGCGACAGAGCGAGACTCCGTCAAAAAAAAAAAACCTTTATGTGTACAATGTGTAATGATCAAATCGGGGTAATTGGGATATCTCTATGCTCAAACATTTATCTTTCATCCAGTTCTGATTTAATTGGTCAGAGGTCGAGCATTAAAAAGCACCCTAGGTAAATTTTACTGTACTTAGGTTATGCCTTTTTTTTTTTTTTAAAGGCAGAGTCTTACTCTGTTGCCCATGCTGGAGGGCAGTGGCGTGATCTCGGCTCACTGCAACCTCCACCTCCTGGGCTTAAGCGATTCTCCTGCGTCAGCAATCCAAGTAGCTGGAATTGCAGGCGTCCGCCACCATGCCCAGCTAATTTTTGTATTTTTAGTAGAGACTGGGTTTCACCGTGTTGGCCAGGCTGGTCTCAAACTACTGACCTCAAGTGATCCACCCGCCTCGGCCTCCCAAAGTGCTGGGATTACAGGCGTGAGCCACCACGCTGGCCCAGTTATACCTTTTTTTTTTTTTTTGAATTTTTTTTTTATTATTACGCTTTAAGTTCTAGGGTATATATGCACAACGTGCAGGTTTGTTACATAGATATACATGTGCCATGTTGGTTTGCTGCACCCATCAACTCATCATTTACATTAGGTATTTCTCCTGATGCTATCCCTCCCCCAGCCTCCCAGCACACCCAGTTATACCTTAAACTGAACTTAAAACAGCTCCCAGGTGATTCTAATGTGCAGCCACTATTAAGAGTCATTGATAAATGAGATTAAAGACCTTAATTTAAGGCAAAGGTCCTGACACCTTTTTTTTTTTTTTCCCAGATATGGCGTCTTACTCTGTGACCCAGACTGGAGTGCAGTGCCACAGTCTCGGTTCACTGCAAGCTCTGCCTCCCAGGCTCAAGTGACCCTCCCACCTCAGCCTTCTGAGTAGCTGGGACTACAAGGGCACACCACCAAGCCCAGATAGTTTTTATATTTTTTGTAGAAACGGGGTTTCATCATGTTGTCCAGGCAGGTCTTGAACTTCTGGGGTCAAGTGATTTGCCCACCTCAGTCCCCCAAAGTGCTGGAATTACAGGTGTGAGCCACTATGCCCGGCCCTAACATTTATTATTAAAGTGATAAGCTTTGTCTTCAATTTCTGTTGACTCACATTAGAGTAAAAATGAACATGGTATGAATCAGTGACCCTGCAATAGTATTTTTATTGGAGAACCTAGTCTAGCTTGGTTCAGAAATTGTCATTGTTTACCAGATATGCACTCCTTATAAAATTCTATGCTAGACATTCTATATACATTATTCTTTATTCATCATAACTCTGAAAAATGGTATTAGCACTAATCTGTAGAATAGGAAACTGAGGCTCTGAACTTCAGTAACATTACTAAAGTTACACAGCAAGCACAACAGAGCTTGGTTTCAAATAGAGAAGTAACTGTCATGGTTCTTTTTCCACTGTACTTCATTTCTTTATAGCTATGTTTTTGTTTTTGTTTTAGTGAAAGCAAGTTTATTAGGAAAGTAAAGAAATAAATATTGGCTACTTTATAGGCAGAACAGCCTGTAGCTGTGTTATTTTGCCTTTCTTCTTTATTTTTATTTTATTTTATTTTATTTTATGTTTTTGAGACGGAGTTTCGCTCTTGTTGCCCAGGCGGAGTACAATGGCGCAATCTCAGCTCACCGCAACCTCCACCTCTCGGGTGCAAGTGATTCTCCTGCCTCAGCCTCCCAAGTAGCTGGGATTACAGGCATGCACCACCATGCCTGGCTAATTTTGTATTTTTAGTAGAGATAGGGTTTCTCCATGTTGCTCAGTCTGGTCTCAAACTCTCGACCTCAGGTGGTCCGCCTATCTCAGCCTCCCAAAGTGCTGGGGTTACAGATGTGAGCCACTGGCCTATTTTGCCTTTCTTCTATTCCCTTGTTTTTGCTATTGGCTTTACAGAAATATCTTACCATCATGGCTGTGGAAATCAGTTTAGCATTTCCTCAAAAAGTTAAAACAGGCCAGGCTCAGTGGCTTACACTTGTAAATCCAGCACTTTGGGAGGCCGAGGCGAGCGGATCAACTTGAGGCCAGGAGTTCGAGACAAGCCTGGCCAACATGGTGAAACCCTGTCTCTACTAAAAATACAAAAATTAGGTGGGCTTGGTTGCACATGCCTGTAATCCCAGCTACTTGGGAAACTGAGGCAGGAGACTCGCTTGAACCAGGGAGGTGGAGGTTGCAGTGAGCAAAGATTGTGCCACTGCACTGCAGCCTGGGCAACAGAGCAAGACTCTGTCTCAAAAAAATAAATAAAAAATTAAAAAGTTTGAAACATGAGGTTAATAAGTCAGAGTTGTGGGACTTTAACCAGAGCTGGTAGAGTGCTTGACACACAGTAGATGTTGAATGCATGGCCGTTTAGTCTGTTTTTAAAATATGGGTCCATGGACTCATGAATCACCTAACCCAGGTAGTCTGGTCATAGTTCACAGTTTATATGGCATGTGTCAGTTTGACTGGAGATGAGAAGGGTTAAGGGCTGGGCGCAGTGGCTCACACCTGTAATCCCAGCACTTTGGGAGACTGAGGCAGGCGGATCACAAGGTCAGGAGTTCGAGACCAGCCTGGCCAATATGGTGAAACCTCGTCTCTACTTAAAATGCAAAAATTAGTCGGGTGTGGTGGCGCATGCCTGTAGTCCCAGCTACTCAGGAGGCTGAGGCAGAAGAACTGCAAGCAGGAAGTGGAGGTTGCAGTGAGCCAAGATCGTTCCACCGCACTCCAGCCTGGGGGACAAAGCGAGACTCCGTCTCAAAAAAAAAAAAAAGTACCCTGAACATCCAGCTTTTCTTTATTGTAATCCAGTTTTAGTGACTAGCTTTTGGGCTTTTTTGCTTGTAAGAAACTGAAATCCTTCATAATATCTATGTTCTAGTCGTAGATACCAGTTAGGATACCTAGGAGAGTTCTTAAATGCCTCTTCTTTCAAGGAAAAAAATTAGAATGAATTAACTAGTTAACAACCAAGAGTAATAGCTATTATTTCTACATGTAGCTGCCTAATGTCACACACTTTTATATATTCATAGTGATTCCTTGTAACAACCTTGATACATATTGCCCGGATTTTGAAAGGGCTTTGAGGTTATTTGCCCAAGGTCATGATAACAGAGATGGTATTCAGAATAAGATCTGACTTCAAAGCCTTTCCAGTCTGTCTTTCCATTTTGTCTCCAGCCATGAAAATGGAAAGACAAAAAAGTTTATATCCTCTTTTAAATTGTCTTCTAATACACTGAATGGGTTATGTGTAGAAACCAAGTGAGAATATATAATTGGTTTTTCTGTAACAACTTATAGACTTTTCCCTCATTGTAGGGACTCTGAGATCATGCAAGAAAAGCAGAAGGCAGCTAATGAGAAGAAGTCTATGCAGACAAGAGAAAAGTGATGACTGGCTATTTGGAAAACCTGGGTGCTACTGCCAACTGGGTGTATCATAAGCTCTAAGATCAAGATTTTGTAGAGTGGACAGTCATTACATATGTTATAACTTATCCTTTAAAAACTATTTTAAACTTTATCCTTTCAGCTTTACTTAGTGCGATGTTTTAGAAGCAGTCTTCAAAGAATAAAACACTAACCATGCATGTGACATATTGGTGAACATTATTTTTATTATTGAACATTCATATATAATTTATTAGGTAATATGATCAGATAATAGGATCTCTTATATAATAAAGAATCTTTGTCATCAGCTTTGTTAACATAGTTTTTTTTTCCTCACAGTTTCTAAGGATAAGGATAAAATAGATCTTTGAAGTAAACTTAAATATATAATAGAAGTTAGGGTCCATTTGTATAATTTTGCTTTGAAATCAAGTTAAAGGGCCAGGTGCGGTGGCTTATGCCCACAATCCCAGCACTTTGGGAGGCCGAGGCGGGCGGATCACTTGAGGTCAGGAGTTTGAGACCAGCCTGACCAACATGATGAAACCTCATCTTTACTAAAAATACAAAAAAAAAAAAAAAAAAAAATAGCCAGGTGTGTGGTGGCACATGCCTGTAATCTCAGCTACTCGGGAGGCTGAGGCAGGAAAATCGCTTGAACCCAAGGCAGAGGTTGCAGTCAGCAGATATTGCACCACTGCACTCCAGCCTGGGCAACAAAGCAAGACTCTGCCTCAAAAAAAAAAAAAAATCAACTTACAAAGCTTGCTTGAACAATTTACAACAGATACTTCAAACCACTGGAATAGAAACTAAGTGGATGTAAACTGAGGTCTCAGTTCTACTTATAGCTTTAACATTTTTTGGAATGAGTACCATATTTTCTGTTCTCAGCCTCTTCTAAAACTTGAGTCTTGATGGTAGTTATAAATTTGGAAATATGTAACCTAGAGAAATTAAGGTTTGAGACCTTGCTGCACTCTGAAGTAAACACAAAACTATGTCAGAGAGAATAAAAATGCCATTGTAGTAGTAAATAGAATAACTTAAAGTATTCTACAAATACTTGATTTTTCACATAATGCAATTTAACAAATTTTTCTGATCACCCAATATGTCAACCACTATCTGAATGGACAGATCTTGAAGTTAGCCTAACACAATATCTTGTGATTTGTCTCTTACCAGTGGTACCACCCATAAATAGGCTAGAATTTTTTGTGTCTAATACTGAATTCGACAACCAGGAAGTTTTTTGGGTTTTTGTGGGGTGTTTTTTTTTTTTTTGAGACAGAGTCTTGCTCTCTCGCCCAGGCTAGAGCGCAGCAGTGCCATCTCGGTTCACTGCAACCTCCGCCACCTGAGTTCAAGCGATTCTCCTGCCTCAGCCTCCTGAGGAGCTGGGACTACAGGCGCCCGCCACCACGCCCGGCTAATTTTTGTGTTTTTAGAAGAGATGGGGTTTCACCATTTTGGCCAGGCTGGTCTCAAACTACTAACCTCAGGTGATCCACCCTTCTTGGCCTCCCATAGAGCTGGGATTACAGGCGTGAGCCATCCCACCCGGCTGAAGTTTTTTAGCCTGAGTTTCTATCTTCATATTAGCCTAGATTTTTCATTAAATTAAAACATTGTTCTGGATCTTTGGTTAACTTTAGTCTTCAGAATATTCTATGATGGTAGTCACAAAGGCAAAAATTAAGTAGCTTAAGTTACATTCTAATAAAAGAAATAATAAAGAAATCTGATTGTACCACAAAGATTCTTTGTGGGCCTGGTTTCTGTAATTCTGTCTCCAGAATTTCTACACAGACTAATAAGCCATAAGTACAAAAAAACTTTTCATGCTTTAAGCTCTTTTCTTTGCCTTTTTTTTTAAATGAATAATTTCTTTAGTTTATCCTGTGGAATGGAAGAACTTTAGACCTTTTAATTCTTATAAATCGAGGGAAAGCTACGTTTCCAAAATAAAATGGATATTAGAATAAGGAAGATCTCTAGTTTGTAATCAATCATTAGTACTTTTTTTTTTTTTTTTTTGAGGCAGGATCTCGCCTTGTCACCCCGGCTGAGTGCAGTGGCACGAACGTGGCTCACTGCAGCCTCAACCTCCTGGGCTCAAGTGATCCTCCTGCCTCAGTCTCGTCTCCCAAGCAGTTGGGACTACAGGCGCATGCCACCACGTCAGGCTGATTTTTATATTTTTGGTAGAGATAGGGGTTTTGCCATGTTGCCCAGGCTGGTCTCCAACTCCTGAGCTCAAGTGAGCCACCTTCCACCTCTGCCCAAAGTGCTGGGATTACAGGCGTGAGCCACCATGCCTGGCCATTCTTGATTAATTTTTATGGCATTTAATTAAATAAATTTATTGTTAAGAGGTTTGATTTTTAACTGCAATATGACCAGATGTTTCCTCAAAGCAGGCGGAAAAATTATCGGAGAGGAAGAAAATTAAGTCTAATTGTTGGAGTATATTGACACCTATCATGTGGTATATTGTAATATATATATATATGCAATACATTGACACCAATCATGACACCACCATGTGGTATAGTTAAGGTAACTAAAAGTAGCTGAACTTATAAAGAGGGAAACAGGTCAATTATAGGATACTAAGGGAAAATACAGGTGAATAGCTTTTTTTTTTTTTTTTTTTTTTTTTTTTTTGAGACTGTGTCTTGCTTGCTCTGTTGCTGAGGCTGGAGTACAGTGGCACAATCTCGGCTGACTGCAACCTCTGCATCCCGGGTTCAAGCAATTCTCCTGCCTCAGCCTCCCAAGTAGCTGGGATTACAGGCGTGCACTACCACACCCAGCTAGTTTTTTTGTATTTTTAGTAGAGACAGGGTTTCACCATGTTAGCCAACCTGGTCTCAAACTCCTGATCTCAAATGATCTGCCTGCTTCGGCCTCCCAAAGTGCTGGGATTACAGATATGAGCCACCATGCCCATCCCTGGAGAATAATTTTAATTATTATTATTATTATTATTTTTTTTTTTTTTTTTTGAGACGGAGTTTCGCTCTTGTTGCCCAGACTGGAGTGCAGTGGCGTGATACTGGCTCACCGCAACCTCTGCCTCCCGGGTTCTCCCACCTCAGCCTCCCGAGTAGCTAGGATTACAGGCATGAGCCACCACGCCCGACTAATTTTGTGTTTTTAGTAGAGACGGGGTTTCTCCATGTTGGTCAGGCTGGTCTCGAACTTCTGACCTCAGGTGATCCGCCCACCTCGGCCTCCCAAAGTGCTGGGATTACAGGCATGAGCCACCACGCCCAGCCTTAGGAGAATGATTGTAAAAAGTAAATTCATGTAATGATTTTATTTAGTTTGGATATTGTTAGGGCTTGTTGCTAAAGAAAGATAAAATTATTAGGTGAGATAGTACCAGATTTAGAATATAATTTGGAAAATACCAAACTCCATGGAACCCTCCCTTTAAACATCAAAAATCGTATTTTGCATCATTCTTAGGAGGTAGTGCGTTATCATTAGCAATTTTCATTAAGTCCTGCTGAAAATGAGAAGCAGCAGCCATTACTGCCCAAGATACACTGTGGTCAGTTTTATCAGTTACTTTTTTTTTTTTTTTAAACAGAGTCTCGCTTTGTCATCCAGGCTGGAGTGCAATGGTGCGATCTCCGCTCACTGCAACCTCCACTTCCGTGCCTGGCTAATTTTTTGTAGTTTTAGTAGGGATGGGGTTTCACCATCTTGGCTAGGCTGGTCTCGAACTCCTGATCTCAAGTTATCCACTCGCTGGCCATCAGTCATTTATTTTTGAATGCCTCTTCTATTAGTAGCATGTGTAAGAAATTGTGATCCATTTATCAAACTAGCCAGTTTTTGAAAATAGGGCTAAAAGGAAACGTTGATTTCTGACATTTTCCAAAAACTTAAAAAATTTTTATATAGGCTGGGCACAATAGCTCACGCCTGTAATCCCAGCATTTTGGGAGGCCGAGGCAGGTGGGTCATTTGAGCTCAGGAGTTTGAGACCAGCCTGGGCAACACAGAAAAACCTCATCTCTACCAAAAAAAAAAAAATTAGGTGGGTGTGGTGGTGCACGCCTGTAGTCCCAGCTACTTGGGAGGCTAAAGTGGGAGGATCACCTGAACCCAGAAGGTCAAGGCTGCAGTGAGCCGAGATTGCACCACTGCCCTCCACCCTGGGTGATAAGAGTGGGACCCTGTCTCAAAACATACACACACACACACACACACACACACACACACACACACTCTCTCTCTCTCTCTCTCTCTCTCTCTCTCTCTCTCTCTCTCAAAAACACTTGGTCTGTTATTTTTACGAAATTGTCAGTCATAGTTATCTGTTAGACCAAAGCTGAGTAAGAACATTTATTACATTGCCTCCTACAACTTCATCAGCTAATGTATTTGCTATATAGCAATTACATATTGGAATATATTATCTTTAGAGATGGCCAAGTCATAAAACTGTCACTGAGAAAAGGAGAATGACAATGTGTATGCTCAAATGTACTTCCCTATAAATTTCCAAAAGACATGAAACTTACTACAGGTTTGTTTTTTTCACACCTTCACTTCTTAAAAACAAAAAAACTTTTACATAGCAGTAACTAATGCACATTAAAAGTTTATAAATAGCCTGCTATTGGATCATTTGCTTGGAAAAGTTGAGATTTTCAAATTTGATTATAACATAACTTTTGTAGAAATACACGGCCAGGTGCAGTAGCTCACATTTGTAATCTCAGCACTTTGGGAGGCTGAGGTGGGAGGATCGCTTGAGGCCAGGAGTTTGAGACCAGCCTGGGCAACATGACAAAACCCCATCTCCTCAAAAAGCACAAAAATTAGCCAGATGTGGTGGTGCACACCTGTAGTCCCAGCTACTTGGGGGACTGAGGTGGAAGGATGGTTTGAGTCTGGGAAGTTGAGGATGCAGTGAGCCAAGGTCATGCCACTGCACTCCAGCCAGGGTGACAAAGTGACACCCTGTCTCAATATAATAATTTTAAAAAGGTGCCTGTAATCCTAGCACTTTGGGAGGCCAAGGCGGGCGGATCACGAAGTCGGGAGTTCAAGACCAGCCTGGCCAATATGGTGAAACCCGTCTCTACTAAAAATACAAAAATTAGCCAGGTATGGTGGTGTGTGCCTGTAATACCAGCTACTTGGGAGGCTGAGGCAGGAGAATCGCTTGAACCCGGGAGGTGGAGATTTCAGTGAGCCGAGATTGCACCACTGCACTCCAGTCTGGGTGACAGAGCAAGACTTCATCTCAAAGAAATAAATAAATAAAAAACAAGGCCGGGCATGGTGGCTCATGCCTGTAATCCAGCACTTTGGGAGGCTGAGGCTGAGGTGGGCAGATCACCTGAGGTCAGGAGTTCAAGACCAGCCTGGCCAACATGGTGAAACCCCGTCTCTACTAAAAATACAAAAATTAGCCAAGCGTGGTGGTGGGCGCCTGTAATCCCAACTACTTGGGAGGCTGAGGCAAGAGAATTTCTTGACTCTGGGAGGCAAAGGTTGCAGTGAGCCGAGACTGCACCACTGCACTCTAGCCTGAGCAACAGAACAAGACTCTGTCTCAAAAAAAAAAAAAAAAAAAAAAACATACAAACCGAATTTCCATTCCACATACTACTCTTGCTGTTTTACCACTTGGACAAGACTGCTTGCTGGTACATAAGTTCTGGAACACTTCCTTGCAGCAGTCTGGCTGAGCCTTGGTATTTAAAAGAAATTTACCTACCAGCCTGGCTATAATTGACATAATCCTATTAAATACTTGCCTTTTATGAACATATATCACATGACATAAGTTTTTGTCAAATACTTTTTTTTTTGGTCAAAGACTGTAGCCTTATACCACTCAAGGGGGCTGTTAGGGTAGCTTATGAATGGATATTTCATACAGAGTTACGTATTTAACCCATTTCCTGTTTAGAAAATAAAAGTGGCCAGGCGCCGTGGCTCACGCCTGTAATCCTAGCACTTTGGGAGGCCGAGGTGGGTGGATCACGAGGTCAGGAGATCGAGACCGTCCTGGCTAACATGGTGAAACCCCGTCTCTACTAAAAATACAAAACATTAGCCGGGCATGGTGGCAGGCGCCTGTAGTCCCAGCTACTCGGGAGGCTGAGGCAGGAGAAAGGCATAGACCCGAGAGGCGGAGCTTGCAGTGAGCCGAGATCATGCCACTGCACTCCATGCACTCCAGCCTGGGCGACAGAGTGAGACTCCGTCTCAAAAAAAAAAAAAGAAAAAAAGAAAAAAAAAGTGCAGCTGGCTGCCAGCGCTCATTTAATTTTACATAAACACACTCTGAGGTTGACGCAAATTAATTTTCAATGTGAAAATACACAAACTGTTCTTAGAGTTATTTCTAAACAGAACTTGTCTCTAATCCTAATATAATGGAAATGTATATAATGTTACATTAGGATTAGAGGCAAGAGTATTCTTGGGGCAAACGGGAAAT
Organism: Homo sapiens; assembly: GCF_000001405.40. Taxonomy (NCBI): domain Eukaryota; kingdom Metazoa; phylum Chordata; class Mammalia; order Primates; family Hominidae; genus Homo; species Homo sapiens. The sequence goes on along the minus strand of NW_003315917.2, from coordinate 496,517 downwards.
GGGTTAGTATATACTTGAAGTAATATAACCACATCTAACCTGATTTCATGATATATTGGAATTTTTGGTTGCAAGCAACAGGATCAGATTAATGAACTTACTGATAAAAATCTTATTTGAAAGAATGAGAGACTCCAGAGTCATGGAAAAGTTGAGGACTCAAGGCTTTGGAAAGGTCAAGAATTGTAACAGTTTCAGGTATCTTAAGAGTAGGTGTTATGAGGTGTTTGTTTTTGTTTTTTTTTCTTACAGTGCTGATATCAGGTTGAACTTCTGACATGTATATTTAGTTTTTATGTCACTTGGAGTGCCTCCAACTGAAGTTACATGGGTTAGGTACCCATCCCTCAGCAAGAGGAGGGCAAGTTGATGGTAAAACCAACTCTAGTAAGGAGTAGGTGGTCCCCTGTATTAGTCCGTTCTCATGCTGATAATAAAGACATACTCGAGACTGGATAATTTATAAAGGAAAGAGGTTTAATTGACTCACAGTTGTGTATGGCTGGGGAGGCCTCAGGAAGCTTACAATCATGGCAGAAGGGGAAGCAAATACATCCTTCTTCACATGATGGCAGGAAGGAGAAGTGCAAAGCAAAAGGGGAAAAGCCCCTTATGAAACCATCAGATCTCCTGAGAACTCACTCACTATCATGAGAACAGCATGAAGGTAACCACCCCCATGATTCAATTACCTCCCACCAGGTCCCTCCCATGACACATGGGAATTATAGGAGCTACAATTCAGGATGAGATTTGGGTTGGGGACACAGCCAAACTATATCATCCCCCAAAAAATTTAGGGTTCTTTGCCAAAAGGAAGGGAGAATGGATGCTGAGCAGACTAAAATAATATATTTTAATCCCTCTTATTGAAAAGCTAAGACTAAATTTTTAAAATTGTATGTTTTTGTTTTTTTGAGACGGAGTGTCGCTCTGTCGCCCGGCTGGAGTGCAGTGGCGCGATCTCAGCTCACTGCAACATCCACCTCCCGAATTCAAACAATTCTCCCACCTCAGCCTCCTGAGTAGCTGGGACTACAGGAGCATACCACCATGCCCAGCTAATTTTTGTATTTTTAGTAGAGATGAGGTTTCACCATATTGGTCAGGCTGGTCTCGAACTGACCTCAGGCAATCTACCCACCTTGGCCTCCCAAAGTGCTGGGATTACAGACATGAGCCACCACGCCCAGCTAATTCTGTATTTTAAGTAGAGACGGGGTTTCACCATGTTGGTCAGGCTGGTCTCGAACTCCTGACCTCAGGTGATCCGCCAGCCTTGGCCTCCCAAAGTGCTGGGATTACAGGCGTGAGCCACCGAGCCTGGCTGTATTTTTAAATACAAAAATTTGCCAGGTATTGTGATGGGTGCCTGTAATCTCAGCTACTCGGGAGGCAGAGGCCGGAGAGTCACTTGAACCCAGGAGGTTGCAGTGAGCTGAGATCACACCACTGCACTGCAGCCTGGGTGACAGAATGAGACTCCATCTAAAAAAAGAAAAAAATGTATTTTTTAAAATACATGATATGGCAAATCATAAAGGTGGTAAGCATCTGAAGTGTGAGAAATAATCATGCAGCTTATGCAGTTTTTGTCTCTACCAATCTTTCAAACCCTCAAACTGCAATGCTTGCTCATTATAGAAAATCTGGGAAAATACAGTAAGTTCTAAATTTCCATAAATTCTAAATAGCATCTCTTTGAAAACTAACTCCTTGGGCATTTATCCCAGTGAAATGATAATAAACAGCCAGCATTTGAAATGTATATTTCAATGACTCGTATATGAATACTATGTTCAGATCACAATAAAGGACATTTCCAGCACCCTCTTAGATAATGCCTCCCATCTGATTATCACCATAGATTAGTTTTGCCTGTTTTTGAATTTTTTGTAAATGGGATCACACGGTATGTGCTGTAGTGAGCCTAGCTTGATTTGCTCAACGTTACGTCTAAAAGAATTCTCTATTTTGCTGCTATGCAGCAGTTCAGCCTTTTTCACTGTTGTGTAGCATTCTGTTATATGAATATACCATAATTTAGTTACTCTACATTTCATGGACCTTTGAATTGCTCCCACTTTGGGGCTGTTATGAATAATGCTACCGTAACATTTTTATATATCTTATGATGGTCTTAAACACGCTATCTACTGAGTATATGCCAGGAATGGAATTGCTGGGTCATAGGGTGTGTGTCTATACACACACATACACACATTTTTTAGTAGGTACCATCAAACAATTGCATTTTTGTTGTTTTTGTTTTAGTTTGTTTTTAATGACCATACCATTTTACCACCAGCAATAAAGGAAGGTTCCATTGCTCCATACCAGCATTAGGTATTATCAGTCCTTTTATCTTTAACCATATTGGTGGGAGGTAGTGGTATCTCATTGTAGTCTTAATTTACTTCCATATACTTAATTTAAATACACTCAATTTATATACACACACGTATACTCTCTCAGCCTTCAGTAAGCCAGTCCCATTCCCCTGAACTAACCAATGTTAATAATGGTATACTTCTCTCAGTGCTCATGCAAACATGCATACACACACATACACATAAATAAGGGGTGTGGGAATGTATTTGATTCTGAGAGCTGCTGTAACAAATTACCACAAACTTAGTGGCTTAAAACAACAGAAATATTTCTGTTCACAGTTCTGGAGGCCAGAAATCTGAGAGCAAGATGTCAGCTGGGCCACACCTCCCTCTGAAGGCTCCAAGGGAGAATCCTTGCTTTCCTCTTCCAGCTGCTGGTGGCTCCAGGTATTACTTGGCTTATGGCAGCATAACTCCTATCTCTGCCTTTGTCTTTGTGGTCTTCTTTTCTGTCTTCTTCCCTTCTTTTTATGAGGACTTTTGCTGTTGGATTTAGGTTCCATTCTAACCTAGGATGATCTCATTTGGAAATCCTTAATTTCATCTACAAAAACTGTTTTCCCAAATAGGTCACATTCACGCATATCAGATGGACAGATGTATCATTTTGGGGTCCACCATTCAACCCACTACAAGGAGTTTTTTAAACAAAAATAGGAAACTTAGATGTAACTTAGCACTTTTTTTTTTTTTTTTTGAGATGGAGTCTCACTCTGTCACCAGACTGGAGTGCAGTGGCGCCATCTCAGCTCCATGCAACCTCTGCCTCCTGGGTTCAAGCAGTTCTCTTGCCTCAGCCTCCTGGGTAGCTGGGATTACAGGCACGCGCTGCCACACCCAGGTAATTTATTTATTTTTTTTTTGAGACAGAGTCTCGCACTGTTGCCCAGGCTGGACTGCAGTGGCGTGATCTCTGCTCACTGCAACCTCCGCCTCCCGGGTTCAAGCGATTCTCCAGCCTCAGCTTCCTGAGTAGATGGGATTACAGGCGCCTGCCACCACGCCCAGCTAATTTTTTGTATTCTTAGTAGAGATGGGGTTTCACCATGTTGGCCAGGCTGGTCTCCATCTCCTGACCTCGTGATTCACCCGCCTCGGCCTCCCAAAGTGCTGGGATTACAGGCGTGAGTCACAGCCCCCGGCCATAATTTAGCACTTTAAAAAATAATAGCCATGTTGGGCCAGGCGTGGTGGCTCATGCCTGTAATCTGAGCACTTTGGGAGACCAAGGCGGGTAGATCCCTTGTGCCCAGGAGTTCAAGACCAGCCTGGGCAACATGGCGAAACCCCATTTCTACTAAAAATACAAAAATTAGCTGGGGCGAGGGGATAGGCCGAGTTCCGGGTGTAAGGGGGCCATTAGGGAGAGCAGAGTGAGGCAGCTGATCTTCCGGATTGGGGGCCTTGCCCGGAAGCTGGACCTCACGGAGATGAAACGGAAGATGCACGAGGATATGATCTCCATACAGAACTTTCTCATCTACGTGGCCCTGCTGCGAGTCACTCCATTTATCTTAAAGAAATTGGACAGCATATGAAGATTGGACATCACATGTGAATGCATGATATGAAGAGCCTGGTTACAGTTTCTACTGTTCTCTGCAAGTAAATAGGCCCAGAAAGGTATAAGAGACTCTTTGAATGGACATAAAAATTCTGCTTGTTAAGAACAAGTTGAGCTCTGGTAACTGATCTTAATAGCTAAAATATAAAAATATTTGGGAAGTCTGAAATGAGGTCTCCTGGCCCTGGTGTGCCCTTAATGCCTGTGACAGTTGGCCTCTGTGAATATTGGTATAATTGTAAATAATGTCAAACTCCATTTTCTAGCAAGTATTAATAATTAAGGGAAGTATGTCTGAAATGGCACTGTCTTGTCAGTCATTTCTGTTTACCCTTCTGTCTGGAGTGTATTTGTGAAGAGTCCCTTATAACTTATGTTTTATGGACATCAGCACATAACCACAATGACATTGAAGCACAGGATCATTAGTCTATATTTTATTTTATTATTTTATTTATTTATTTATTTATTTTTGAGATGGAGTCTTGCTCTGTCGCCCAGGCTGGAGTGCAGTGGCACAATCTCGGCTCACTGCAAGCTCTGCTTCCCAGGTTCACGCCATTCTCCTGCCTCAGCCTCCCGAGTAGCTGGGACTACAGGTGCCCACCACCACACCCGGCTAATTTTTTGTACTTTTAGTAGAGATGGGGTTTCACTGTTTTAGCCAGGATGGTCTCGATCTCCTGACCTCATGATCCACCCGCCTTGGCCTCCCAAAGTGCTGGGATTATAGGTGTAAGTCACCATGCCCAGCCCGTTAGTCTATATTTTTAAGTAAACATACCAATTAAGAAAGAAGCCAAAAACCAAAATTAGCCAGGTGTGGTGGCACGTGCCTGTAGTCCCAGCTACTTGGGAGGCTGAGGTGTGAGGATCACTTGAACTCAGGAGGCAGAGGTTGCAGTGACCCAAGATGGTGCCGCTGCACTCCAGCCTGGGTGACAGAGTGAGACCCTGTTTCCACAAAAAGAAAAAAAAAATAGCCGTGCCTGTACTTCAGTACTTACAAATTTAACTTTAGTATAGATGTACAGTAATTTATTCAATCATTTCCTTACTCATAGACAATTAGGATGTTGCAACTTTTGCCACTACAAACAATTCTGCGATGTGGATTATCGTACTTATTCCCATTTATTGGTGCTTTCATTTCTATAAGAATGGATTTTTAAAGATAGAATTCCTTGGGAATAGTTATGTCAAAGCCAAATATAATATAGAGACAAATCTCTAAAAACATTTTATTTGGTAAGCAAGAGCTGCAATTCATGGCATACACACAGACCGGGCTGATCATTGGTATGATCAGGAGAATAAAGGGAAGGTTGCGGCCAGGTGTGATAGCTCATGCCTGTAATCCCAGCACTTTGGGAGGCCGAGGCGGGCAGATCACCTGAGGTCAGGAGTTTGAGACCAGCCTGACCAACATGGAGAAACTCCGTCTCTACTAAAAATACAAAATTAGTTGGGCATAGTGGCGCATGCCTGAATCCCAGCTACTCAGGAGGCTGACACAGGAGAAATGCTTGAACCCGGGAGGTGAAGGTTGCAGTGAGCCGAGATCGCGCCATTGCACTCCAGCCTGGGCAACAAGAGCAAAATTCCATCTCAAAAAAAAAAAAGAGAAGGTTCCGGGTTTTATGAGAAAGAACAGTATTACATACTGTTTTGGAAGAAAGCTCATTCACACTAGAGCTTGTGGGAGCTAGCAAGCTCTGATTGGTGAGCGATGGTGGTAGGTAAAACCAGTCTTAGAGTCATGGCAGTTCATTTTAGCAGCTATTAGGTAAAACTGGTCTTAGGGATACAGAAGGCTGGTTCAGCAGTTGGACTTGTGGAAAATTTAATTCTTGAAGCAGATGCTGTGTGCCCCGAATGCTTCTTCCCCCTGGCCCTTCAACTCTGATTTAGTTGAGTATTTCAAGAATGACCCAATTTATGTAATCAACTTTCACAGGTATACATGTCTTAAACTTTAAACAGATGTTTTGGGTTTTGTTGTTGTTGTTTTTGAGACGGAGTCTCACTCTGTTGTCCAAGCTGGAGTGTAGTGGTGTGATCTCGGCTCACTGCAACCTCCGCCTCCAGGGTCAAGTGATTCTCCAGCCTCAGCCTCCTGAATAGCTGGGATTACAGGCGCCCGCCACCACGCCCAGCTAATTTTTGTATTTTTAGTAGAGATGGGGTGGGGTTTCACCATGTTGGCCAGGCTGGTCTTGAACTCCTGACATCAAGTGTTCTGCTCACCTCAGCCTCTGAAAGTGCTGGGATTACAGGCGTGAGCCACTGCGCCCGGCAGTCTTTCCTTCTTTTTTTTTTTTTTTTTTTTTTTTTTTAATGACATGGGGTCTTACTTTATTACTCAGGCTGGTCTCAAACTTCTGGCCTCAAGGAATCTTCCCACCTTGGCCTCCCAAATTGCTGGGATTACAGGCATAAGTCATCATGCCTGGCTACAAACAGATATTTTCAATAAGAGGATAAAAGTTCATTTCCCCATACTTTGCTAACATCAAATGTTATTAATTCCTAATAGTTTTGCCAAACTGAGAGGAAAATGGTATGTTAGTTTTTCTGGGTTTTCTTTCTTTTTAATTTTTTTTCTTTTTTATTCATCGCAACACTATTCACGATTTTTTTATTTTTTATTTTATTTATTTATTTATTTTTTTTTGAGACAAGGTCTCCCTATGTTGCCCAGGCTGGTCTTGTACCCCTGGGCTCAAAGGATCCTCCTGCCTCAGCCTCCCAAAGTGCTAGGATTACAGGCATGAGTCACCACGCCTGGTTCACAATTTCTTTTTGTTTTTACCAAAGGCAGGTATATTCCTGAAATTTTTTGTTTTTTTGTTTTTTTTTTGAGATGAAGTCTCACCCTGTCACTCAGACTGGAGTGCACTGGCACGATCTCAGCTCACTGCAACCTCCGCTTCCTAGGTTCAAGCGATTCTCCTGCCTCAGTCTTCAAAGTAGCTAGGATTATAGGCGCCGCAACCATGCTCAGCTAATTTTTGTATTTTTAGTAGAGACAGGATTTCACCATGTTGGCCAGGGTGATCTCAAATCCTGACCTCAAGTGATCCGCCTGCCTCAGCCTCCCAAAGTGCTGGGATTACTGGCATGAGCCACCGTGCCAGGCCCTGAAATGTTATCTTAGTTATTAATTTGCAATTCCTTGGCTCTAGAGGTTGGGCATCTTCTCAGATCTCTAGTGGACATTTGGATTTTCTTTTTGGTGAACTGTCCAGTTTTTCTCTCTGCTTTACAATCTTTATTATATGCAATCTTCACATGTAGGTACTACCATTTTTTTAGTTTGTTTTTGAAACAGCATATTGCTCTGTTGCCCAGGCTGGAGCACGGTGGCAAAAACATGGCTTACTGCAGCCTTTGACCTCCTTGGCTCAAGTACTCCTCCTGTCTCAGCCTCCTGAGTAGCTGGTACCACAAGCCCATACCACCATGCCCAGCTAATTTATTTTTGTAGAGATGGGGCCTGACCATGTTACTTGGGCTCAAATGATCCTCTCCCACTCAGCCTCCCAAAGTGCTAGGATTACAGGCATGAGCCACCATACTTGGCCCTTTTTTTTTTTTTTTTTTTTTTTTTTTTGAGACAGAGTCTTGCTCTGTCTCACAGGCTGGTGTGCAGTGGCACGATCTCAGCTCATTGCAACCTCCACCTCCCAGTTTCAAGTGATTTTTGTGCCTCAGCCTCCCTAGTAGCTGAGATTACAGGCATGCACCACCATGCCTGGCTGACTTTCATATCTTTAGTGTTGCCATGTTGGCTAGGCTGGTCTCAAACTCCTGACCTCATGTGATCCACCTGCCTCGGACTCCCACAGTGCTGGGATTACAGGTGTTAGCCACCACCCCGACATTATTTGAAACTTTTATTTTATCATGAGAGAGTTCCAGGAGTCAACTGAAGAGAGATTTTTGGTATGAAAATTACATATGCAAAAAGACTGATTCCAGTACATGAAATTAAATTCAACATTTACATTAAATGCCTTCAAATATGGTAAAATGGTTTCTTTTGGCAGTTTACCTCATTATGTTTTGAATGATTTGTCTATCATATGAAATAACTTTTATAAATATAGTAACTCAGGCCTGGGCACAGCGGCTCAAGTGGGAGGACTGCTTAAGCAACCGAGTTTGAGACCAGCGTGGACAACATGGGGAGACCCCTTCTCTCCCAAAAAATAGCTGAGCATGGCAGCGCACTGCTAAAGGAAACAGAGTTTCTTTGGTGGGTGATTAAAATGTTCTGGAGTTAGATAGTAGTGATGGTTGCACAACCTTGTGAATATATTAAGGTTTCCGCTCTATCTACCATTCAATTGTACTCTCTAAAACGATTAATTCTATAGTATATCAATTATATCTCTAAATAATAAAAACAAAAAGAAATGGCTGGGTGCGGTGGCTCATGCCTGTAATCGCAGCACTTTGGGAGGCTGAGGCGGGCGGATCACAAGGTCAGGAGTTTGAGACCAACCTGACCAACATGGCAAAACCCAGTCTCTACTAAAAATACAAAAATTAGCTGGGTGTGGTGGCACACGCCTGTAATCCTAGGTACTCGGGAAGCTGAGACAGGAGAATCACTTGAACCCGGGAGGCAGAGGTTGCAGTGAGCCACTGCACTCCAGTCTGGGTGGCAGAGCGAGACTCCGTCTCAAAAAGAAAAAAATTAAAAAACAAAAAGAAACCTGGTTCTATATTTTGTTTAAATTTATTTTTTTAACCATCATGTAATATGTCCAGGTAATTTGTTTAAATTTTGACATCAAATGCAATTGTGAGAATTTTTATGATTCAGAAAAATCTAAGCAAGCTTTATAAAAACATACTTTTTTTTTTACTTTTTTTTTTTTTTCTGAGACACAGCCTCACTCTGTCGCCCAGGCTGGAGTGCAGGTTTTCATGTTTATCTGTGAGATGTACCTTTGGCACATTACTTTCCTGACATGAGATTTAAATTTTTTTTTTTATCTTGTGACAATTTAACTTTTTTGACACATAAAAATTGTACATATTTATTTGTTTGAGATGGAGTCGCACTCTGTCACTCAGGCTGGAGTGCAGTGGCGTGATCTTGGCTCACTGCAACCTCCGCCTCCCGAGTTCAAGTGATTCTCCTGGCTCAGCCTCCCAAGCAGCTGTCATTACAGGCCTGCACCACCACACCCGGCTGATTTTTGTATTTTTAGGAGAAACAGGGTTTCACCATGTTGGCCAGGCTGGTCTTGAAGTCCTGACCTCAAGTGATCCACCCACCTTGGCCTCCCAAAGTGCTGGGATTATAGGCATGAGCCACCGTACCAGACCCCTAAAAATTGTATATATTTAAGGTGTACCATTTGATGTTTAGATATACATTGTGAAATGATTACATTCCACATATTACCTCTACAGAGTTACCATTTTTGTACACTTGGTCAACATCATCCCATTCTCCCCTTCCTCCACAGATATTTCTTGTATACTATATAGAAGCCAAGGGTATTTTGGGGGAAGAGCTCAAAGTTCCTTTCGTGGAGTTAAAAATATATATATACTATGTACATATAAGCCATTTAGCAACCCTAGATGCTTAATAAAGAATACTGGAGGCCCGGTGTGGTGGCTCACACCTGTAATCCCAGCACTTTGGGAGGCCGAGGCGGTCGGATTACGAGGTCAGGAGTTCAAGACCAGCCTGGCCAACATGGTGAAACCCCATCTTTACTAAAAATACAAAAATTAGCCGGGTGTGGTGGTGGGCGCCTGTAATCCCAGCTACTCGGGGGGCTGAGGCAGAATTGCTTGAACCTGGGAGGCAGAGGTTGCAGTGAGCTGAGATCACGCCACTGCATTCCAGCCTGGGTGACAGAGCAATACTCTGTCGCAAAAAAAAAAAAGAATACTGGAGGCTGGGCGAGGTGGCTCACACCTGTAATCCCAGCATTTTGGGATGCCAGAGGCGGGCGGAATATCTTGAGCTCAGGAGTTCGAGACCAGCCTACACAATATGCTCCAAACGCCGCCTCTACAAAACATACAGAAACTAGCCGGGTGTGGTGGCGTGCCCCTGTGGTCCTAGCTACTTGGGAGGTTGAGGCGGGAGGATCGCTTGAGCTCGGGAGGTCGAGGCTGCAATGAGCCGAGATGGTGCCACTGCACTCTGACGACAGAGCGAGACTCCGTCTCAAAACAAACAACAAATAAGGTTGGGGGATCAAATATCTTCTAGTGTTTAAGGATCTGCCTTCCTTCCTGCCCCCATGTTTGTCTTTCCTTGTTTGTCTTTATATAGATCAAGCAGGTTTTAAATTCCTAGTAGGAGCTTACATTTACTTTTCCAAGGGGGAGGGGGAATAAATATCTACACACACACACACACACACACACACACACACACACACACACACACTGGAGTTCGAGACGAGGCCTAAGCAACATGCCGAAACCCCGTCTCTACTAAATACAAAAAATAGCTGAGCTTGGTGGCGCACGCCTATAGTCCTAGCTACTGGGGAGGCTGAGGTGGGAGGATCGCTTGAGCCCAAGAAGTCGAGGCTGCAGTGAGCCGAGATCGCGCCGCTGCACTCCAGCCTGAGCGACAGGGCGAGGCTCTGTCTCAAAACAAACAAACAAAAAAAAAAGGAAAGGAAATATAACACAGTGAAATGAAAGGATTGAGAGAAATGAAAAATATACACGCCACAAATGTGGGAGGGCGATAACCACTCGTAGAAAGCGTGAGAAGTTACTACAAGCGGTCCTCCCGGCCACCGTACTGTTCCGCTCCCAGAAGCCCCGGGCGGCGGAAGTCGTCACTCTTAAGAAGGGACGGGGCCCCACGCTGCGCACCCGCGGGTTTGCTATGGCGATGAGCAGCGGCGGCAGTGGTGGCGGCGTCCCGGAGCAGGAGGATTCCGTGCTGTTCCGGCGCGGCACAGGCCAGGTGAGGTCGCAGCCAGTGCAGTCTCCCTATTAGCGCTCTCAGCACCCTTCTTCCGGCCCAACTCTCCTTCCGCAGCCTCGGGACAGCATCAAGTCGATCCGCTCACTGGAGTTGTGGTCCGCGTTTTTCTACGTCTTTTCCCACTCCGTTCCCTGCGAACCACATCCGCAAGCTCCTTCCTCGAGCAGTTTGGGCTCCTTGATAGCGTTGAGTGGAGGCCCTGCCGCGACTTGGCAGTAGCTTATTTTGTTCACTCCTCTCTGGCTGGTGTGGGGGAGGTGGGGGCATTAGGCCAGGGTGAAGCAGGGGAACCACTTAGGAGTCTGTTAAGATGATCTGAACTTCAGAACAAGATGTTATTAACAGAGTGAAAGTATTTGGATTCTGGGTATATTTTGAAATCGGAGGCAACAGGTTTTTCAGATAGATTCGATAACGGAGGTTATCCTGAATAGTTGAAAAGATAAAGTTGCCTTTTGCTGAGGTGGGAAAGAGAAGATTGCCAGTAGAGCAGGTTTCTCAGGAGTTCAGTCTTGGGCATAGCATGGTAGGGGTGAATTTGGCTGGAGTGAGTTGGAGAGTAGGAGAAGAGAAATCCAAGGCAACATTTGACCAGCCTGGGCAACATAGTGTGACTCCGAGTCTGCAAAAATTAGACGGGTGTTGTGGTGCGCGTCTGTGGTCTCAGCTACCTGGAAGGTTCAGGCCTTGGAAGGCTCAGGGAGGTGGAGGCTGCAGTGATCTGTGATTGCGCCTCTGCACTCCAGCCTGGGCGACAGAGCCAGACCCTGTCTTAAAACAAAATAAACGGCCGGGCGCGGTGGCTCAAGCCTGTAATCCCAGCACTTTGGGAGGCCGAGGCGGCCGGATCACAAGGTCAGGAGATCGAGACCATCCTGGCTAACACGGTGAAACCCCGTCTCTACTACAAATACAAAAAATTAGCCGGGCGTGGTGACGGGCGCCTGTAGTCCCAGCTACTCGGGAGGCTGAGGCAGGAGAATGTCATGAAGCCGGGAGGCGGAGCTTGCAGTGAGCCGAGATCGCGCCACTGCACTCCAGCCTGGGCGATAGAGCAAGACTCCGTCTCAAATAAATAAATAAATAAATAAATAAATAATAAAAACATCGGTAGGCATATTTCAAGGAATTCTATTTAAAAAAAATTTTTTTAGAGACAAGTTCGCTCTCTGTGGCCCAGGCTGGAGTACAGTGGCATGATCCTAGCCCATGGCAGCGTTGATCTCTTGGCCTCAAGCGACCCTCCTTTGGAGTCGCTGGGCCTAAAGGAGTGAGCCACCACGAAATTTTATTATAAATGGAGGGTAGAGAAATTGGGCAATAAATGGAGGGGGAAGTGAGTTAAGAGGAATTTTAATTATGTGTGTGTGGTTTTAAAAGAGGGGGGTCTTGCTCTGTTGCCCAGGCTGCTGGGGTGCCAGTGGCGCAATCATGAATCACTACAGCCTTGGACTCCTGGCCTCAAGCTATCCTCCCACCTCTGCCTCCCAAAGTACTGGGATTACTAGTGTGAGCCACTGCACTAAGATAGGAGCAACATGTTTCAGCATGTTTGTGGGTTGATAGGAAAGATGAGAATGGGAAAGTTGATGTCGGAAAGAAGACAATGGCTAGAGCAATGTCCTAGAGTAGGTAAGAAGGGATGGATTTGGCCTTTGTTGGAAACATTAGCGGTTCTTTTGGTGACAGCTATATAGTTAACACATCTATGATACGTGAATGGGCAGATAGGATGGCAGGAGATTTTGAAAGTTCTCTTGATTCTTACTGTTCTCTTAGTGAAAGAAGCAAGGTTATCAGCTAGAAGCTGGGATGGGAGAGGAAAGAGAAGATGGGAAGTAGATAGTTCTTTAGAAGAGTGGGCAAGGGTTGGACTAGGGAAGTTTAGTGGAAATATTGCTAGGCAACATAAAGAGCCTACTTGAGATTCGTGGTCATGAGTTGAAGGAGACCAGACAGCAAGATTGTGTATGAGGGCACCCACAGAGTAAATGGAGAGTTGAAATTAATGCAGTTGTGATTTTACCACGTGGATATGAAGAAGTGAGGGGGAGAAGTACAAAGGAGTTCTCTTAATGATTGACCATGGAATTTAAGCTGGCTAAGAAAGGAAGTGAGAGGCCGGGCGCGGTGGCTCACGCCTGTAATCCCAGCACTTTGGGAGACTGAGGTGGGTGGATTACCTGAGGTCAGGAGTTTGAGACCAACCTGGCCGATATGGCGAAACCCCATCTCTAATAAAAATACAGAAAAATTAGCCGGGAATGGTGGCAGGTGCCTGTAATCCCAGCTACTCAAGAGGCTGTGGCAGGAGTATCCCTTGGACCCAGGAGGTGGAGGTTGCAGTGAGCCGAGATCACGCCACTGTACTCCAGCCTGGACGATATAGTGAGACTTCACCTCAAAAAAAAAAAAAAAGAAAGGAAGTGAGGATTTTAAGACCCTGAGAGACAGTTTAAAAAGTGGGAGGATCGGCCGGGCGCTGTGGCTGACACCTGTAATCCCAGCACTTTGGGAGGCCGAGTTGGGCAGATCACAAGGTCAGGAGTTCGAGACCAGCCTGGCCAATATGGTGAAACCTTGTCTCTACTAAAAATACAAAAATTAGCCGGGCATGGTGTCACGTGTCTATAATCCCAGCTACTCGGGAGGCTGAGGCAGAAAAATTGCTTGAACCTGGGAGGCAGAGGTTGCAGACAGCTGAGATCACTCCATTGCACTCCAGCCTGGGCAACAAGAGCAAAACTTTGTCTTTAAAAAAAAAAAAAAAAAAAGAATACAAAAATTAGCCGGGCGTGGTGGCGCGTGCCTATAATCCCAGCTACTTGGGAGGCTGAGGCAGGAGAATCAGTTGAACACGGGAGGCGAGGTTTGCAGTGAGCCGAGATTGCGCCACTGCACTCCAGCCTGGGCGACAGAGCAGGACTCCTCTTGGAAAAAAAAAATTAGCTGGGCATGGTGGCAGGTGCCTGTAGTCTCAGCTACTAGGGAGGCTGAGGCAGGAAAATCACTTGAACCCGGGATGTGGAGTTTGCAGTGACCCGAGATCGTGCCACTGTACTCCATCCTGGGCGACAAAATGAGACTCTGCCTCAAAAAAAAAAAAAAAAAAAAGTGGGAGGATCAATGTACTGCCAGTCCTAATGAAGTGGAATGATTGTCCCCATCAAATCACTAGTAGGAGTAAGTTGCAGAGCCTAGAAGGTGATGGTTAAGAGAGTGGGATTCTTGAAACTGCATTTATGGAGAGGTTGTGGTTATTGGTTATAATAAATAAATACAGTTGAAGTGAGTGAGTAGCTGAGATTTGGGGATGTATCAGTTCATTCTTACACTGCTACAAAGACATACCTGAGACCAGGTATTTATAAAGATAAGAGGTTTAATCAGCTCACAGTTCTGCTGCCTGTACAGGCTTCTCTTGTGGAGGCCTAAGGAAACTTACAGTCATGGTGGAAGGTGAAGGGGAAACAAGCACAGTCTTCACATGGCCAGCAGGAGAGAGAGAGAAGGGGGAAGTGCTACATACTTTAAAACAACCAGATCTTGTGAGAACGCTTATCAGGAAACAGCACTTGGGGATGGTGCTAAATCATTAGAAATCACCCCCATGATCCAGTCGCCTCCTACCATGCCCACCTCCAACACTGGGGATCACAATTCAGCATGAGATTTGGGTAGGAACACAGAGCTGCACCACATCAGAGGATGTACAAGATTGTGGTGGAGAGGAGTTTAGAGACCTGCAAATATAGGGTAATTGAAGGGATCATCTACATGGATATTTAAATCACCAAAAATTATGACAGGAGTAGTGTTGGAGAGAGAACTGCGATGTAAACATTAAGGAATGAGGAAGAGTGACTCGGTAGGCTGTAGGTGACTGCAATAGGAAACGATAATAGACTGTGAGTCTGGTGACAAGATTTTCCTTCTTTCTTTTTTTCCCCCCCCCCGAGACAGGGCCTCTTTTTGTTGCCCAGGTGGGAGTGCAGTGGCGCGATCACGGCTCACTACAACCTCCTCCCAAGCTCAAGGGATTCTCCCACTTCAGCCTCTCAAGTAGCTGGAACTACAGGTGCTGACCACCATGCCTGGCTACTTTTTGTCAGGATTTTCAAGGCTGGGAATTTTGAGAGGGGAATGGAGGAGAATAATCTGAAAGTGCAAGTAAGGAGCAGGGAAGATTTCTTTTTTCTTTTTTTTTTTTTTTTTGAGTCGGAGTCTGGCTCAGTCGCCCAGGCTGGAGTGCAGTGGCGAGATCTCCGCTCACTGCAAGCTCCGCCTCCCGTGTTCACGCCATTCTCCTCCTTCAGCCTCCCGAGTAGCTGGGACTACAGGCGCCCGCCACCACGCCCAGCTAATTGTTTTTTTGTATTTTTAGTAGAGACGGGGTTTCACCGTGTTAGCCAGGATGGTCTCAATCTCCTGACTTTGTGATCCGCCCACCCCGGCCTCCCAAAGCGCTTGGGATTACAGGCGTGAGCCACCGCGCCAGCCAGAGCAGGGAAGATTTCTTCCCCACATCTCCAGTAGGTACAGTGATATGAAGTGTGTGGAGGAGAAAAGAGGAAACATCTATCATTTGAGATGGCTGCGAAAGGAAAAGGCATCCTCAGGGAGCTAGATTTTACTTAGAGCAAGAAATGAAGGGATGATTCAGAGGTTAAAGAGTGGATTTTATGAATTACTCAAGGGAGCACAGTGGAAGTTTCAGGAAGTGGTAGGAGAAGGTAGAAGATGGCAGGGTGTTGGGAATAATTTGAGAAATCTGAGCTACTGGAAATGACTGAGAATCAGATATAAAGGCAGTCCTGGTGGTCCGTTCTGGCTGCCGTTGCTGTGTAACGAATCTGCCAAAACTTAGTGGCTTGAAACAACAAAGAACATTTTATTATCTCTCATTGTTTCTGTGGGTTAGGAATTTGTGAGAGCCGTGCTGGGCAGTTTTCGTGCGGCTGTCTCGTGGTTGCACCTACATAGTTGCTAGAGCTACAGTAGCTGGGGACTGAGCAGCTAGGGATTGGCAGGCTATCTCTTTTTTTCATGTAGTCTCATGAAGATTTCTTTATGTGGTTTCAATGTGTGGGCTGGTTTGGATTTCCTTATAGCATGGTGGCCTCAGTTGGATTGCTGTTTTGTGATCCTTTTCATCCCTCCTTGTCCTGTCCCCAGACAACCACTGATCTACTTTCTGTCACCATAGATTAGCCTGCATTTTTAAGAATTTTTATAAACGTGGAATGATAGAGTACCTTTTTTGTCACGTTTCTTTTATTTATCATAGCTATTTTGATTTTCATCCATTTTATTGCTGAGTAGTATCCCATTGCATGTATATACTATACTGTATTCATTCGCTTGCTTGTGAACATTTGGGCTTTTTCCAGTTTGGGACTGTTAACAAGTAGAGCCACTATGAATATTAGTGTATAAGACTTCATATAGCCAAGGCTGGCAGATCGCTTGAGCCCAGGAGTTTGAGACCAGCCTGGGAAACATGGTGAAACCTCTATTTTTATTTTAAAATCAAAAATTAAAAATTTTCTATAAAAAATTTTAAAGAAGACTTTGTATAGACATACGCTTTCATTTTTCTTGAGTGAATACTTAGGTCTCAGGGTAGATGTATTTTAAGTCTTTAAGGAGCTGTCAAACTCTTCCTCAAAGTGGTGGTTGTACCATGTTACTTTTTAATATAACAGAGATTAATTGAGCAAAGAAAAATTCAAAAGTTGGACAGCCCCCACAACTAAATAGGTTCAGAACAGCTCCCCCATTTTGCATTTTGACCAGCAATGTATGAAAGTTCCATTTGCTCAGTGTCCCTGCAAACACCTGGTATGGTCAGTCTTTTTAATTTTAGGCATTATAATAGATATAGTGGCTTCTTGTGATTTTAATTAGCATTTCCTAATGACCAGTGCTGCTGTTGATCATTTCATGAGTGTATTTGCCATCCGTATATCTTTTTTGGTGAAGTGTCTATTCAAATCATTTGGGTTTTTTTTTTGTTTGTTTTTTTTTTTTGGAGACAGTGTCTCACTCTGTCACCCAGGCTGTTGTGCAGTGGTGCAATCACACAGCCTACTGCAGCCTCCACCTCCTGCGCTCAGTCTTCTTGTCTCAGCCTTCTGAGTAGCTGAAATTACGAGCACACGCCACAATGCCTGGCTAATTTTTTAAAATTTTGTAGAAACAAGGTCTCATTATGTTGCCTGGGCTTGTCGTGAACTCCTGGGCTCAAGCAATCTTCCTGCCTCAGCCTCCCAAAGATTGGGATTGCAAGTATGAGCCACTGCACCCGGCCAACTTACCCATCTTTTAATTGAATTTTTTTGTTGTTGAGGTTTGAGAGTTCTTCATGTTTGCTGGGTACAATATCTTTATCAGATAGGTAACTTGCATGTATTTTCTCCCGGTTTACACTTTGGTTTTTCATTTTGTTAACAACGTCTTTTTAAGAACAGAAAATCTTAATTTTGCTGAAATCTAATTTTTCAGTTTTTTCTTTGATGGTTTTGAGAGAGGAGGTAAAAAAAGACTAGGTAAGCCGATAGTTAGACAGAGTCCTCGGTAGAACTTCCCTTCTAACAAAAAGCAGCCCAAGAAATCACTTCTCTTCTAACAAGGAGCAGCCTGGAAGATCGGGCTGTAAACATGTATAAGGAAGCAGCTCTGGCACAGAGGGGGAGCTTCCTGGGTAATCAGCAAGCTTCACATACGTAAGGTGGGTATGTGAAGTAAACACAGTATGTGAAGTAAACACAGTGGACCTTAGTACATACTCAGATAAGGAAGCTGGAAGCTTGCATGTTGTGAGTTGTTGGGGTTGCCTGCAGCTGCACGGAGAGAAAGGGGTACCTGGGGCCAGGCATGTCCACCATGGTGGCTCCACCTCCCCTTATTTAGCACATGCACAATAGGAAAGAGATAAGCAATGTGGAGTAGCTCAGGCCAAGGACCTGCCTGCATAATAAAAGGTTGGGGTGGGGGATGCCAGAGATTCACGCTCTGTGCAGATGGCAACACCTGGTCCTAACTGGTTTTTTGCTCCCTATGTGTAGATAAGCTACCCCCTTCCCATTAGCTCATTTATAAAAATGCTTGCATTTCACTGTGGAATGGGAACTCTTTTCAGGACCTCTCTCTGCAGGAGAGAGCTAGTCTCTTTCTTTTGCCTATTAAACTTCTGCTCTAGCCTCACACCCTTGGTGTGTCAGCGTCCTTGATTTCCTCAGCGTGAGACCAAGAACCTCGGGTGCCACCCCAGGCAACAAGGCCATTTCAGTTTGTTCTTTTGTTATAGGCAATCCATGATCACAGATTTTTCTCTCTTTTTTTTTTTTACACAGTTTAGAGTTTTAGTTTTACACTTAGGTCTGTAATCCATTTTGTATTAATTCTTATATGTGGCTCAGTGTAGGTGGAAATTTGGTTTGTTTTTGCATAAGGATTTCCAATAGTTTTACCACCATTTCTTGAAACTACTATGCTTTCTCTATTAAACCACATTTGTAACTTTAGTTAAAATCAGTCACATATATCACAGGGCTATTTCTGACTCTCAATTCTGTTACATTGTCTATTAGTGTATATTGATGTCAGTACTACACTTTTAATTACTATTGCTTCAGGGTATGTCTTGTAAACCAAAAATAAAATTATAGGCCCCCCCCGCCCCTGCACAACCAACTGAATGGACCCATCCTCTCAGCCAAGGGCATTCCAAAATTAACCTGAAAAACTAGTTCAAGCCATGATGGGAAGGGGGAGTTGGACATGTCTCATCACACCCTACTACCTTTTGGAATTACTGATAGAACAGACTCTTAAAGTCTGAAAAGAAACATTTACAACCTACCCTCTCTGAAGCCTGCTACCTGGGAGCTTCATCTGCATGATAAAACCTTGGTCTCCACAACCCCTTATGGTAACCCAAACATTCCTTTCTGTTGATAATAACTCTTTCAACTAGTTGCCAATTAGAAAATCTTTAAATCTTCCTATGACCTAGAAACCTCCCTACCCCCACTTTGAGTTGTCCTGCCTTTCCTGACAGAACTCATGTACATCTTACATATATTGATTGATGCCTCATGTCTCCCTAAAATGTATAAAACAAAGCTGTACCCCACCACCTTGGGGACATGTCATCAGGACCTCCTGTGGCTGTGTCATAGGAGCGTCTTTAACTTTGGCAAAATAAACTTTCTAAATTGATTGAAACCTGTCTTAGCTACTTCTGGTTTACAGTCTTAAAGTTAGATAATGTAAATTGTCCAGCTTTGGTTTATTTTTGTCCTTAGTAGTTCCATATAAATTTTAGAATCAGCTTTTCAATTTAATACACTACTTTCCTCTTAGATCCACAATTAAATATATTTGATGCTAACAATTCTGTTTTATGTTTTTCGTTTTTTTTTTTTGAGACAAGAGTTTCGCTCTTGTTGCCCAGGCTGGAGTGCAGTGGCGCGATCTTGGCTCACCACAACCTCCACCTCCCAGGTTCAAGCAATTCTTCTGCCTCAGCCTCCCGAGTAGCTGGGATTACAGGCATGCGCCACCACGCCCGGCTAATTTTGTATTTTTAGTAGAGACGGGGTTTCACCATGTTGATCAGGCTGGTCTTGAACTCCTGACCTCAGGTGATCCACCCACCTCGGCCTCCCAAAGTGTTGGGATTACAGGCGTGAACCACCATGCCTGGCCAGTTCTGTTATTTTTAAAACCCAAGTTTCCCTGGTCATATCTTGGTTGGATGAAGCGTATTTTCAATAGATTACCCTGGAAAGGCTAGTGAGTACGGTATTCTTCTACATTTTAGACTTTTCTTAGTCTTGCTACTTCAAGGACAGCTAGGCTGCATATAAAATTCTTGGCTCATACTTTTTCCCCATAAATTTCTATGAGAAAGTCTAATGATAACTGATTTTCTTTATTTTGTAACTTAGTCTTTTTGCTTAGAGGCTCTCTGAGGATGGGAGGGGGTTCTTCCTCCCATCCCTAGGAATTTTTCTTTTTTTTAAATTCCTAATCACTAGACCACCAGGAAGATTGTTTGTTTTGTTTTGTTTTTATTCTTCAGGGACCCCATTTATACATACGTTAAATAAATACTGTTTGCCAATGTATCAACCATTTTGCTTCTTATTTATTTTTGTTCCTTTGGTTCTTTTTCATGGCTTTGCTTTGGTGCTCCTTAGATTTTCAGTCAGATGTATTTGTCCTTGGGTACCTTGTAATCAGTATTACCTTTTCTTCTGTCGCTTTGTTTTCTGTTCGTTTTGAAATTACTTGTTTCCTGGTCTGGCAATAACAGTTGAGATATGAGGAGTTTGAGCTGCCATCTGTCTGTGTATCTTGCTTTAAGACTGCACTCTTCTATTGATATCACTGGCCTTGATTTTGTGATTTCTTTATTTCTTCAGGACCACCCTTCATTTTCTACTGTTTGCTTCCTTTTTTTTTGAGATGGAGTCTCACTCTGTCACTCAGGCTGGAGTGCAGTGATCTTGGCTCATTGCAACCTCTGCCTCCCGGGTTCCAGCAATTCTCCTGCCTCAGCCTCCCAAGTATCTGGGACTACAGGTGTGCACCACCATGCCCGGCTAAGTTTTGTATTTTTAATAGAGACGGGGTTTTGCCACATTGGCAGGCTGGTCTCAAACTCCTGATGTCAAGTGATCCACCCACCCCACCCACCTCTGCATCCCAAAGTGCTGGGATTACAGGAATGAGCTGCCGTGCCCAGCCTCCCCCCTACCCCCCTTTTTTTCTTTCGAGACAGAGATTATAGGTGTGAGCCACTGGACCCAGCCTGTTTTTATTCCTTTTACCAAATCTCCAAGGAATATCTTCCCTTCCAAGTGCGAATGTAACCTTAAGTCAGTTAACCTCTTTGTGATTACTTTTCTTATCTGCAAAGTGACTTAATGATCTTAAGTACTTTTTTTTTTTGAGACAGGGTCTCACTGTCACCCTGGCTGGAGTGCAGTGGCACGATCTCTGATCTCCACTCACTGCAATCTCCTCTTCCCTGGTTCAAGCGGCCCTCCCACCTTAGCCTTCTGGGTAGCTGGGACTACAGATGTGAACCACCACGCCCAGCTAATTTTTGTACTTTTTGTAGAGATGGGGTTTTGCCATGTTGCCCAGGCTGGGATTATTAAGTACTTTTTATCATACAGCAAGATTGACATTTTATATTGGAATACATTTGTCTCTATATAACGGAGATTAACAGGAAAATGACAAGCCTGGGTGCGGTGGCTCATGCCTGTAATCCCAGCACTTTGGGAGGCTGAGGTGGGAGGATCACTTGAGGTCAGGAGTTCGAGACCAGTTTTGCCAAGATGATGAAAGCCCATGTCTACTAAAAATACAAAAATTAGCCCAGCTTGATGGTGGGCGCCTATAATCCCAGCTATTTGAGAGACTGAGGCAGGAGAATCACTTGAACCTGGGCGGCAGAGGTTGCAGTGAGCCGAGATCATGCCACTGCACTCCAGCCTGGGTGGCATAGCGAGACTCTTGTCTCAAGAGAAAACAAAACAAAACAAAAAAAAAACAGGAAAATGACAAAAAGTAATATTACAACTCAGTGAATTTTATAACAAACTTTTTTGGAATTCATTGACTAATACTATACCAAATCCAAAATACTCTCTAGTATACCAAATCCAACTCTACCCTATAGTATAAATTGGATTCTATTTGGACTTGTCTCACTAATCCCTCATACAGTGTGTTTTATTTTTTATTGAAGTAAAAAAATTTGTCATTTTAACCATTTTTAAGTATATAGTTCAGTAATATTAAGTATGTTCATGTTGTTGCGCAATAGATCTTCGGAAGTTTTTCGTCTTGCAACCTGAAACTCTACCCATTAGCAAATTCCCATTTCTCCTTACACTTAGCCCTTGGTAATCATCATTCTTTTTTTTTTTTTTTTTTTTTTGAGATGGAGTTTTACTCTTGTTGCCCAGGCTGGAGTGCAATGGTGCAATCTCGACTCACCACAACCTCCGCCTCCCAGGTTCAAGCAATTCTACCTCAGCCTCCCGAGTAGCTGGGATTACAGTCATGCACCACCACGCCCGGCTAATTTTGTATTTTTAGTAGAGAAGGGGTTTCTCCATGTTGAGGCTGGTCTCGAACTCCTGACCTCAGGTGATCTGCCCACCTCGGCCTCCCAAAGTGCTGGGATTACAGGCGTGAGCCACTGCGCCTGGCCCATTCTTTCTAATTCTATAAATTTGACTACTTAGTTACCTTACATAAATAAATTCTTATAGTTAGTGTTATTTTTGCTTCCATGCCTTTTTTGTTGTTGTTCATGCTCTTACTTGGAATGCGTTCTATTTTGTCTACCTATGCACATCCTGTTGGGTTTTTTTTTTTTTGGGGGGGTTTTTTTTGTTTTTTTTTGTTTTTTTTTCCCAGACAAGGTCTCAATTTGTTACCCAGGCTGGAGTGCAGCGGCGCCATCTCCACTCACTGCATCCTCAACTTCCTGGGCCCAGGTGATCCTCTCGCCTCAGCCCCTGCAGGTAGCTGGGACTATAGGCATGTGCCACCATGCCCAGCTAAATTTGGTTTTTTTGTTTGTTTGTTTTTGAGACAGAGTCTCACTGTGTCACCCAGGCTGGAGTGCAGTGGCACAATCTCAGCTCACTGCAATCTCTGCCGCCCGGGTTCAAGTGATTCTCCTGCCTCAGCCTCCCAAGCAGCTGGGATTACAGGTGACTGCCACCACGCCAGCTAAGTTTTGTAGTTTTAGTAGAGATGGGGTTTCACCTTGTTGGCCATGCTGGTCTCGAACTCCTGACCTCGTGATCTGCCTGCTTCTGCCTCCCAAAGTGCTGGAATTACAGGCATGAGCCACCACGCCCGGCCAGAATTTTTGTATTTTTAGTAGACACAAGGTTCTTACCCTGTTGCCTAGGCTGGTCTGGAAGTCCTGGACTCAAGCAATTCACCTGCCTTGGCCTCCCAAAATGCTGGGATTACAAGCCACCATGCCCGGCCTAAATCCTGTTGTTTTGTTTTGTTTTATTTTGTTTTGTTTTGTTTTGTTTGTTTTTTGAGACAGAGTCTCGCTATGTCTCTCAGGCTGTAGTGCAGTGGCGCGATCTTGGCTCACTGCCACCTCTGCCTCCCAGGTTCAAGTGATTCTCCTGCCTCAGCCTCCCAAGTAGCTGGGATTACAGGCATGTGCTACTATGTCCGGCTAATTTTTGTATTTTTAGTAGAGACAGGGTTTCACCATGTTGGCCAGGCTGGTCTCGAACTCCTGACCTCGTGATCCACCCACCTCGGCCACCCAAAGTGCTGGGATTACAGGCGTGAGTGGTTTTTATTTCTTAGGCCGGTTTCCTCCATATGATCTTGCAGTAGACATTAATTTCTTTCCTTTTTAATTAAAATACTGTTTGTATTTCACATTTTGATGTTTGTTAAGATTTGTTTTATATTGTTTTTTGTTTTGTCTTGTGTGATAGTCTTAAATCCCTAGTTAGATAATAACTGGAGAGTACCATGTTTCTATATATCTCTCAGTGACTTGCACAGTGCTAGCAGATAGTGCTAAAAAATTATTTATTATTATTATTATTTTGTTATTGTTGTTGTTGTTGTTAGACAGGGTCTTCCTCTGTCACCCAGGCTAGAGGGCAATGGGATGATCATAGCTTACTGCAGCCTCCAACAACTGGGCTCATGTAATTCTCCTGCCTCAGCTTCCCAAGTAGCTGGGATTACAGGCATGAGCCACCATGTCTGGACAAAAATATTTCCAGGTGCAGTGGCTCATGCCTGTAATTCCCACACTTGGGAGGCCGAGCGAGGCTGGAGGATCACTTGAGCCTAGGAGTTCAAGACCAGCTTGGCTAAGATGGCGAGACCCCGTCCCTACAAAAAATTTTAAAAACTAGCCAGGCATGGTGGCATGCACCTATATTCCCAACTACTCAGTGGGCTGAGGTGGGAGGGTCGTTTGAACACAGGAATTTGAGGGGAGAAAAAAAGAAGAGAGAAAGAGAAGTGAAGGAAGGAAGAAAGGAAGGAGGGAGGGAGAGAAGAAAGAAACGAAAGAAAGGAAAAGAAAAGGAAGGAAAGAAAATTGGTACCAGGAAAGCAGGAAAGGGAAATGGAAGTAAAAAAATAATAATAATAATAAAATGAAAATTGGTTAGTCACTATTAACAATTTGTATCCTTATAATCTGGAAACATTATAATTTCAAAAGAAAAAATATTCTTTGGATCATAGGTTCTGAGGTCAGAACAGCATTCCCGTAGTCTAGATGAAGTCAAGTTTTATCTGATCTTAATTGAAATAAATATAGCTGGCCTTGAACAAATCTACTCATGGTATGTGGATAGGAATTAAATTGTAGGGGCATTCACTTGATGGCATTCATTCTTAGAACATTTACCTATGTCTAGCTTTTGGAGTAAAGTCACATAACCTCTAACCAGGTAAGTTTCCTGTGGCTTTATTTAGGATTTTAAATACTCATTTTCAGTGTAATTTTGTTATGTGTGGATTAAGATGACTCTTGGTACTAACATACATTTTCTGATTAAACCTATCTGAACATGAGTTGTTTTTATTTCTTACCCTTTCCAGAGCGATGATTCTGACATTTGGGATGATACAGCACTGATAAAAGCATATGATAAAGCTGTGGCTTCATTTAAGGTATGAAATGCTTGCTTAGTCGTTTTCTTATTTTCTCGTTATTCATTTGGAAAGGAATTGATAACATACGATAAAGTGTTAAAGTACATGTTATTCAGTTTTCATTTTGAAGATTAGATGGTAGTATGAGTTAGTTAAATCAGGTGATATCCTCCTTTAGAAGTTGATAGCCTATATATGTCATCCTTTGTGGAGGCAATTTAAATAAAATTTAAAACATTTATTCCTGGCTGGGTATGGTGGCTCACTCCTGTAATCCCAGCACTTTGAGAGGCTGAGGCGGGTGGATCACCTGAGGTCAGGAGTTTGAGACCAGCCTGGCCAACATGGTGAAACCCCGTCTTTACTAAAAATACAAAAATTAGCCAAGCATGGTGGCACGTGCCTGTAATCCCAGCTGCTTGGGACACTGAGGCAGGAGAATTGCTTGAACCTGGGGGGCAGAGGTTGCAATGATTGCACCACTGCACTCCAGCCTGGGCGATAGAGTGAGACTCCATCTCAGAAAACGAACAAACAATGTATTCCTTTTAGTATTTTTACATTGTATCAAACTATGGAAGTCCTCTAATTGAGATTAATAAGAAAAAGACAATCTGAATTATAATTTTAAACATTTAACAAGCATGTAGTAAAATAATGATGAAGATAAATAGCATTAGTACAGCAATTAATATTTGTAGCATGCTGACAGTGCTCTGTGTGCGTTTCATATATTAAATTACTCTAATCATCCCAAATCCTGTAAGTTGGGTATCAATTCAAGTGTTCCTATTGGGTAGGAATATACAGTTCTTTTAGGAAATGTAGTATGGTTCTGTGTCTCAAACAGGACACTTACACAGTTGGCCAACATCATCACCTTCTCCATTCTCTGAGATGTTTAGTCTTACTGAGCACTAAATATGGGTCATCAATAGTCCAGACTACCTTGAGCAAACAATAGTCCAGACTACCTTGAGCAAACAGAGCATATACTCATACAGTGTATAAAGAGCACCAAGCATACAGATTTCATGTCTTTCTCATAGTTACTCTTGTAACATGAGCTAAAGATCAGACCTCTATGTCACCTTTGTAACTGATTTCTAGATTTTTTTTTTTTTTTGAGATGGGGTCTTGCCCTGTCACCCAGGCTGGAGTGTAGTGGCGTGATCATGCCTCATTGGAGCCTTCAACTCATGAGCTCAAACAATCCTCCTACCTCAGCTTCCTGAGTAGTTGGGACCACAGGTGTGTGCCACCACACCCAGCTCATTTTTGTATTCTTTGTAGAGATGCAGTCTCACCCTGTTGCCCACGCTGGCCTGGAACTCCTGAGCTCAAAAGATCCCTCCGCCTTGACCTTCCAAAGTGCTGGGATTACAAGCATGAACCACTGCACCCGGCCTAGATTTTTAAATGTGCTTTCCAGTATACACTGAAACTAGAAGTCGACTAAAGAATTACCAAGAGAATTCTATAAAATAGAGATTGAAATGGGGCTCGATGTGGGATGGGTTGGTGATATTGCAGGGAGAAGTAATCTGAGTAAAGGAGGAAAAGAACTGATTTGGGAAAACGATAGTTTTAGTAGTGAGTTTGAGTATGAATTAAGTTGAGATTGAATTTGAATTAAGTTGAGGTTGAATATGAATTAAGTTGAGGTTGAGTTTGAGGTATGAATTAAGATGTGAAATTGATCATTGGAAATGTTAGATTGAGAAAAGTCACAGCTGGATTAATAGCTTCAGAAGTGTGTTTGCAGACAGTTGCAACTAAAGTAATAAGAATAGATGGCCTTGGCCGGGCGCGGTGGCTCACGCCTGTAATCCCAGTACTTTGGGAGGCTGAGGCGAGCAAATCACGAGGTCAGGAGTTCAAGACCAGCCTGGCCCACATGGTGAAACCCCGTCTTTATTAAAAATACAAAAATTAGCTGTGCACAGTGGTGCACGCCTGTAATCCCAGCTACTCGGGAGGCTGAGACAGGAGAATCGCTTGAACCTGGGAGGTGGAGGTTGCAGTGAGCTGAGATCAGTGTGACTGCACTCCAGCCCGGTGACAGAGTGAGACTCTGTGTAAAAAAATAAAATAAATAAAATAATGGCCGTAAGCAAGTAAAGAAGGATGGCCAGCTCTTATTGGGAATGCCTAAATCTAAGGCTTGATCAGAAGTAATGAAACCGTTGGGGCCCTACATTGCTATGACATCCAAAGGGCCATGAATATCAGGAAGAAAGATAATTAACAGGGTCTAATGTTACAGAGAGGTTGAGAGCAAGGAGATTTGATTAAAAGGGTCTTTAGAGCTGATGTCAGGTGTATGATGCCTTTAAGAGCAGTTTTTATAGTGCAGGGGGTGGTCAAAAGAGAAAATAGGTGCTTTCTGAGGTGACGGAGCCTTGAGACTAGCTTATAGTAGTAACTGGGTTATGTCGTGACTTTTATTCTGTGCACCACCCTGTAACATGTACATTTTTATTCCTATTTTCGTAGCATGCTCTAAAGAATGGTGACATTTGTGAAACTTCGGGTAAACCAAAAACCACACCTAAAAGAAAACCTGCTAAGAAGAATAAAAGCCAAAAGAAGAATACTGCAGCTTCCTTACAACAGGTTATTTTAAAATGTTGAGATTTAACTTCAAAGGATGTCTCATTAGTCCTTATTTAATAGTGTAAAATGTCTTTAACTTAAGTGATTAGTACAGTGTTTCTATTGACATATACTTATACAACTTCAAAAACAACTATTAAATTTTCTGTTATTTAGGAACATGCATATTAGTCATGAAAGTATAAAGAATTAGATGGGAATGATAAATGCTAAAATCAGGACATGTGTTCCATTTGTGAATGGAAGGCAGGGAGAAGGTGCCGTTTGGAAGGAGTACCCAAGAGCCGTAAGCTGAATTGGCAGTGTTTTACATCTTAAGCTGAGAGATAGATTTTTTTTTCCCCTTTTTCTTTAAAAACTCTAAAACTGTTAATTCCAAGGAACCCAGAAGTCTAGGTAGATTATTTCTGCTAGTTAAAAGCAGTAGTCCTGAAAGCTGAATATTTTGGTGTCTTTTGAGCCAACTTTAGTTTCATCATTACCAAGGGGGAAGAGAGCTAACAGTTGATGAGCACTTGCTCTAGGCCAGTCCAGAGTGCTGGGCACCATACGCATTTTATCTCCCTCCCGCTATTCACAACAAATATGGGAGGTAGTTTATATTATAGCCATCTAATAAGATGGGGAAACTAAGACTCAAAGAGATTCAGAAACTTGTCCATGATTATAAATGTAAGAGAGTTGGAATTCAGATTTATGTATTTAGACCCCAAGCCTTTCTCATTACATCATTTTGCCTTCCAAATCTCTACCCTCTATCCTTCACCTCCCCACTGATCAAAACGAGATGATAGTTTGCCCTCTTCAAAAGAAATGTGTGCATGTATATATCTTTGATTTCTTTTGTAGTGGAAAGTTGGGGACAAATGTTCTGCCATTTGGTCAGAAGACGGTTGCATTTACCCAGCTACCATTGCTTCAATTGATTTTAAGAGAGAAACCTGTGTTGTGGTTTACACTGGATATGGAAATAGAGAGGAGCAAAATCTGTCCGATCTACTTTCCCCAATCTGTGAAGTAGCTAATAATATAGAACAGAATGCTCAAGAGGTAAGGATACAAAAAAAAAAAAATTCAATTTCTGGAAGCAGAGACTAGATGAGAAACTGTTAAACAGTATACACAGTTGTCAGTTTGATCCACCGAGGCATTAATTTTTTCTTAATCACACCCTTATAACAAAAACCTGCATATTTTTTCTTTTTAAAGAATGAAAATGAAAGCCAAGTTTCAACAGATGAAAGTGAGAACTCCAGGTCTCCTGGAAATAAATCAGATAACATCAAGCCCAAATCTGCTCCATGGAACTCTTTTCTCCCTCCACCACCCCCCATGCCAGGGCCAAGACTGGGACCAGGAAAGGTAAACCTTCTATGAAAGTTTTCCAGAAAATAGTTAATGTCGGGACATTTAACCTCTCTGTTAACTAATTTGTAGCTCTCCCATGAAACTTTTGTAGCTTAAATACACAAGAATTTTTTGAAAAGGAAATAAGATAATGATGCAAAATAGTTAATTTTTTAAAAAAATGTTAGACACTGCAGTGGATGCAACAAAATACTTTATATGAAAGATTTATCCAGTTAACTTTTGTGGAGTATTAGGTATTAGACTAATAATTAGCACACTTACTTAAGTTAGAAAGTATAATAATGCGCCGGACGCGGTAGCTCACGCCTGTAATCCCAGCACTTTGGGAGGCCAAGGTGGGCGGATCACAAGGTCAGGAGATCGAGACCATCCTGGCTAACACGGTGAAACCCCATCTCTACTGAAAATACAAAAAAATTTGCCGGGCGTGATGGTGGGCACCTGTAGTCCCAGCTACTCGGGAGGCTGAGGCAGGAGGATGGTGTGAACCCCGGAGGCAGAGCTTGCAGTGAGTCAAGATCGTGCCACTGCACTCCAACCTGGGCGACAGAATGAGACTCCATCTCAAACAAAAAAACAAAACAAAACAAAAAAAAGTGTAATAATAATTTATCATTAGCTGGATGATATGCTGTTGTTTCCCATGTCACCTGTATAAGATATGTAAAATAAGAACACATTATTTACATCTAATATAGATAAAATCCTGAGGCGCTCTCAGATTGTTTTGTAGAGTTCAAATGTAAATATTGTTTTCATTTATGGTCCTTTTGGTTATAAGTAACAGAAATCAACTCTAAAAAGATTTTTATTATAGGTTAGATTATGTCATGGAACCTTAAGGCTTGTCCCTTTCTAGTTCTTTTGTGTAAAGCGGTGATTTCTTCCATGGAGGGAATGGTATTTAGGCAATTTTTTTTTTTTTTCGAGATGGAGTCTTGCTCTGTCGCTCAGGCTGGAGTGCAGTGGCACCATTTCAGCTCACTGCAACTTCCACCTCCTGGGTTCAAGTGATTCTCCTGCTTCAGCCTCCCAAGTAGCTGAGATTACAGGCACCCGCCACCACACCCGGCTTATTTTGTATTTTTAGTAGAGATGGGGTTTCACCATGTTGGCCAGGCTGGTCTTGAACTCCTGACCTCAAGTGATCTCCCCACCTTGGCCTTCCAAAGTGCTAGGATTACAGGCGCCTAGCCTAGGCAGTCATTTTCAAAAAACAAGCATGACTCACCAAAAGTTTTAAGATTTTCTGTGATAATGTTCTTATTGAGGCTTACATTATATTACAGTTTCTTGAATCTAAAATGATGTACCCTCTTAGGATATATACATCATGCTTCATTGGTCTCAGGGGGCTGATTTTTATAAGGAGAGATTTGCTAGTTTTCACAATATGTCCTCTAAGTTGGCATGTATAGCTAAACAGGCTTTCATAAAAATATACAATTTAGTTAATGAAATTTGGGATATAGTCTTTTATGATTGAAATAATTTTGCTAAATAGACTGTCTCTGATTTATTAGGTAATCACCACTCTTATTTTGTTTTACTTCCTTAATGTCTACATAGAAAGGAAATGAGAAAAATCCAGAGGTTGTCATTTGACTTATGAGTCTGTTTGACTTCAGGATTTGGTACATGAAATTTCACTTAATCTTTTTGATATGTATAAAACAAATATTCTGGGTAATTATTTTTATCCTTTTGGTTTTGAGTCCTTTTTATTCCTATCATATTGAAATTGGTAAGTTAATTTTCCTTTGAAATATTCCTTATAGCCAGGTCTAAAATTCAATGGCCCACCACCGCCACCGCCACCACCACCACCCCACTTACTATCATGCTGGCTGCCTCCATTTCCTTCTGGACCACCAGTAAGTAAAAAAGAGTATAGGTTAGATTTTGCTTTCACATACAATTTGATAATTAGCAGAATAGAGGATTGTAAAATGTCATTGTAGAACATCCCTTGGGCCAGATTCTAATGGGTAGAAATTTGAACTAAACCTCTGGGTTTTGTTTGTTTTTAATGCCTTTCTGTTACCCAGATGCAGTGCTCTTGTAGTCCCAAGTCTAAGCTCTAGGTTGCCTTCTTTCCTGGCAGAAGTTGGTGTCTATGCCATAAGGAGGTAGTTCCTGTTAGAAGGGATTTAATTATACCTTATATAAGGAATTAGTGTTTGCCCTTCTAGGTATAGTTGGATGTTAGCTTCTGATGTAAACTGGATTTCTTTTTCTTTCTCTCTCTTTTTTTTTTTTTGTTTTGGAGGCAGAGTTTTGCCCTTGTACCCCAGGCTGGAGTGCAGTGGTGTGATCTCAGCTCACAGCAACCTCCGCCTCCTGGGTTCAAGCAATTCTGCCTCGGCCTCCCAAGTAGCTGGGATTACAGGCGACTGCCACCACACCCGGCTAATTTTTGTTTTATTAGTAGAGATGGGGTTTCACCATGTTGGCCAGACTGATCTTGAACTCCTGACCTCAGGTGATCCACCCGCCTTGGCCTCCCAAAGCGCTGGGATTACAGGCGTGAGCTGCCGCACCCAGCTGTAAACTGGATTTCTAATGGTAGATTTTTAGGTATTAACAATAGATAAAAAGATACTTTTTGGCATACTGTGTATTGGGATGGGGTTAGAACAGGTGTTCTACCCAAGACATTTACTTAAAATCGCCCTCGAAATGCTATGTGAGCTGTGTGTGTGTGTGTGTGTGTGTGTGTATTAAGGAAAAGCATGAAAGTATTTATGCTTGATTTTTTTTTTTTACTCATAGCTTCATAGTGGAACAGATACATAGTCTAAATCAAAATGTTTAAACTTTTTATGTCACTTGCTGTCTTTTCGTCCTCGTTAAATTTAATTTTGTTGGTCTTTTGTTGTTATTGGTTGGTTTTCTCCAAATGCTAGCTATGTTAAGAAATTTAAGGCCAGGTACAGTGGCTCATGCCTGTAATCCCGGCATTTTAGAAGGCTGAGGCAGGAGGATCACTTGAGCTCAGGAGTTTGAGACCAGTCTGGGCAACATAGCAAGACCTCGTCTTTGTTTAGGGGAAAAAAAAGAAATTTAAGTAGGAGATTATATAAGCAAAAATACAATTAATTTCCAGCATTCACTATATAATATAAATCTCCAGACTTTACTTTTTTGTTTACTGGATATAAACAATATCTTTTTCTGTCTCCAGATAATTCCCCCACCACCTCCCATATGTCCAGATTCTCTTGATGATGCTGATGCTTTGGGAAGTATGTTAATTTCATGGTACATGAGTGGCTATCATACTGGCTATTATATGGTAAGTAATCACTCAGCATCTTTTCCTGACAATTTTTTTGTAGTTATGTGACTTTGTTTTGTAAATTTATAAAATACTACTTGCTTCTCTCTTTATATTACTAAAAAATAAAAATAAAAAAATACAACTGTCTGAGGCTTAAATTACTCTTGCATTGTCCCTAAGTATAATTTTAGTTAATTTTAAAAAGCTTTCATGCTATTGTTAGATTATTTTGATTATACACTTTTGAATTGAAATTATACTTTTTCTAAATAATGTTTTAATCTCTGATTTGAAATTGATTGTAGGGAATGGAAAAGATGGGATAATTTTTCATAAATGAAAAATGAAATTCTTTTTTTTTTTTTTTTTTTTTGAGACGGAGTCTTGCTCTGTTGCCCAGGCTGGAGTGCAATGGCGTGATCTTGGCTCACAGCAAGCTCTGCCTCCTGGATTCACGCCATTCTCCTGCCTCAGCCTCAGAGGTAGCTGGGACTACAGGTGCCTGCCACCACGCCTGTCTAATTTTTTGTATTTTTTTGTAAAGACAGGGTTTCACTGTGTTAGCCAGGATGGTCTCAATCTCCTGACCCCGTGATCCACCCGCCTCGGCCTTCCAAGAGAAATGAAATTTTTTTAATGCACAAAGATCTGGGGTAATGTGTACCACATTGAACCTTGGGGAGTATGGCTTCAAACTTGTCACTTTATACGTTAGTCTCCTACGGACATGTTCTATTGTATTTTAGTCAGAACATTTAAAATTATTTTATTTTATTTTATTTTTTTTTTTTTTTTGAGACGGAGTCTCGCTCTGTCACCCAGGCTGGAGTACAGTGGCGCAGTCTCGGCTCACTGCAAGCTCCGCCTCCCGGGTTCACGCCATTCTCCTGCCTCAGCCTCTCCGAGTAGCTGGGACTACAGGCGCCCGCCACCACGCCCGGCTAATTTTTTTTTATTTTTAGTAGAGACGGGGTTTCACCGTGGTCTCGATCTCCTGACCTCGTGATCCACCCGCCTCGGCCTCCCAAAGTGCTGGGATTACAAGCGTGAGCCACCGCGCCCGGCCTAAAATTATTTTTAAAAGTAAGCTCTTGTGCCCTGCTAAAATTATGATGTGATATTGTAGGCACTTGTATTTTTAGTAAATTAATATAGAAGAAACAACTGACTTAAAGGTGTATGTTTTTAAATGTATCATCTGTGTGTGCCCCCATTAATATTCTTATTTAAAAGTTAAGGCCAGACATGGTGGCTTACAACTGTAATCCCAACAGTTTGTGAGGCCGAGGCAGGCAGATCACTTGAGGTCAGGAGTTTGAGACCAGCCTGGCCAACATGATGAAACCTTGTCTCTACTAAAAATACCAAAAAAAATTTAGCCAGGCATGGTGGCACATGCCTGTAATCCGAGCTACTTGGGAGGCTGTGGCAGGAAAATTGCTTTAATCTGGGAGGCAGAGGTTGCAGTGAGTTGAGATTGTGCCACTGCACTCCACCCTTGGTGACAGAGTGAGATTCCATCTCAAAAAAAGAAAAAGGCCTGGCACGGTGGCTCACACCTATAATCCCAGTACTTTGGGAGGTAGAGGCAGGTGGATCACTTGAGGTTAGGAGTTCAGGACCAGCCTGGCCAACATGGTGACTACTCCATTTCTACTAAATACACAAAACTTAGCCCAGTGGCGGGCAGTTGTAATCCCAGCTACTTGAGAGGTTGAGGCAGGAGAATCACTTGAACCTGGGAGGCAGAGGTTGCAGTGAGCCGAGATCACACCGCTGCACTCTAGCCTGGCCAACAGAGTGAGAATTTGCGGAGGGAAAAAAAAGTCACGCTTCAGTTGTTGTAGTATAACCTTGGTATATTGTATGTATCATGAATTCCTCATTTTAATGACCAAAAAGTAATAAATCAACAGCTTGTAATTTGTTTTGAGATCAGTTATCTGACTGTAACACTGTAGGCTTTTGTGTTTTTTAAATTATGAAATATTTGAAAAAAATACATAATGTATATATAAAGTATTGGTATAATTTATGTTCTAAATAACTTTCTTGAGAAATAATTCACATGGTGTGCAGTTTACCTTTGAAAGTATACAAGTTGGCTGGGCACAATGGCTCACGCCTGTAATCCCAGCACTTTGGGAGGCCAAGGCAGGTGGATCACGAGGTCAGGAGATCGAGACCATCCTGGCTAACATGGTGAAACCCCGTCTCTACTAAAAGTACAAAAACAAATTAGCCGGGCATGTTGGCGGGCACCTTTTGTCCCAGCTGCTCGGGAGGCTGAGGCAGGAGAGTGGCGTGAACCCAGGAGGTGGAGCTTGCAGTGAGCCGAGATTGTGCCAGTGCACTCCAGCCTGGGCGACAGAGCGAGACTCTGTCTCAAAAAATAAAATAAAAAAGAAAGTATACAAGTCAGTGGTTTTGGTTTTCAGTTATGCAACCATCACTACAATTTAAGAACATTTTCATCACCCCAAAAAGAAACCCTGTTACCTTCATTTTCCCCAGCCCTAGGCAGTCAGTACACTTTCTGTCTCTATGAATTTGTCTATTTTAGATATTATATATAAACGGAATTATACGATATGTGGTCTTTTGTGTCTGGCTTCTTTCACTTAGCATGCTATTTTCAAGATTCATCCATGCTGTAGAATGCACCAGTACTGCATTCCTTCTTATTGCTGAATATTCTGTTGTTTGGTTATATCACATTTTATCCATTCATCAGTTCATGGACATTTAGGTTGTTTTTATTTTTGGGCTATAATGAATAATGTTGCTATGAACATTCGTTTGTGTTCTTTTTGTTTTTTTGGTTTTTTGGGTTTTTTTTGTTTTGTTTTTGTTTTTGAGACAGTCTTGCTCTGTCTCCTAAGCTGGAGTGCAGTGGCATGATCTTGGCTTACTGCAAGCTCTGCCTCCCGGGTTCACACCATTCTCCTGCCTCAGCCCGACAAGTAGCTGGGACTACAGGCGTGTGCCACCATGCACGGCTAATTTTTTGTATTTTTAGTAGAGATGGGGTTTCACCGTGTTAGCCAGGATGGTCTCGATCTCCTGACCTCGTGATCTGCCTGCCTAGGCCTCCCAAAGTGCTGGGATTACAGGCGTGAGCCACTGCACCTGGCCTTAAGTGTTTTTAATACGTCATTGCCTTAAGCTAACAATTCTTAACCTTTGTTCTACTGAAGCCACGTGGTTGAGATAGGCTCTGAGTCTAGCTTTTAACCTCTATCTTTTTGTCTTAGAAATCTAAGCAGAATGCAAATGACTAAGAATAATGTTGTTGAAATAACATAAAATAGGTTATAACTTTGATACTCATTAGTAACAAATCTTTCAATACATCTTACGGTCTGTTAGGTGTAGATTAGTAATGAAGTGGGAAGCCACTGCAAGCTAGTATACATGTAGGGAAAGATAGAAAGCATTGAAGCCAGAAGAGAGACAGAGGACATTTGGGCTAGATCTGACAAGAAAAACAAATGTTTTAGTATTAATTTTTGACTTTAAATTTTTTTTTTATTTAGTGAATACTGGTGTTTAATGGTCTCATTTTAATAAGTATGACACAGGTAGTTTAAGGTCATATATTTTATTTGATGAAAATAAGGTATAGGCCGGGCACGGTGGCTCACACCTGTAATCCCAGCACTTTGGGAGGCCGAGGCAGGCGGATCACCTGAGGTCGGGAGTTAGAGACTAGCCTCAACATGGAGAAACCCCGTCTCTACTAAAAAAAATACAAAATTAGGCGGGCGTGGTGGTGCATGCCTGTAATCCCAGCTACTCAGGAGGCTGAGGCAGGAGAATTGCTTGAACCTGGGAGGTGGAGGTTGCGGTGAGCCGAGATCACCTCATTGCACTCCAGCCTGGGCAATAAGAGCAAAACTCCATCTCAAAAAAAAAAAAATAAGGTATAAGCGGGCTCAGGAACATCATTGGACATACTGAAAGAAGAAAAATCAGCTGGGCGCAGTGGCTCACGCCGGTAATCCCAACACTTTGGGAGGCCAAGGCGGGTGAATCACCTGAAGTCGGGAGTTCCAGATCAGCCTGACCAACATGGAGAAACCCTGTCTCTACTAAAAATACAAAACTAGCCGGGCATGGTGGCGCATGCCTGTAATCCCAGCTACTTGGGAGGCTGAGGCAGGAGAGTTGCTTGAACTGAGAAGGCGGAGGTTGCGGTGAGCCAAGATTGCACCATTGCACTCCAGCCTGGGCAACAAGAGCGAAACTCCGTCTCAAAAAAAAAAGGAAGAAAAATATTTTTTTAAATTAATTAGTTTATTTATTTTTTAAGATGGAGTTTTGCCCTGTCGCCCAGGCTGGGGTGCAATGGTGCAATCTCGGCTCACTGCAACCTCCGCCTCCTGGGTTCAAGTGATTCTCCTGCCTCAGCTTCCCGAGTAGCTGTGATTACAGCCATATGCCACCACGCCCAGCCAGTTTTGTGTTTTGTTTTGTTTTTTGTTTTTTTTTTTTGAGATGGTGTCTTGCTCTGTCCCCCAAGCTGGAGTGCAGCGGCGCGATCTTGGCTCACTGCAAGCTCTGCCTCCCAGGTTCACACCATTCTCTTGCCTCAGCCTCCCGAGTAGCTGGGACTACAGGTGCCCGCCACCACACCCGGCTAATTTTTTTGTGTTTTTAGTAGAGATGGGGTTTCACTGTGTTAGCCAGGATGGTCTCGATCTCCTGACCTTTTGATCCACCCGCCTCAGCCTCCCCAAGTGCTGGGATTATAGGCGTGAGCCACTGTGCCCGGCCTAGTCTTGTATTTTTAGTAGAGTCGGGGTTTCTCCATGTTGGTCAGGCTGTTCTCCAAATCCGACCTCAGGTGATCCGCCCGCCTTGGCCTCCAAAAGTGCAAGGCATTACAGGCATGAGCCACTGTGACCGGCAATGTTTTTAAATTTTTTAAATTTAAATTTTATTTTTTAGAGACCAGGTCTCACTCTATTGCTCAGGCTGGAGTGCAAGGGCACATTCACAGCTCACTGCAGCCTTGACCTCCAGGGCTCAAGCAGTCCTCTCACCTCAGTTTCCCGAGTAGCTGGGACTACAGTGATAATGCCACTGCACCTGGCTAATTTTTATTTTTATTTATTTATTTTTTTTTGAGACAGAGTCTTGCTCTGTCACCCAGGCTGGAGTGCAGTGGTGTAAATCTCAGCTCACTGCAGCCTCCGCCTCCTGGGTTCAAGTGATTCTCCTGCCTCAGCCTCCCAAGTAGCTGGGATTAGAGGTCCCCACCACCATGCCTGGCTAATTTTTTGTACTTTCAGTAGAAATGGGGTTTTGCCATGTTGGCCAGGCTGTTCTCGAACTCCTGAGCTCAGGTGATCCAACTGTCTCGGCCTCCCAAAGTGCTGGGATTACAGGCGTGAGCCACTGTGCCTAGCCTGAGCCACCACGCCGGCCTAATTTTTAAATTTTTTGTAGAGACAGGGTCTCATTATGTTGCCCAGGGTGGTGTCAAGCTCCAGGTCTCAAGTGATCCCCCTACCTCTGCCTCCCAAAGTTGTGGGATTGTAGGCATGAGCCACTGCAAGAAAACCTTAACTGCAGCCTAATAATTGTTTTCTTTGGGATAACTTTTAAAGTACATTAAAAGACTATCAACTTAATTTCTGATCATATTTTGTTGAATAAAATAAGTAAAATGTCTTGTGAAACAAAATGCTTTTTAACATCCATATAAAGCTATCTATATATAGCTATCTATGTCTATATAGCTATTTTTTTTAACTTCCTTTATTTTCCTTACAGGGTTTCAGACAAAATCAAAAAGAAGGAAGGTGCTCACATTCCTTAAATTAAGGAGTAAGTCTGCCAGCATTATGAAAGTGAATCTTACTTTTGTAAAACTTTATGGTTTGTGGAAAACAAATGTTTTTGAACATTTAAAAAGTTCAGATGTTAAAAAGTTGAAAGGTTAATGTAAAACAATCAATATTAAAGAATTTTGATGCCAAAACTATTAGATAAAAGGTTAATCTACATCCCTACTAGAATTCTCATACTTAACTGGTTGGTTATGTGGAAGAAACATACTTTCACAATAAAGAGCTTTAGGATATGATGCCATTTTATATCACTAGTAGGCAGACCAGCAGACTTTTTTTTATTGTGATATGGGATAACCTAGGCATACTGCACTGTACACTCTGACATATGAAGTGCTCTAGTCAAGTTTAACTGGTGTCCACAGAGGACATGGTTTAACTGGAATTCGTCAAGCCTCTGGTTCTAATTTCTCATTTGCAGGAAATGCTGGCATAGAGCAGCACTAAATGACACCACTAAAGAAACGATCAGACAGATCTGGAATGTGAAGCGTTATAGAAGATAACTGGCCTCATTTCTTCAAAATATCAAGTGTTGGGAAAGAAAAAAGGAAGTGGAATGGGTAACTCTTCTTGATTAAAAGTTATGTAATAACCAAATGCAATGTGAAATATTTTACTGGACTCTATTTTGAAAAACCATCTGTAAAAGACTGGGGTGGGGGTGGGAGGCCAGCACGGTGGTGAGGCAGTTGAGAAAATTTGAATGTGGATTAGATTTTGAATGATATTGGATAATTATTGGTAATTTTATGAGCTGTGAGAAGGGTGTTGTAGTTTATAAAAGACTGTCTTAATTTGCATACTTAAGCATTTAGGAATGAAGTGTTAGAGTGTCTTAAAATGTTTCAAATGGTTTAACAAAATGTATGTGAGGCGTATGTGGCAAAATGTTACAGAATCTAACTGGTGGACATGGCTGTTCATTGTACTGTTTTTTTCTATCTTCTATATGTTTAAAAGTATATAATAAAAATATTTAATTTTTTTTTAAATTAGCTGTATCTGTGATTGTATTTCTTTTTTGCATATTATTTTGCCCTTTGGCCCATATTTTGATATCGATGCCACCATAGCATTTTGTGTATGTGCATGTGTATTCCCACTTAATGTCACATTTTTCATGTCTTTACATATTCTTATTTTTGTTTGTTTTTGAGACAGAGTCTCGCTCTGCTGCCCACGCTGGAGTGCAGTGGTGCAATCTCAGCTCACTGCAACCTCTGCTATCCGGGTTCAAGCGGTTCTCGTGCCTCACCCACGTGAGTAGTTGGGATTACAGGCATGTGGCACCATGCCCCACTAAGTTTTGTATTTTTAGTAGAGATGGAGTTTCACCATGTTGGCCAGGCTGGTCTCAAACTCCTGCCCTCAAGTGATTCGACCACCCTGGCCTCCCAAAGTGCTGGGATTACAGCCGTGAGCCACCGCACACGGCCTCTCTATTTATTTCTATACATAGCTTTTCACATTATATTATGTTTATATATTGTTTATATCTGTATTTCCTCTTTCATTAGAGAAAAGGTAGTACATCTTATTCTTCATGGTGTCTACAATATCTGGCAGTTTTTGGAAGTCAAGCGTGAGCTTAGAGCATAGACTGGTGGGATTGTCAAAGAAGAGGGCAACTGGAAGAGAACTGTCAGTTATTTTTGGATCAGTCTTTAATTCATCATGACGGGTTAGGCATTAGTTGTATTTCTTGCTAATTTTGAAGAAGACTTATTAAC
Source organism: Homo sapiens (assembly GCF_000001405.40). Lineage (NCBI taxonomy): Eukaryota > Metazoa > Chordata > Mammalia > Primates > Hominidae > Homo > Homo sapiens. The sequence goes on along the minus strand of NW_003315917.2, from coordinate 457,040 downwards.
AAATCCTACATTAGGTAAATGGTTTTGAAAGTTGAGTTAATCATAATGGTGTTTGACCTAGGACTATTTTTAGGCCCTATTTATCTTAATATCGAATAATGAAGCAGCTTCCCCCTTAGATATAGACAGAAAACATCAAAGCCACCACACTACCTGGCTGGATTTATCCTAGTAATAAAATCAAAACTGAGCTAGTTCTCTGGCTTTCATTGTAATAATTGTCCTTGTGGTTGTAAGGAATCTAGATGAAAATTACATGGTCTGTTCTACAGCCACAGCTGTACCTACGTTCAGAAGACAGACAAAAGTTGCTGTGTTTGAAGAGATCCTTCATTAAGGGATCAGACAGAGATTACTTTGAGACATATTCTAAGTTTAACTTTTCTGCAGGGTTGCCATTAACAGAAATAAACTACACAGTTAATTTCTTTTTGTTTTTGATACAGTCTAACTCTCACCCAAGCTGGAGTGCAGTGGCGCAATTTCAGCTCACTGCAACCTCTGCCTCCCAGGTTCAAGCAATTCTCCTGCCTCAGCCTCCCGAGCAGCTGGGACTACAGGCATGTGCCACTATGCCTGGCTAATTTTTGTATTTTTAGTAGTAGAGACGTGGTTTCGCCACGTTGGCCAGGCTGGTCTGGAACTCCTGACCCCAGGTAATCCACCTGCCTCGGCCTCCCAAAGTGCTGGGATTACAAGCTTGAGCCACTACGCCTGACCCAGAGTTAACTTTTTAAAAAAGTTTTTATGAACTTAAGTCTTGTGATGTTTGAAATAATGGATTCAATTTAGACATCAAATTCCAGAAGTTACTAAGAGCAGCTGGGCGCGGCAGCTCACACCTGTAATCCCAGCACTTTGGGAGGCCGAGGCGGGTGGATCACCTGAGATCAGGAGTTCCAGACCAGCCTGGCCAACATAGTAAAACCCTGTCTCTACTAAAAATACAAAAATTAGCCCGGCATGGTGGCACGCCCTGTAGTCCCAGCTACTTGGGAGGCTGAGGCAGGAGAATTGCTTGAACCCGGGAGGTGGAGGTTGTGGTGAGCCGAGATTGTGCCGCTGTACTCAAGCCTGGGCTAAAAAGCGAGACTCCGTCTCAAAAAAAAAAAAAAAAAAAAACACGTTACTAAGAGCAACTCTGGGCCAGGCACGGTGGCTTACACCTGTAATCCCAGCATTTTGGGAGGACGAGACAGGCGGATCACTTGAGCCCAGGAGTTCAAGACCAGCATAAGCAACAACGCAAAACCCCTGACTCTACAAAAAATGAAAGAATTAGCAAGGCATGGTGGTGCATGCCTGTAGTCCCAGCTACTGGAGAGGCTGAGGCAAAAGGATCACTTGAGTACAGGAGGTTGAGGCTGTATAATGAGCCATGTTCACACCATTGCACTTCAGCCTGGGCAACAGACTGAGACCCTGTCTCAAAAAAAAAAACCAAACCAAAGCAACAAACAAAAAACAAGAGCAACTCTGCTTCTGTACACTTTTTTTTTTTTTTTGGTAGTGACATGATCTATGTTGCCCAAGCTGGTCTCGAGTTCCTGGGTTCAAGCCATTCTCCCACCTCGGGCTCCCAAAGTGCTAGGATTACAGGCATGAATCACCATGCCCAGCCCTTCTGTACACTTTTCACAGTGTACCCTTTTGTGTTTTTTAAAATGTTTGTGTATACATTTATTGTGAATTTTTAAAAAACATGTAATTAAGGCCAGGCATGGTGGCTCATACCTGTAATCCTAGCACTTTGAGAGGCTGAGGTGGGTGGATCACCTGAGGTCGGTAGTTCGAGACCAGCCTGGCCCAACATGGTGAAACCCCATCTCTACTAAAAATACAAAAAAAAAATTAGCTCGGCATGGTGGTGGGCGCCTGTAATCCCAGCTACTGGAGAGGCTGAAGCATGAGAATCACTTGAACCCAGGAGGCGGAGGTTGCAGTGAGCCAAGATCATGCCACTACACTCCAGCCTGGGTGACTCAGTGACTGTCTCAAAAAGAAAAAAAGTAATTAAGTTCTGTCATGATATATCATCATTACCCTTTTTGAACTTTTAAAATTTTTTATCTTTAGAGGTAATTCATATAATGTTCTTCAATAGATAAGTGCTTTTCTGTCAATATATCTTGGAGAACACACCATATCAGTATTTAAAACTCTCATTCTTCCTATTTCTCCACATCCTCTCCAGCACCCGTTGTTTCCTGACTTTTTAATGATTGCCATTCTAACTGGTGTGAGATGGTATCTTATTGTGGTTTTGATTTGCATTTCTCTGATGGCCAGTGATGGTGAGCATTTTTTCATGTGTTTTTTAGCTGCATAAATGTCTTCTTTTGAGAAGTGTCTGTTCATGTCCTTCGCCCACTTTTTGATGGGGTTGTCTGTTTTTTTCTTGTAAATTTGTTTGAGTTCGTTGTAGATTCTGGATATTAGCCCTTTGTCAGATGAGTAGATTGCAAAAATTTTCTCCCATTTTGTAGGTTGCCTGTTCACTCTGATGGTAGTTTCTTTTGCTGTGCAGAAGCTCTTTAGTTTAATTAGATCCCAGTTTTGGCTTTTGTTGCCGTTGCTTTTGGTGTTTTAGACATGAAGTCCTTGCCCATGCCTATGTCCTGAATGGTAATGCCTAGGTTTTCTTCTAGGGTTTTTATGGTTTTAGGTCTAACATTTAAGTCTTTAATCCATCTTGAATTAATTTTTGTATAAGGTGTAAGGAAGGGATCCAGTTTCAGCTTTCTACATATGGCTAGCCAGTTTCCCAGCACCATTTATTAAATAGGGAATCCTTTCCCCATTGCTTGTTTTTCTCAGGTTTGTCAAAGATCAGATAGTTGTAGATATGCGGCGTTATTTCTGAGAGCTCTGTTCTGTTCCATTGGTCTATATCTCTGTTTTGGTACCAGTACCATGCTGTTTTGGTCACTGTAGCCTTGTAGTATAGTTTGAAGTCAGGTAGCGTGATGCCTCCAGCTTTGTTCTTTTGGCTTAGGATTGACTTGGCGATGCGGGCTTTTTTTTGGTTCCATATGAACTTTAAAGTAGTTTTTTCCAATTCTGTGAAGAAAGTCATTGGTAGCTTGATGGGGATGGCATTGAATCTGTAAATTACCTTGGGCAGTATGGCCATTTTCATGATATTGATTCTTCCTACCCATGAGCATGGAATGTTCTTCCATTTGTTTGTATCCTCTTTTATTTCATTGAGCAGTGGTTTGTAGTTCTCCTTGAAGAGGTCCTTCACATCCCTTGTAAGTTGGATTCCTAGGTATTTTATTCTCTTTGAAGCAATTGTGAATGGGAGTTCACTCATGATTTGGCTCTCTGTTTGTCTGTTATTGCTGTATAAGAATGCTTGTGATTTTTGTACATTGATTTTGTATCCTGAGACTTTGCTGAAGTTGCTTATCAGCTTAAGGAGATTTTGGGCTGAGACAATGGGGTTTTCTAGATATACAATCATGTAATCTGCAAACAGGGACAATTTGGCTTCCTCTTTTCCTAATTGAATACCCGTTATTTCTTTCTCCTGCCTAATTGCCCTGGCCAGAACTTCCAACACTATGTTGAATAGGAGTGGTGAGAGAGGGCATCCCTGTCTTGTGCGTGTTTTCAAAGGGAATGCTTCCAGTTTTTGCCCATTCAGTATGATATTGGCTGTGGGTTTGTCATAGATAGCTCTTATTATTTTGAGATACGTCCCATCAATACCTCATTTATTGAGAGTTTTTAGCATGAAGGATTGTTGAATTTTGTCAAAGGCCTTTTCTGCATCTATTGAGATAATCATGTGGTTTTTGTCTTTGGTTCTGTTTATATGCTGGATTACATTTATTGATTTGCGTATGTTGAACCAGCCTTGCATCCCAGGGATGAAGCCCACTTGATCATGCTGGATAAGCTTTTTGATGTGCTGCTGGATTCGGTTTGCCAGTATTTTATTGATGATTTTTGCATCAATGTTCATCAAGGATATTAGTCTAAAATTCTCTTTTTTGGTTGTGTCTCTGCCTGGCTTTGGTATCAGGATGATGCTGGCCTCATAAAATGAGTTAGGGAGGATTCCCTCTTTTTCTATTGATTGGAATAATTTCAGAAGGAATGGTACCAGTTCCTCCTTGTACCTCTGGTAGAATTCGGCTGTGAATCCATCTGGTCGTGGACTCTTTTTGGTTGGTAAGCTATTGATTATTGCCACAATTTCAGAGCCTGTTATTGGTCCATTTAGAGATTCAACTTCTTCCTGGTTTAGTCTTGGGAGGGTGTATGTGTCGAGGAATTTATCCATTTCTTCTAGATTTTCTAGTTTATTTGCGTAGAAGTGTTTATAGTATTCTCTGATGGTAGTTTGTATTTCTGTGGGATCGGTGGTGATATCCCCTTTATCATTTTTTATTGCGTCTATTTGATTCTTCTCTCTTTTCTTCTTTATTAGTCTTGCTAGCGGTCTATCAATTTTGTTGATCCTTTCCAAAAACCAGCTCCTGGATTAATTTTTTGAAGGGTTTTTTGTGTCTCTATTTCCTTCAGCTCTGCTCTGATTTTAGTTATTTCTTGCCTTCTGCTAGCTTTTGAATGTGTTTGCTCTTGCTTTTCTAGTTCTTTTAATTGTGATGTTAGGGTGTCAATTTTGGATCTTTCCTGCTTTCTCTTGTGGGCATTTAGTGCTATAAATTTCCCTCTACACACTGCTTTGAATGTGTCCCAGAAATTCTGGTATGTTGTGTCTTTGTTCTCGTTGGTTTCAAAGAACATCTTTATTTCTGCCTTCATTTCGTTATGTACCCAGTAGTCATTCAGGAGCAGGTTGTTCAGTTTCCATGTAGTTGAGTGGTTTTGAGTGAGTTTCTTATTCCTGAGTTCTAGTTTGATTGCACTGTGGTCTGAGAGACAGTTTGTTATAATTTCTGTTCTTTTACGTTTGCTGAGGAGAGCTTTACTTCCAACTATGTGGTCAATTTTGGAATAGGTGTGGTGTGGTGCTGAAAAAAATGTATATTCTGTTGATGTGGGGTGGAGAGTTCTGTAAACTGGTTCAACCATTGTGGAAGTCAGTGTGGTGATTCCTCAGGGATCTAGAACTAGAAATACCATTTGACCCAGCCATCCCATTACTGGGTATATACCCAAAGGACTATAAATCATGCTGCTATGAAGACACATGCACACGTATGTTTATTGCGGCACTATTCACAATAGCAAAGACTTGGAACGAACCCAAATGTCCAACAATGATAGACTGGATTAAGAAAATATGGCACATATACACCATGGAATACTGTGCAACCATAAGAAATGATGAGTTCATGTCCTTTGTAGGGACATGGATGAAATTGGAAATCATCATTCTCAGTAAACTATCGCAAGGACAAAAAACCAAACACCGCATGTTCTCACTCATAGGTGGGAATTGAACAATGAGAACACATGGACACAGGAAGGGGAACATCACACTCTGGGGACTGTTGTGGGGTGGGGGGAATGGGGAGGGATAGCATTAGGAGATATATCTAATGCTAAATGACGAGTTAATGGGTGCAGCACACCAGCATGGCACATGTATACATATGTAACTAACCTGCACATTGTGCACATGTACCCTAAAACTTAAAGTATAATAATAAAATAAAATAAGAAAAATGCAAAAATTAAAAATTTAAAAAAAAGCTCTCATTCTTTTAAGCACTTACAGGATATTCTTACAGATGTGTACCACGCTTAATGAATTGAGCTCTTGTGGATGAGAGTTTAATTTGTTTCTAATCATTTGTTATTTAATAGTACAGTCAGCATCTTTAGGATTAAGTATCTAGAATTAGAACTACTGTGTTGAAGAGGCTATTGCATTTAAATTGTTTTTTTTTTTTTTTGATACGGAGTCTTGCTCTGTTGCCCAGGCTGGAGTGCAATGGCGTGATCTCAGCTCACCGCAACCTCCGCCTCCCAGGTTCAAGCAGTGCTCCTGCCTCAGCCTCCTGAGTAGCTAGGATTACAGGCACACGCCACCATGCCCGGCTAATTTTTGTATTTTTTTAGTAGAGACGGGGTTTCACCATGTTGGCCAGGCTGATCTTGAACTCCTGACCTTGTGATCTGCTCGCCTTGGCCTCCCAAAGTGCTGGGATTACAGGCATGAGCCACCGTGCCCGACCTACATTTAAATTTTAAATAAAAGTTTGCTAAATTGTTTTCAGTAGAGGTTATATTAATCTATATTTATACCAACATGGAGAGTTTGTTTCCTGCAAAATAGCCAATAATTTATCAAACCTTTGAATCTTTGTCAATTGAATAGTTAAAAATGATTATCTCATATTTGTACATTTTTATTTTATTGTGAAGTTCAGCACCTTTTCATGTGTTTAAGAACTTTTAATTTTCTGTTGTTTATATCGTCTTCCCATTACCATTTTAACTATTTGTTTTTATTTTCAGAGTTTTTGCTTATAAAATTTTATTTACAGTCAATTCTCTTTATTTGTAGAATCTGTATTTGTAAAGGCACCTACTTGCTAAAATTTATTTGTAACCTAACATCAATACTCATGGCAGTTTCATGGTTTTTCATGGACATACACAGAGGTGAAAAATTTGAGAACCTTATCCAGATATTCCCAGCTGGGGTTGAACAGTGCTCAGTTTTTTGTGTAGCTTTCTTACTATAAACAAGTGTCCTTTTCGAAAGCAGTTTATATAGTTCTACATTTTTCACATTTTTGTGCCTTCTGTTTGTGATTTTACTGTTTAAAGTGATTCCCAAGCATTGTGCTGAAGTGCTATATAGTGGTATTCCAAGGTGCATGCGGGCTGTGAGGTGCCTTAGAGAATACATGTGTTAGATAACCTTTGTTTAGTCATGAGTTATAGTGCTGTTGAGTGGGAGTTAGATGATGATGAGTCATCACTATTTATTATTATATTTTTTGAGATGGAGTCTCACTCTGTCACCCAGGCTGGAGTGCAATGGCATAATCTCGGCTCACTGCAACCTCCTCCTCCCGGGTTCAAACGATTCTCCTGCCTCAGTCTTCTCAGTAGCTGGGATTATAGGCACCCGCCACTGCACCCAGCATAATTTTTGTATTTTTAGTAGAGGTGGGGTTTTACCATGTTGGGTAGGCCAGTCTTGAACTCCTGACCTCAAGTGATCCACCCACCTTGGCATCCCAGAGTGCTGGGATTACAGATATGAGCCACCATGCCAGGTCTATATTTATTAAATAATGTGTCTTTAAACAGAAACAGATATAAAACAAGCTTACGTATTTATAAGTTGGTGAAAATGTGACCAAAGGCTTACAAGAACCTAACCCTGTATTTCTGTTAGGAGCAATGGCTCAGTATTCACTAATTTGCGTGTTTGTGGCAACTTCATAGAACATAACTACCTCAAGTAATGAGAATTGACTGCATTCTTTTTCAAGTCATTTTATAAACAATTTACAGAAGAATAAAGGGATGGTGAAAATTAACTTTGTTAGCAATTTTAATGAGAATCCAAATATAGGAGACCCACATTTTTTCCCATATTTTCCCAGTTTTGAATGTTTATGTATACCTAAAAGGCATTACATCCTTTGAAAGCAGCTGTCATTATGCATGAATCTGGAACATACCTACCTTTAAATACGGATTTTGGATTTCAAATGCATCTCTACTATGTTCTACCTTATTATTTGTATTCTTCATGAACTCACTTTGTCAAAATGCAATACTTTTTGTTTTTTAATTTATTTTTATTTTTTGTAGAAATAGGGTCTCACTGTGTTGCCCAGGCTGGCCTTGAACACCTGGCCTCAAGTGATCTTCCTGCCTTCCAAAGTGCTGGGGACGGTAGGCATGAGCCACCACACCTGTCCAAACTGCAATACTTCTGAAAACTTTAGGGCTCATAGTTTTGTTGAAGTGATAGATGATGGCTATATTCTTTGTTACATAACAGCAAAACATTTTTGTTTTTACATTTATAAATACCAATTAGAATGACTTTCAGTGGATTGGTTTTCATTTTTCACATCATCTTTACCTTCCTGTTACTTTGTGTACATATCTGTCTTTCATACTTGTCCACTTACAAACTTTTTCAAGTAAATTCTGGTGTTACAAGCATAAAAGATGAAAGAACGTTGTCACATGGTCACTTGTCCTTTTAGCAATTATGCGATGATTCAACTGTTCTAGGTACAACTAGAGGGAGAGTATCCCAGGCAAGGGAGATAACAAATAGAAAGGCCCTAAGACACAAGTGTATTTAACATGTTTGGGGAACAACAAGGAGTTAATCGTGGCTGGAGTGGAAGTAAGGAGGAGAGATTAAGGAGATGGAGCTAAGAGAGGTAGTCAAGGGCCAGGCCATATGTCAGCGATAGTAAGGTCTTCAGCATTTACTTTTTTAAGCTGGGAGTCCATGGAAAGGTTTTGAACCCAAGGTATAGCATGATCTGACTTACAGAAAGAGACTTCTGATTGCTGTGTTGAAAATACACCATAGGTTTGAAGGGAGGAAACAGGCTGACTAGTTAGAGCCAGTGTGGGTAGTGGTGGTTGGATCTGAGTATATTTTCCAAGTGGAGCCACCAGGATTTTTCAGTAGATTGATTACATGTGGTGTATGAAAGAGGAGTGTCAAGTGTAACTCCGAGATTTTTGGCTTATGCAACTGGAAAAATAAAGTTAGAATTTAATGAGATGGAGGTCTGCATAAGGAGTACTTTTGTGGCAGGAAAGAAATTGGGTTTTGAACATGTGAAAATTGAGATGCCCATTAGTAGAAGTTGGATGTGAATAAAGAGTCCAGGCCAGGTGCAATGCCTCATGCCTGTAATCTCAGCACTTTGGGAGGCCAAGGCAGGAGAATCATGTGAGCCCAGGAGTTCAAGACCAGACTGGGCAACAAAGTGAGACCCCGTCTATATTATAAAATAAAAAAATAGTTCAGAGGAGAGGTCTGGGCTAGAGATGGAAATGTAGAAGTTAGTAAATTTAAAGCTGTTGAACTAGAGGAGATAGCTGAGGAAGTGCATTCAAATAGAGAAGATGTCAGAGGAGAACTTTGGGGTTCTCTCAGTGGTTAGAGATAGGATATGAGGAAAAACAGTGCAGGAGACTAAGGAGGAGCTCTCATTGAGTTAGGAAAATCAAGAGGGATGCCCTGGAAGCCAAATGAAGGCAGTGTTTTGAGGAAGAGGGGTGATGGGCCATGTGAAAGCCAATAGGTCACATGCTGCTAATGGGTCAACTAAAGTGAGGACTGAGAAGTATTCACCAATTTAGCAATGTGGAGCTCATTGGTGACCCTCATAAGAGCTGTGTTGGTGGAATGGAGGAGGTAAAATCCTGGAGGGAGAGAACATAAGAATGAGAGAACAGTTGACAGTGCATGTAAACAACTCTTTCACGGAACTTTGTATTTCTGAATTTTTGTTTATTTGGCTATTAATAAAATCATATCTGATATAGTTTTATTTTAGTAAGGTTTGTTTTTGTGGGACTTCAGTTGTGTATACACATATAATATGTGTGTGTATGTATGTGCGTATGGTGTTTTGATGTAAAATTTATTATTGTGGGTCATGGTTAAAAAAAAAGCTTGAGAATGAGGAGTTAGATCAAGAAATAGAAGGAAAGTTGACATAAGAAGTTGTGGATGTAGGAGATTCTACCATGTAGACACAGTGGAAGGATTTAGGGAGTTGGAGCAGGTTGGGATATGTGATCAGAAAGCGGGAGTTTAGCTCTCTCACTTGCCCCTGCTTTTACCATGTGATGTGTCTGCTACCCCTTCACCTTCCACCATGACTGTAAGCTTCCTGAGGTCTCCCTAGAAGCCAAGCAGATGCCAGCACCATGCTTCCTGTAAAGCCTGCAGAACCATGAGCCAATTAAACCTCTTTGTAAATTACCCAGTTTGAGGTATTTCTTTATAGCAGTGCAAGAATGCCCCAATACAGAAAATTGGTACCGAGAAGTTGGGCATTGCTATAAAGATACCTGAAAATGTGGAAACAGCTTTGGAACTGGGTAATGAGTAGTGGTTGGAAGAGTTTACAGGGCTCAGAAGAAGACAGGAAAATGAGGGTAAGTTTCAAACTTTTTTTTTTTTTTTTTTTTTTTTGAGACGGAGTCTTGCTCTGTCGCCCAGGCTGGAGTGCAGTGGCGTGATCTTGGCTCACTGCAACCTCTGCCTCCCGGGTTCAAGTGATTTTCTGCCTCAGCTTCCCAAGCAGCTGGGGTTACAGGCATGCACCACCATGCCTGGCTAATATTTTTGTATTTTTAGTAAGGATGGGGTTTCACCATGTTGGCCAGGCTGGTCTCGAACTCCTGACCTCAAGTGATTCACCCACCTCGACCTCCCAAAGTGCTAGGTTTACAGGCGTGAGCCACTGCTCCCGGCAAGTTTGGAACTTCTTAGAGACTAGATAAGTGGTTGTGACCAAAATGCTGATGGTGATAGGGACAGTGAAGTCCAGGTTGACAAGGTCTCAAAAGGAAACGAATTTATTGGGAACTGGAGCAAAAGTCACACGTTATGCCTTAGCAAATAACTTGGCTGCATTCTGCTTGTGTCCTAGGGATCTGTGGAAGTTTGAACTTAAAAACTATGACCTAGCGTATGTGGCAGAAGAAATTTCTAAGCAGCAAAGCATTCAAGATGTGGCCTTCTGCTACTAACAGCCTGTGCTCAGATGTGGGGGCAAATGAATGACTTAAATTTGGAACTTACATTTAAACAGGAAGCAGAGCCTAAAAGTTGGGAAATTTTGCAGCCTAGCCAGGTGGTAAAAAAAAAAACCATTTTCTCCAAGGAATTCAAGCAGGCTGTGGAGCAACCACTTGCTGATATTTGCATAACTGAAAGGGATCCAAGTGGTAATATCCAAGACAATGGGGAAAAGGCCTCAAAGGCATTTCAGAGACCTATGGGGCAGCCCCTCCTGTCATAGGCCCTGAAGCCAAGGAAGACTGAATATTTTCCTGGGCTGAGCCCAGGGCCCTGTTGCCCTGTGCAGCCTCAGAACACTGCTCCCTGCATCCAGATGGCTCCAACTCCAGCAGGGGCTCAAAGGGGCCTAGGTACAGCTTGGGCTGTTACTTTGGAGGGCATAAGCCATAGCCTTCACAGCTTCCATTAGGTGGTAAGCCTGCAGGCACACAGAATGCAAAAATGGTGAATTCTTGGTAGCCTCTGCCTGGATTTCAGAGGATGTATGGAAAAGCCTGGGTGTCCAAGCAGAACCCTGCTGCAGGAGCAGAGCCCTCACAGAGAGCCTCTACTAGGGCAGCGTGGAGGGGAAATGTGGGGTTAAAGGCCCCACGCAGAGTCCCTACTGGGGCACTGCCTAGTGGAGCTGTGAGAAGAGGGCTACTGTTCTCCAGAATGGTAGAGCCACTGGCAGCTTGTACCCTGCACTTGGAAAAGCCACAGACACTCAACCCAGCCTGTGACAGCAGGCTGAACTCTGCAAAGCTATAGGAGCAGAGCTGCCCAAGGCCTTGGGAGCCCAACCCTCATATCAGCGTGCCACATGGAAACCAAGGAGATCATTGTGGAGTTTCATGATTTAATGACTGCCATGCTGGGTTTTGAACTTGCATGGGGCCTATAGCCCCCTTTTTTGGCAGGTTTTTCCCTAATGGGAATATTTCCCCAATCCCTGAACCCTGATTGTATGTTGGAAGTAAATAATTTGTTTTTTATTTTATAGGCTCATAGGTGGCAGGGATTTGCCTTGTCTCAGATGAGACTTTGGATTCCTGAGTTAATGCTGGAATGAGTTAAGACTTTGCGGCACTGTTGGGAAGGCATGGTTGTATTTTGCATTGTGAAAAGGACATAAGATTTGGGAGGGGCCAGAGGTGGAATGATGTGGTTTGGATATTTATCTCTACTTATGTTGAATTTTATCCCGAGTGTTGGAGATGGGGCATGGTGGGAGGTGTTTGGATCATGGGGGCAGATCCCTCATGGCTTGGTGTTACCTTTGTGTTGCTACTGAGTTCTCGTGAGATCTGGTCATTTAAAAGTGTATGAAACCTGCCCCCTGCCCCCGCACTGTCTCTCACTTGTTTCTGCTTTCATCATGTGACATGTGTGCTCACCTTCTGCCATGATTTTAGTTTCCTGAGGCCTCCCTAAAAGCCGAGCAGATGCCAGCACCATGCTTCCTGTAAAGCCTGCAGAACCGTGAGTCAACTAAACCTCTTTTCTTTATGAAAGAAAAGGAAGGAAGGGAGAGAGGGAAGGAGAAAAAGAGAGAGGGAGAGATGGATGGAGGAAGGGAGGGAGGGCTTACAACCATGAGGACAGTTTTTAGGTCAATGAGGGATGACTTGGGAGTCCTATGAAGACTGATGTAAACTAGAATAAAGGGCATGATGAGCTTATGATTCAAAAGTATTTTGTCATAGAAATAGTTTGTTTTCTGTAAAAGAACACAGTAAATATTTTAGCTTTGTAGGCCACTGAGTCTCTGTTGCTTTAAAAAATGTGAAAACCATTCTTAGCTTGAGGGCTGGACAGTCCAGGGCCATACTTTACTGACCGCTGCTTGAACTAAACGCTGTTAGAAGCAGCTCTGGAAAAATAATTTGCATGGAATCTTATGATTTTTTTTTTTTTTTTTTTTTTTGAGGCAGAATTTTGCTCTTGTTGCCCAGGCTAGAGTGCAATAGCGCGTTCTTGGCTCACTGCAACCTCCGCCTCCTGGGTTCAAGCAATTCTCCTGCCTCAGCCTCCCGAGTAGCTGGGATTACAGGAAGGCACCACCATGCGTGGCTAATTTTGTATTTTTAGTAGAGACAAGGTTTCTCCATGTTGGTCAGGCTGGTCTCGAACTCCCAACCTCAGGTGATCCACCCGCCTCGGCCTCCCAAAGTGCTGGGATTACCAGCGTGAGCCACTGCACCTGGTCAAGTATTATGGTTTTTTAATAGTATGCACACATGGGACAAAACTCAACTGGTATAAAAGGGTATGCAGGAGAAAAAAAGCAAACTTCCCTCTCTCCCTTTTCTGTCCACCAGCCATCCTGTTCTCCTCCCTAAACTCAATTATGGTTGCCTGTTTTTTATATAAGTTTTCCATGAATTTATAAATACATCACGTGCATATATCCTGTCAGTCAATATTAAGAAATTACTAGGTTATTTTGTGTTTATGTGTGCACTATTAGATTTAATGAGTTATGCTAGTTGTTGCCTCTTATATCCACATTCAGTCTTCATTGTCTGTTCTGTAATAATAGATCTGGGCCCTGTAAATACCTCTCCCATGACAGTAAGCACAGAGTGAAACTTTGTCAATCGAGGGTGCTGCTGACACACTGAAGGGGCAAGGGCTGCTTTTCCTGGTTCCATTGTGCTCCTCTAGGCAGACACCTGCAACACCTGTGCCATCTGCAATACCAGCTCCTGTAGCACATACACTCTGCCTCTGCAGCACCTCGTTCTGGCTGCACACTTCTTGGGCGGTGCCTAACTTCAGCAGCACCCAATGGTCAGCAGCGCACAGTACCCCCACATGAATGGCTTCCCTTGACATGCACAAGGTCCCTTCTCTGCAAAGTGCCCCAAGCCCAGCACCTTCTCCAGCTGCAACTCCACAGCCTCAGCAAACCTCTGTCTTTCACAGCTGTGTCCTCTCACACGAAGTCTGGATCTCAGCCCGGATCTCAGCCCTGAGCTTTCTTCTTTGAGTTGTTCTGTCTCAGCCTGGGGTGAAAAGCCCATATCGGCTGTTCCCTGCATCTGCCCAGGCTTCTCTTTATTCCTTACTACCCAATCCCCATTCCAATCCTCTGTTAATAACTCTTACGGACAGTCCCCAACTCATGATGACTTGACTTAGGATTTTTCTACTTTGCAATGGTGCAAAAGTGATCCGCATTCAGTAGAAACTGTTCCTCAAGTACTCATACGACCTCTATTTTTCACTTTCTGTACAGTATTCAATAAATTGCGTGAGATTTTCAATACTTTATTATAAAATAGGCTTTGTGTTTATGATTTTGCCCAACTGTAAGCTAATATAAGTGTTCTCAGCGTGTTTAAGGTAGGTCAGGTTAAGCGATGATGTTTGGTAGTTTAGGTATATTAAATGCATTTCTGACATACAATATTTTCTACTTACAATGGGTTTTTCAGGATATAACCCTGTTGTAAGTTGAGGAGCATCTTATTTTATTTATTTATTTATTTATTTGAAATGGAGTCTTGCTCTGTCACCCAGGCTGGAGTGCAGTGGCACGATCTTGGCTCACTGCAACCTCTGCCTCCTGGGTTCAAGCAATTCTCCTGCCTCAGCCTCCCAAGTAGCTGAGACTACAGGTGCACACCACCATGCCTGGCTTTTTTTTTTTTTTTTTAATTTTTTTTTGTATTTTTAGTAGAGACAGGATTTCACCATGTTGGCCAGGCTGGTCTCGAACTCCTGACCTCAAGTGATCTGCCCACCTCGGCCTCCCAAAGTGCTGGAATTACAGGCGTGAGCCACTGCGTCAGGCCGAGCATCTGTATATTAAACTTTCCCCATTCAAATTTCTGTGTGGTTTCTGTCTCCTGACTGGATTCTGATATAATGCTTAACAACCTTTCTAATTACAAAGGTATTACATATAAAATCAGACAAGCAAGAAGACAATCCATCCCACCTTCTAGTACTCTTGCCCTCCAGAGGTAGCTCCAGTTAATATTTTAGTGCTAAACTAGATTTATTTTTGTTTTAAATAGAAAAATAATGCAGGCACGAAAGTAAAACAAAAAACAGTACAGAATGGGAGAGACTGAAAAGTAAGAATGGCTTCCAGGCCCACTTCCTAGAGGTACGCACTATTAACATTTTTAGATATAAACTTCCAGAAATTTTTTTCCAGTTTTATTTAGGTATAATTGACAAAATTATTTATATTTCAGTTGTACAACATGGATGTTCAACATGTTTTGGTGTACATATACTTTCTGATATTATAAATGGTTACCACAAGCAAGCTCAGTAACATATTCAGAAATTCTTAATGTAGCTAGCAATATAAGTGGTTTTGTTTTTTGTTTTGAGACAGACAGGGTCTTGCTCTGTTGCCCAGGCTGGAATGCAGTGGCGCCATCTTGGCTCACTGCAACCTCTGCCTCCCGGGTTCAAGCAAGTCTTGCGTCTCAGCCGCCCTAGTGGCTGGGACTACAGGCATGTGCCACCACACCTGGCTAATTTTTGTATTTTTAGTAGAGATGGGGTTTCACCATGCTGGCCAGGCTGGTCTCGAATTCCTCACCTCAAATGATTCGCCCGCCTCAGCCTCCCAAAGTGCTGGGATTACAGGTGTGAGCCACCGCACCCAGTCATAAGTGGTTTTCTAAACAAATGAGACCACACCATACATACTGTCCCTATATTTCATACTTGGGCAAGGGGAGGGGAGTTGACTTTTTTCTTAGTGAGAATAAAAATGAGGATAAAAGTATGGTTGTTTACCAACTTATAGTAGTATCATGAATTTCGAATGGTCTTCTGGCCGTTCAGAAAACTACTTAACTGGTAGGAACGAAATTCTGGACACTGACATTGATATAGACACTCATATCAAATATAATACTATGAAATACTATGATATGGAAATAATATGCAATCACTAGAGATAAAATATTTTCTACCCAAGTAGAGTGGATTCATAAGAAAATTCTAAATTATAGCATATGTTGAACTCTGAGAAGCCTCTGGAATGAAGTCATTTTTCCCTAACCCCTGTTTCCTCTTTATATTGGCAGTGGATAAATGGAAAGTAAGTTAACTCTACTGTACCAAAGCTAGTTCAATATAGAAAACAGGTTCTACAAGGATTAAGGAACATCTCTTGGCCCACAGAAGATTCATGTGGATCCTGTGTTAAACCCGTTTCATCCATGTATGAAAGTGATTCAACCGTTAAGTTAGCCATTTATTATATAAATTGAATACTTCTTCCATATTGTGGCTTTTAGATAGATTGGCAGACCTGTCCCCAACCCCTTCCCTGTTGACCATGGACAATGGAGGGTTTGCTGTATAAACTTGATTGAAGGGTTTGCCTTTAGCTGGGGTGGATTACTCAGGGACCTCAAAGGTATTGGTGATGATTTATTTCTTGAGCTTGGTGGTGAGTATGCAGGACTGTGTTTTGTTTTGTTTTGTTTTTTAGCAAGCCTTACACATTTTCTTTTGTATGCAATATTTAATAAAATAATTTTGGATAATTTGGTTTTTAGCATTAATCAACAACTTTTTTTACATCCTCAATATGCCCCAAGACAAATTATTGATTCAGCAGTTTTTAGCTGAATCTTTTATTTCTGAATGATTGGAGAGAACGGCAGTATCCATTTCTGGAGAATAGTTAAGTACTTAGATTGAGGATGTCTTTCTTTCATGACATTAAGCAATGCAATATCATCTGCATCCAAGAGCCAACTTAACATGTTCAGTCTAATGAGCCTTGGTAGTCGTAACACACATTGACTCAAAGACTTGACTGTTGTGGCCTGAGCTTTGATACACTCTGTGAAATGCCTGGAGATGTCCAACTCCTGCAAGTTTGGCATGTTGTCCAGTGCTTGAAAGAAATTTCTGTATCCTTCCTCTGTAATCTTGTGATTGATTGAAAGCTTTAGGTTCTCAAGTTTCTGGAAACCTCCACTGATTGCTACTTTGGCTACAAGAACAAAACATTCATGAAAATAGAATCATAAGGACTTCCATTTCAATAATGGTAGACAAGGTTATTTGAACCAGCCTCCTCTCCCACCACTACTGCTAGTAGGAAGTACTCAATATAATTTTGTTTTTTGAAATGGGGTCTTGCTATGTTAACACAGGCTGGTCTCTTTTTCTTTCTTTCTTTTTTTTTTTTTTTTTTTTTTTTTTTTGAGATGGAGTCTCGCTCTGTTACCCAGGCTGCAGTGCAGTGGCATGATCTCAGCTCACTGCAACCTCCGCCTCCCAGGTTCATGCCATTCTCCTGCCTCAGCCTCCCGAGTAGCTGGGACTACAGGCGCCCGCCACCATGCCCAGCTAATTTTTTGTATTTTTAGTAGAGACGGGGTTTCACTGTGTTAGCCAGGATGGTCTCGATCTCCTGACCTTGTGATCCACCCGCCTTGGCCTCCCAAAGTGCTGGGATTACAGGCGTGAGCCACCGCGCCTGGCCATCACAGGCTGGTCTCAAACTCGTGGACTCAAGTGATCCTCCTGCCTCAGCTTCCCAAGTAGGTGGGATTACAAGCACGTGTCACTGTGCCCAGCTTAATATAATATTTTGAAAATATCTCCTTAAAAACCCCAAAGAGCTGATGGGTTAATAAAGAACCACCTGGCAAAAATCTAAGGGAGAAGCAGAAACCAAAGAAGTACAGCCAAGCCTAAAGCACTGACGCCATTGTGCTGAGAGTTTCACCATCCTGGACAAATATGAGCTTCTCTTTTGGTCTCACAGGAGGTCACATGCCAAGGTACATCATGCCTACAAACCAGACTAAATTGGCAAGTCACAGTGGCTCACGCTTGTAATCCCAGCATTTTGGGAGGCCGAGGTGGGTAGATCACTTGAAGTCAGGAGTTCGAGACCAGGCTGGCCAACATGGTGAAACCCCATCTCTACTAAAAATACAAGAATCAGCCGGATATGGTGGTACATGCCTGTAATCCCAGCTACTCGGGAGGCTGAGGCAGGAGAATCAGCTTGAACCTGGGAGGTAGAGGTTGCAGTGAGCCAAAATCCCACCACTGCACTCCAGCCTGGGTGACAGAGCAAGACTCCGTCTAAAAAACAAAAAGAGAAAACAAAAAAAAAAAAATCCAGACTAAATTACAAGGGACTTCAAAGAGTGTAGCAATTATGTCTTCCCCTTTTATAGAGAAGGGGGTGTGACATTCCTAAAGCCATGTCATCCGACTGTCCACTGCTATGCCCTATTTCTGTTGCCCAGAAGGGACCCTCCTGTTTTTGAGACTAAGGGCTCTGAAGGAAATGGAAGCCGGGCACACCCTGTGTTCTCAATGAACACAGGCTGACTAGACTTTGGAATGGGTACCAAGCAGAGTTCTTGTTGTTTGGTTTAGGGGTTTTTAAAAAAAAAAAAATTTTTTTTTTTGAGACAGGGTGTCACTTGGTTGCCTAGGCTGGAGTGCAATGGTTCAGTTATAACTCACTGCAGCCTAGAATTTCTGGGCTCAAGCAATCCTCCCGCCTCAGCCTCCTGAGTCCTAGCTACTCAGGACTAGCCACCGTGCTTGGCTAATTTTTCAATTTTTTATGGAGACAAGGTCTTGCTATGTTGCCCAATCTTGTCTCAAACTCCTGGCCTCAAGCAGTCCTTCTATCTTGGCCTCCCAACGTGTTGGGATTACAGGCATGAGCCACCATGCCCAGCCTTGTTTTTAATTGCTAAACCTCTTTTTTTTTCTAACTTGGGCAAAGGTTAAGTTTGGTTTCAATCTAGAATCCATGGCTGTAGCTTGACTGAGGTTAAACAACAGAGGTACTGAGAAAATGTCTTCAGCTATGTCCTGAATAGGTATCTTCAGTAACATTCAAGAGATATTTCTCATTCCCCCACATGAAAGACACTTCTGGAGGGACTTGAAGAAAGACTCAGGTCTTTCACATCCATTCCCTTCTTTCCCCTGTTTCAGCATAACTCCCACTTCATATTGTGTGATTAGCCGGTTCTGTGATGTGTCTGAATGCTGTCTCCTACAGGTAAAGTTTAAGCATTACTGACTATAGGCAAACAATGGCCTCTCAGCTGTCCATCAGAAGAAGCTACAGAAAAGTAAGTTTTCTTTATTCAGTCAACAAATATTTACTGAGTTCCCACTATAGGCCAGGCATACTCTGCTGGGCGCCGGGAAGAGAAAACACCTGCTCTCAGGAGGGAGAGCGACAGGGGTTACTGGCTCAAATCTGTGTGTGAGATTGAAGTTCTAAGGAAGGCTTTGACCTAATGTAGTGAGAAGAATAAAACACAAATAATTTATAGTAAATGAGGATGAGAGAGACCACAAAATTTAATGTTATTAAATTCTTCCTCATAAGGAGGAAGAAACAAGGCCTTTAAGAAAAACGTTGTAAGTTGTCATTGTTTTTTGTTTTTTGTTTTTTTTTTTGAGACGGAGTCTCGTTCTGTTGCCCAGGCTGGAGTGCAGTGGCATGATCTTGGCTCACTTCAAGCTCCACCTCCCGGGTTCACACCATTCTCCTGCCTCAGCCTCCCGAGTAGCTGGGACTACAGGTGCCCGCCATCACGCCTGGCTAATTTTTTGTATTTTTAGTAGAGACGGGGTTTCACCATGTTAGCCAGGATGGTCTCGATCTCCTGACCTCGTGATCCATCCGCCTCGGCCTCCCAAAGTGCTGGGATTACAAGCTTGAGCCACCGCTCCCAGCTGTTTTAAATAACGTAAAATAACAGTGCTGAGCAGTAAGAAAATGAGATCCAGCCCTTGTAACACACCCGACAAAGCCTCTCCAATTGGGCTTTTACTTTCCTCTCCAGTCTTCTTCTCACAACTCACTCCTGCCTCTTGCTCCAGACATTCCTTTTTTTCCCCCAAGTTCTTCAAATATATCTGGTTCTCTTTAACTCCAGGCTATGACACAAGTGATTACCTCTGTTTGAAATGATGTCTCAATTCCTCCTCTACCAACTATGCCTGGGCCATTCTCCCTTCAGGTCTCGACAGAAATCTCAGTTCCTCAGGCCAGGCACTGTGGCTCACTTGAGGTCAGGAGTTCGAGACTAGCCTGGCCAACATGGTGAAACCCTGTGTTTACTAAAAATACAAAATTAGCCAGGTGTGGTGGCGTTCACCTGTAATCCTAGCTACTTGGGAGGCTGAGGCAGGAGAATCGCTTGAACCCAGGAGGCAGAGTTTGCAGTGACCCGAGATCGTGCCATTGTACTCCAGCCTGGGCAACACGAGCGAAACTCTGTCTCAAAAAAAAAAAAAAGAAGAAAATAAGAAAATAAAATTCAGTGAGCAGTACACATGATTTTTGTACTTTTCTGTGTGTATATTCATCTTCAGTTTTAAAAAGGAGTACTTAGGAGAGTATGTGGCCAGGTGTCTAAAACACCAGGTGGCAAGAACGCAGATTTGAGGGCTTGTATATCCACAAATGGGAGACCTTTTTGTACTTCCAAATCTGACCAGAATGCGCCTAAATCCACAGAAGGACACTAGAAGGAACAGTATGATAGTGAAAATGAGGAAGCGGGTTGAAAATTTCTAGAGGGGCAAATGTTTACATAGACATGTTGCAGCAGAAAGCTTGGCTATACCACTGGCTTCCATGCAAGCTGAAACACTAGCTCACCAATTTCCACCACGCTGTCATCATTCAAAGTCTTGAAAAATGAGAGGACTCGGAGACAATGAAGCTGCTGACACTGCTGGATGATCAGTTTGGCCACTCGATAAATTCCATCCCCAGTAGGAAGGATCAATTCTTCCAGGTTACTAAGAGAACCTAAAATGTAGGCTGTCAGAAAAGACCAAAAAGCTATTCTCTTTGTACTTTTTGTTCCTATGCAACAGTAATCTGAAAATCATGTATGGTCTAAACATCATGCACAGTCCAGGAAGCAAGAGAAGGGCCAGCACATGCTTCCGTCTTCCTCGCTCCTCCAGACAATTCCTCCACCACACCCTACCAACCAATCTCTCCTGCACTAAAGTCCAGGCTGCCAATTAAATCTCCATTCCTCGTTTAGAATGAAGCTTTTCCTGACCTGCAGGTTCCTTTCCCAGCTCTGCAATGCCTTCAGCCACCTCCTTTCCCATTCCACCTCCCGCTGTCATGCTCAGTGATTCTGCACCGGCCTCCTGGCCCTAAAGCCTCACAGTCCACCACTCTTAGAACCTTCCTTTTCACTTCGACTCCTTCCTAGCATGGCACACGATAGATCATTTGATCATTAGAAAGGTAACTTCTGAGGCCTCACACATGGAAATATATTGAATAATTTCTAGCATAAATCAATGTCCCAGGCTTATCATTTTCTTTCCCTGTCTCAGTTCTTGAATCAGCCAATTTTGCAAGGACCCTGGTTCCTTTACGGAAGGACAGGATTTAGAAATCAGTATCTAGGCACTTGGTGTGTTCATTATTACTGCAGTGCCTTCTAGTCTCTCCATTGAGCTGAGAAATATGTATGTGTGTATCTATAGACATGTGGAGATCAATGTATATATATGGAGATCTCTATGTATGTTCATAGGTTAGAAAAAACCATGAGGCCAGACCAATATTTCCAATTCTAATCCAACACCTCAAAGCTCTTTCTAGCCTCACCTTTCAATATTTGTAAGTTCCTTTTCCAACTGTGAGGAAACGTGGCTCTCATTATACTCACTGTTTTGTTCGTTTGTTTGTTTTTGAGACAGAGTCTTGCTCTGCCACCCAGGCTGGAGTACAGTGACCTGATCTTGGCTCACTGCAATCTCTGCCTCCGAGGTTCGAGAGATTCTCCTGCCTCAGCCTCCCAAGTAGCTGGGACTACAGGCATGTGCCACCACGCCCAGCAAATTTTTGTATTTTTTAGTAGAGATGGGGTTTCACCATGTTGGCCAGGCTGGTCTTGAACTCCTGACCTCAGGTGATCCACCCACCTCGGCCTCCCAAAGTGCTGGGATTACAGGTGTGAGCCACTGCATCTGGCTATACTCACTGTATTATTTGCTTAATCAACCTATGATGTATGCCAGCCATCCCCTTGGCCCTGATCCTACCTCTGCCACCTCAGCCCCCACCCACCTAGCTGCCTCCAAGGAAGGGAAGAGGAGGATCCTGGCAATCTTTATGTACGCTTATGTTTGAGAAGCACTTTGAATAGCACAGCTCTACAGTCCCTATCTCCACTGCCTCCCTTTATTTTTTTTTTTTCCTGTTAGAATGTTTTCCATGAGCATACATTACTTTCATAATCGTTTTTTAAAAATCAAAAAGTATTTAAATTCTATAGCTATCATTTTATGAAATACACGTTTTCACGTATTGAGTTTTCCTAACCTTAAAAGATAGATTTTTACCTATATTCTAGTAACCTTTGAAACTATGAGGTCTTATATTTGGAACAGATACCTGACAATTATATTGCATAGTGCTATAATGACCAAATATGTACTCTAAGAAGTCATTCTGCTTTGAATGAGATCAAGTCTGCAGGTAAAACTGTAGTGAAGGCATTTGGTGGGTAGAAGTTGAGCATGACTATCACTTCGTTCTGGTAAGCAAGGGTAGCTAATGCATATCTTGCTTCCTTGTGGCTAATTCAGAATAGGAGAAAAAGGATTCTGGGCAGAAAGAGAATAAGAATACGTAAAAAGCACTATTTTGTAAACATACCAAATTTTTCTGATGTTTCCTCATCAGGAAATTGCTGGCCTTCAAGATTTAATATCTTCAGAGAAATAAAATTTGGCAAACTGGCAACTATGAAAGGGAAAATAAAAATTTAGTTATGTCAGCTACATCTCTCACAGCAAAGTGTAACATCTTTAAAATGAAGAAATTAGAAATTAATGTAATAATTCAGATTGAATTCATATGACTAAGTAGATAAAACAAATTTTTGCTCAGAAAATAATTCTGATAACTAGAAATGTTGTTAAAATTCTAGAAATTTCAAATCCAACTGAGCGTAAAGGTAAAAAAGAAAATTCTGGAAACACCTATACTTTATTATTTGAGAAACAATTTTTCTTTTCTTTCTTTCTTTTTTTAAAGAGACAAGGTCTGTGTCACCCAGGCTGGAGTGCAGTGATACCATCACAGCTCGCTGCAGCTTCAACCTTCTGGGCTCAAGTAATCTTCCTGCCTTAGCTTCCCTAGTAGCTGGGACTATAGGTACCACTGTGCCCGACTGATTTTTTTAAAGCTTTTTAGAGGTGGAGGGCTTGTTATGTTGCCCAGACTGGTCTCAAACCCCTGACCTCAAGCAAGCCTCCTGCCTCAGCTTCCCAAAGTGCTGGGATTACAGGCATGAGCCACCACACCCAGCCTCAAAATATGGCCCTTTTTAAAGAGTGCTTAATATGACTCTGTGTCCATAGAAACATTTTAAACCACCATTGTAATATTATAACTCTTACCAAATGGGACGGCTTGAAAAAATGAATCCGAAAACTTAATTTCTGTGAGTTTCTTACAGGAAACAAGCATAGTCATGAGAGACCCAAAATCCGAAAAGAAGTTACACTTCAGATGGAAAACATGAAGGTTTGGAGAATTTTGAATTAATTTTACTGTAAAAGATCAAGGATTTTCAGAAATTAGAAAATACTGCAAATTTCTATCAAAATTAGCCAAGTAGTTTATTATTTTGTTTCAATAATACTTAATTAAAACCAGGTACCACGATCTCATGATCTAAGAATCAGGTCACTGGGCTTGGGTTCAGGTTCTGCAACTAGCAAGTAATGTGAATTTTGACACATTATTGACCCTCTCTGGGTAACAGTTTTCTCTTCTATAAAATACAAGCATTGACTCAGTAGCATCACCTTCAGCTTTAACACCTAATAACTCTAAGTTTGTACATGACATTTACACAATAAGAATACAAAGAGGCCAGGTGCTGTGGCTCATGCCTGTAATCCCAGCACTTTGGGAGGCCGAGGCAGGTGGATCATCTGAGCTCAGGAGCTCGAGACCAGCCTGGCCAACATGGTGAAACCCTGTCTCTACTAAAAATACAAACATTTGCCAGGCGTGGGTGGCAGGCAGCTGTAATCCCAGCTACTCGGGAGGCCGAGGCAGGAGAATCGCTTGAACCCAGGAGGCAGAGGTTGCAGTGAGTGGATATTGCGCCACCAAACTCCAGCCTGGGCAACAGAGCAAGACTGCATCTCCAAAAAAAAAAAAAAAAAAAAAAAAAGAATACTATACAAAGAAACAGCTGGGCATAGTGGCTCACGCCTGTAATCCTAGTACTTTGGGAGGCTGAGGTGGGCGGATCACCTGAGGTCAGGAGTTTGAGACTGGCCTGGCCAACATGGTGAAACCCCGTCTCTACTAAAAATATTAAAAAATTAGCCGGGCATGGTGATGGGTGCCTGTAATCCCAGCTACTTGGGAGGCTGAGGCAGGAGAATTGCTTGAACCCAGGAGACGGAGGTTGCAGTGAGCTGACAACGGTGCCACTGCACTCCAGCCTGGGTGACAGATTGAGACTCTGTCTCAAAAAAAAAAAAGAAACATAAAAGGAATGACAACTCTGAAGCAAAACCTAAATTTGTTGCAAAATTTGCTGACAAATATAACTACCACCTCCAGCTTCGGTGTATATATGTATGCACACACACACACACACACATATATATATATATTTTTTTTTTTTTTTTTTTTGAGACAGGGTCTTGCTCTATCACCTAGGCTGGAGTGCAGTGGCATGATCATAGCTTATTGCAAGCTTGAACTTCTGGACTCAAGTGATCCTACCAGCCTCCTGAGTAGCTGGGGACTATAGGTGCACACCATCATACTTGGCTAATTTTTTATTTTTTTAGTAGAGACGATGTCTTGCTATATTGCCCAGCCTGGTGCTGAACTCCTGCTCTCAGGCGATCCTCCCGCCTCGGCCACCCAAAGTGCTAAGATTACAGGTGTGAGTCACTGTGCCTGGCCAACAATGAAGCTTTTGCATGCAAGTCTTTATGTCAATTCCATAGAGTTGTATATTTCTTCAATCTTTAGTGTTCAGTGTTTACTAAGTTAAGGAATGATGGTGCCTAAGTCATTTAGCTAAATGATGTATTTAAGAAAGATGGCTGCACCATTTTCCATGAACTATTAGGATAGGCTGGTGAGAAACAGGGAAATACTTCCAATGACTACGGATTAGCAGATTTCCTTCCTGCTGAGCTGCCAGATCTGTAAGTTGCAATGTAAGACCAGCCTAACCAAAAACAAAATAAAATAACCCTACAAATTATTTTGGAGTGGCAACATTATATTAGGGATTTCTTTCTTTTTTTTTTTTTTTTTCTGAGATGGAGTTTTGCTCTTGTTCCCCATGGAGTTTTGCTCTTGTTCCCCATGGAGTTTTACTCTTGTTCCCCAGGCTGGAGTACAATGGCGCGATCTCGGCTCACATTGCAATCTCTGCCTCCCAGGTTCAGGTAATTCTCCTGCTTCAGCCTCTCAAGTAGCTGGGATTACAGGCATATGCCACCATGCCAGCAAATTTTTGCATTTTTAGTAGAGGCAGGGTTTCACCATGTTGGTCAGGCTGGTCTCGAACTCCTGACCTCAGGTGATCTGCCCTTCTCGGCCTCCCAAAGTGCTGGGATTACAGGTGTGAGTCACCAGGCCCGGCCTATATTAGGGATTAAGAACTCAGATTTTGGAGTCAAAATTCCTGTATTTGAGTCACAGATATACATTTCCTTAGCTGGATATTACGAATTACTTTATCTCTTTATGTCTCAGTTTTCCCAGCTACAAAATAGCATTAATAATAGTACTTTACTTTGGCCAGGCACGGTGGCTCATGCCTGTAATCCCAGCACTTTGGGAGGCCGAGGCGGGAAGATCATGAGGTCAGGAGATCGAGACCATCCTGGCTAACACGGTGAAACGCCGTCTCTACTAAAAATACAAAAAATTAGCTGGGCGTGGTGGCAGGCACCTGTAGTCCCAGCTACTTGGGAGGCTGAGGCAGGAGAATGGTGAACCTGAGAGGAGGAGCTTGCAGTGAGCCGAGATCGTGCCACTGCACTCCAGCCTGGGCGACAGCGCGAGACTGTCTCAAAAAAAAAAAAAAAAAAAAAATAATAATAATAATAATAGTACTTCATAGAGTGGGTATGAAGACTGAGTTCATATTTGTGAAGTGCTTAGGATACTTCCTAGTGTGTAGTAAAGGCTCAATAATTACAAACAGCACTCTGCTTTCTTAATGAGAAAGAGTGCTATTCCTCACAATTTACCATGGATACAGGCTACACCCTTAGAACCACAGGCACTTTAACTCTTAAATAAATTATTGGCCAAGTAGCTTTTCCAACTTACGTAAAAACAAGTATATTAAAGTGCCATCCTTACCTAGTTTGGAAGGATCATACTCAGCTGAAATTTGGATCAATAATTTCTCCATATGGTGGAAGTTTGGAAATTCTTCAGGAATGACTGAAAAAACATTTATATTGCCCTCCAGATCCACAGACAGTTCTTTCAGGCACAGGAACTTATCCAGATTAGGAAAGATTTGGTCTGGAAAGCAGCACAGTTTCCCATTATTAATCTAAAGAGTTCTGAATGGACATTTTAAAACTGTCATTTTGATTCATCCAGCTATTTTCACATGCAAACCTTCCACATACCATAAAACATTCTTTTTTTTTTTTAAAGAATACATATATGAAGATATTGCTTTTTGCAGCTTATGCACTGTATGGGAAGCCCTGTGCTACTCTTCAGACTCACAAAAAGAAATACAGCATCTCGGCTAGGCGCAGTGGCTCATGCCTGTAATCCCAGCACTTTGGGAGGCTGAGGCGGGCGGATCACGAGGTCAGGAGTTTGAGACCAGTCTGGCCAACATAGTGAAACCCCGTCTCTACTAAAAATACAAAAAAAAAAATTAGCTGGGTATGGTGGTGTGCATCTGTAATCCCAGCTACTCAGGAGGCTGAGGCAGGAGAATCACATAAACCTGGGAGACGGAGGTTGCAGTGAGCCAAGATCGCGCCATTGCACTCCAGCCCAGGCTACAGTGTGAGACTCCGTCTCAAAAAAAAAAAAAAAAAGAAGAGAAAAGAAATATAGCATCTCTTCAACAAACGGTTGGGGACAACTGGATTTGCACATGCGAAAGAATGAAGTTGGATTCCTATCCCTCACCATGTAAAAAAAATCAACTCAAAATGGATCAACGACCTAAATATAAAAGCTGAAATCACACAACTCTTAGAAAAAACATAGGAGTTAATCTTCATGACCTTGGATTTGGCAATGGATTCTTAGATAGGACACCAAAAGGACCAGCAATAAAAGAAAAAAACAGATAAATTGGACTTCGTCAAAATTTAAAACTTTCGTGCACAAAGGACATTATAAATAAAGTAAAATGACAACCTATGGAATGGGAAAAATATTTTCAAACTGTGTATCTGATAACAGGTTGAAATCCAGAATATACAAATAACTCTTACAATGCAACAAAAACAACAACAATTTTTAAATGAGCAAACATATTTTTTCAAAAAGTGAAAAGATACTTAACATCATTTTCATGATTTGCATTAGAGAAATGCAAATCAAAACCACAATGAGATACCACTTCACAACTACTAGAATGGCTTTATGATAATCACAAAACAAAATGGGCTGGGTGAGGTGGCTCATACCTGTAATCCCAGCACTTTGGAAGGCCAAGGTGGGTGGATCATTTGAGCCCAGGAGTTCAAGACCAGACTAGGGGCCAGGCACGGTGGCTCATGCCTGTAATCCCAGCACTTTGGGAGGCCGAGGTGGGTGGATCACCTGAGGTCAGGAGTTCAAGACCAGCCTGGCCAACATGGTGAAACCCCATCTCTACTAAAAATACAAAAATTAGCTGGGTGTGGTGGCGGGAGCTTGTAATCCCAGCTACTTGGGAGGCTGAGGCAAGAGAATGGCGTGAACCCAGGAGGCAGAGCTTGCAGTGAGCCGAGATTGCGCCACTGCACTCCAGCCTGGGGGACAGAGCGAGGCTCCATCTCAAAAAAAAAAAAGAAAGAAAAAGAAAAAAGACCAGACTAGGCAACATAGCAAGAATCTGTCTCTACAAAAAATAAAAAATTATCCAGGCACGGTGGTGCATGCTGGTAGTCTCAGCTACTCAGGAGGCTGAGGCAGGAGGATCACCTGAGCTCAAGAGGTTGAGGCTGCAGTGAGCCATGATTGCACCACAGCACTCCAGCTTGGGCAATAGAGCAAGACACTGTCTGAAAAACAACAATGAAAACAAAAACAGGTCGGGCACTGTGGCTCATGCCTGTAATCCTAGCACTTCGGGAGGCCAAGGTGGCTGGACTGCCTGAGCTCAGGAGTTCGAGACCGGCTTGGGCAACATGGCGAAACCCCATCTCTACTAAAAATACAAAAGTTAGCCAGGTATGGTGGTGCACACCTGTAGTCCCAGCTACTCAGGAGGCTGAGACAGGAGAATTGCTTGAACCCGAGAGGTGGAGGTTGCAGTGAGCCAAGATCTCGCCACTGCACTCCAGCCTGGGTGACAGAATTAGACTCTGTCTCCACAAAAACAAAAATTAACAAGTGCTGAAGAGGATGTGGAGTAATTGGAACCTTTGTACATGGATAGTGGGAATGTAAGATGGTGCAGCTACTGTGCAAGTTCCTCAAAAAGTTAAACATAGAACTACCATATGAATCAGCAATTCTGCTTCTAGGTATATACCCAAAATGATTAAAAGCAAGAACTTAAACCGATACTTATAATGCCAGTGTTCATTGCAGCATTATTTATGATAGCCAGAAGGTAGAAACAACCCAAGTGTCTCTCAGCAGCAGAATGGATAAACAAAATGTACTATATACATACCATGGAATATTAGCTATAAAAAGGATGAAGTTCCTTTTCAAAGTTGATACATAATAATTGTACATATTTATGGAGTACATGTGAAGGAATGAAATTCCAATATAGGCTACAACATGATGTACCTTGAACAGTATGCAAAGTGAAATAAGCCAGACAAGTGATAATGCTTATAAACAATATCTAGAAGAGGCAAATTCATAGAGACAGAAAATAGAAGAGAAGTTATCAGGGGCTGGTGGGAGGGAAGATTTTTTTTTTTTTTTTTTTTTTTTTTTTTTTTGAGACGGAGTCTCACTCGGTAGCCCAAGCTGGAGTGCAGTGGCATGATCTGGGCTCACTGCAACCTCTGCCTCCCAGGCTTAAGTGATTCTCATGCCTCAGCCTCCCGAATAGCTGGGACTACAGGCGCATGCCACCACGCCCAGCTAATTTTTTGTATTTTAGTAGAGATGTGGTTTCACCATGTTGCCCAGGGTGGTCTCAAACTCCTGAGCTCTGGCGATCCACCCTCTTCGGCCTCCCAAAGTGCTGGGATTACAGGCGTGAGCCCCCGCGCCCGGCCCAATTTATTGTTTAATTGGGATGATGAAAAGGTTCTGGAGATGGATAGTGGTGATGGTTGTACAACATAGTGAATGCTTAATGCCACTGAGTTGTACACTTAAAATGATTAAAATGTAAGCTTTGTTACATGTATTTTACCATAATAAAACAGTACTTGAAAAAAGATGAAAAATTTTCTAAATTTGGTAAATGTCAACCCACACATTCCAAAAAAGTTCAGTGCACCTCAAGCAAGATAC
This sequence comes from Homo sapiens, assembly GCF_000001405.40. Lineage (NCBI taxonomy): Eukaryota > Metazoa > Chordata > Mammalia > Primates > Hominidae > Homo > Homo sapiens. The sequence continues at coordinate 427,659 of NW_003315917.2, read as the reverse complement.
ATACAAAGCAAAGCACACCTAGGCATATAACAGTCAAACTGCTTAAGACCAAAGCAATACTAGCAACAATTAGAAAATGAAAAAATATTTTTAATGACATTTACAATACTTTCAAAAGATATGAGTATCTAGGAATAAATTTAATGAAAGATGGGTTAAGTCTACACTGAAAACTATCAAATAGTGCTTAGAGGAGTTAAGACACAAATAGATGAAGATATTATTTCCCATTAATTTATTTATTTCCCAGGGACTACAGGCCTTTCTTCCTTTAGGCAGCTAGGGTGAAGGTAATTTCTAAGCATCATCTTACATATAGCTAATTCTTTTACTAATAACAGATAATTCATGTCTTTATTAAGAACCTTCAATAATTTAATATAAATATTTTATTCATTTTGTCTGAGTTATTTGAAAACCATTCTATTATTCAAGGACTTTTCACTAATTCATGCTACTGTCAAAAAAAATTAGTGAAGGTTTATTTTATATCTGTTCTATCAATGAGCATGCATGCTTTCATGGCCTCAGAAGTTTTCAACCACTTAAAGTAAGAAAAAGAAATTATACATCAGAATAGTCATCCAAAATATATACAGGTATACCTTGTGACTGGATTGTCCCTGAGACTTCAAGAGATTCCAGGGAAGGCAGGGTGAGAAGCAGTTCCTGTTCGGCTGCGCTGAGTTCCAACTTGCTTATGGAGCACTTGGTGACAGAGGCCTTAGACAGCTCAAGAGCTGGGCGGATGCTTTCTATAAAGCCTCTGCTGTGGTTTAAATGGAGTTCGATGCGCTGTGAAGCTGAGAAAACTGTCATTAGAATCTCAAGCATATCCTGGCCTACAACATCAATATCATTCACATCGACTTCTAGACAGGGAATCTTGTACTGCTTTGGAGAAAGTTTCCAATAGCCAGTACTAAGGTCTGGTGATGCCCTGCGCTGCATATCCATATAGCTCTTTACATTATCCTCTTTTTCAGCTAAATTTCGCTCCCATTCATTCATAGGTTCAAAGGCAGAAGCATAGTCCTGATCTATAGTTGGCACCTGTGATTTGTCAAAACATGTTTCCAGAACTGAAAAATGTGCTCTGGGTGATGTCTTATTTCCTCGTATTGGGAAGTGGATGCTCCTCAACAATGACAAGCTTTCTGGGTGGTCGAAAAAGTACTGTAAGTTAAGCGCACCCAAAGTCAGTGTTCTCCCTTGAAGGAATTGCAAAACAAATGGAGAACACGCAGCAACAGTGTTGCTTTGATAAGCAGTTTTCAGGGCAAGAACCAGTAAATGTTCTGAAACCATTGAAAAGTAAGCTTGTGGACAAATTTGCCACAATCCCCTAAGTAACTGCATCTGCAGTGAAATTTCTGGCTGGTGCTTTAAGTAGTCATCATTTTCAGATATATTCTCCAATGACTCTTTGTTATCCACTAAATGGAGCAAATGAGACACAATTTTGGGCCCTGCTTTTGTTGAAGGGAGGCTGGAGACATAGTTCAAAAAATTGTTGTAGGCGCTTACAGTCATCATGGGTGAGTTGATTTGTTTCAAATGATACAGTCCCAAATCTTGATGTTCCTGCCTATCTGAATCCAGGAGTTCAATCAGCCTCATCCCCGCAAGAAATTCTTGGAAGGCAGGACTTAAAAACCGGTAGAATGGTCTTAGTCTCTGGGCTGTAAATTTGCTCATCAAGCACATGGTTAGATCTTCATCTTCATCAACCCCTGCTTCTGCGAGATCATCATCATTAAACTCAAAGCAACATGAAAAAAACCCTTTCAAGGCCAGCTCACCACAGGAGGACACAGTTGCTTTGAGAATTTCAGCTGTCGCTTTGTTCCTTAAGGAAAGGCGTTCCATATAGGACTTGAAAACAGCCACATCATCAAAGGATGGGTCAAAAGGATACTGAAACCAATGAGCACAGATCGCCGCCACAAAGAGAGGAGTTTTCTGTATCTTCTGCAAACTTTGGTTCTTTCCAAAGTAAACCATAAACTTTCGCAGACGAGTCATATTATGTGAAAAGAGCTTCCGTAATATACAGACAGTATTATAAAAGGGAAATGCTTTGATCTCTAGAATGGTCTCTAGGTATCGGCGGATGTCCCTGGCCCTGTTTGTACGGACAGCAATCAATAGGCAGGTCCGGGATAAGTGGTTTTTTTGAATCAGTTTTCCTATGACTTGAGGGATTGAACATATTTCTTTGTAGTCATCTAAAAGGAATAAGACCTGATTCTTTAACTGCTGGATAATGTTCCTCATGCACATTTCAGTAACAGATCCTTCTTTCTCTAGGAGCTGGTCACAGATGATACTGGCCAGCCCCTCGTCTGGTCTGGTGGAACTAAGGGAGAGGTAGAAAACCAGCTGGAACCTGTTTAACAGGGGACAGCATCCAGATGCCCACAGAAAAGCTATTTTCTTCAGGAGGACCGTCTTTCCACTTCCAGCTTCACCCTCCACACACATGACAGAGTTCAAGTTGCCAAAGACCTCAGGCAGCACCAGAGGTTCTTGCACAGGTTTGCTGATGTGTTTTGAAGCAATAGACAGATCACAGCCCAGCAAGTGGTCCGTGGCCAGATCGGAAGAGATATCAAGCAAAGACATGTGGCGGAAACTGGCGCTGGTATAAGCTGCTCTCAGCTGCTCATTCAGATTCTTTGCCTCTTGAAACCACTGGGCTTCACCCTGTGCCATTTCTGTGGAGAGAAAGAAAGGGGGGCACAACAGGGATTCATAGTCACATCTCCCTCAGTCTGAACGCCATGCCTTTTCATTCCATGATTCTGCCTGTCTACTACGAATGTGTTAGGATTTTCCACAGCCATCCATGATTCCCACATTGCGATCATCTCATAGGTTTTGGCACAAAATCGGAATGTGGAAAGCATGTGTCCAAAGTGCCACACTTGAAGCAGGGACCTAGACATAATGTGTGCTTATCATAAGCACCATGCATCTCAGGAAAGAGGCCAGGCAAAGTGACTCATGCCTGTAATCCCAGCACTGTGGGAGACCGAGGCAGGCGAATTGCTTGAGCCTAGGAGTTCAAGACCAGCCTGGCCAACATGGCAAAACCCTGTCTCTACAAAAAATACAAAAATTAGCCAGGTGTGGTGGCACATGCTTGTGGTCCCAGCTACTGGGGAGGCTGAGATGGGAGGATCACTTGAGCCTGGGAGGTCGACGCTGCAGTGAGCCATGATCTTGCCATTGCATTCCAGCCTGGGTGACAAAGTAAGACCCTGTCTCAAATAAAATAAAATAAAATAAAATGAATAAAAATAAAAATCTCAGGAAAGAAGTTTACTGATTGGTGCTTCTAAGGACTGGTTTGCTTGTACCTGAGACACGTTGCCTACTATCAGTTTGGTCCTGCCTGCACTCTGGAGAAGCCACAAGAATCTTGACTTTTGCTCATACACGACACTGTTGCAATGCTGCTCCTCTTTGGAAGCTCTTTGGACAATTATAAATACTCTTTTTTTTGCAACTGCCCTGTATACAAATATATTTACAAATACATATAATCCCACGTGCTACTTCAAAGTTCTTACCTGGCACTATAGGACCAACTGCTATTGAATCTTCAAGATTGCTTTCACTTGTGGTTTCCTTTGAAAAATAAAATCTTTTCTTAAATCAAAATTTGTATAGGAGAGTGGTGCATCATGTTGTAATCATTGGAGACTAAACATCTTCTAAACACAGCCCACCCTCAAATATTTATGCTGATTGAAGGGAGGGGTGCTCCAAATATAAAGCAATTAATAATCTGCAAACATCTGCAGGAATGTGTGTTCCTCAGTGGTTCATATATGATACAATCCATGGGTGATACTATCCAGGTAACGAGAATCATAGTGTCTTGAGCAAGAAGGTTCCTCCAAAAGTCATTAGGTGCAGCCTCTGTCCTTGGTTAACTACATTTTTAATATTACACATCCAGTACTTAGAAAGGTTATGTTTCTTCCTTAAAAAATAAGCTATTTCTATATCCCCAAACTTTTTTCTTTAGTGCCATTTTTCAATTCATATAGAAAATGAATCACGTGAATAGCAAGTTGGTTTTTGTGTGTGTTGGGGGTGGGGGGATGACAAACATAACATACCTAACACACAGCCTCAAAATAAGGTGGTATATGTGTGCATTAAATTAGTAGTGGCTTATATCCCAGAGAACTAGGTAGGATTTCTCAGCTTAAAGTGGTCAGCCTATTACCTGGGTTTATGATTTTGTTGGGCACTTGCTTTTGTTAAAGTAACATCTTCTCAACCCCTAAAAAGGCCAAGTAGCAAATCCAGCCTTATTGCCCTCCACATGAAGATCCAGAGAGGATCCATTTAGCCTGGATGCTAATCAACAAAGTCTAAGAGAGTCTGGGCCTTGAAGTAGAAGAGATTGACTATACATTTCATGAAGCTAGGTATTGTGCCCGACTGGTTTATTGTGATTTCCCCAATCTGTACCTAGAACATAACAGATGTTTAGTAGATGTTTGTAGAATTTATTAACTTATTTATGATGAGACATTCCTGTTCAAAACAGTTTTCAATTATATGATCATGTGCTGGTAAAACAGACAAGATGACGGTGTTCATTACCAGTAATTCACAAAGTTCACCACGGCTCTGAAGGTCTGGAGTCACTTCCGCAGAGGACTTCATATTTTGGAGAAATGGACAACTAAGTGTAAAAGTTAAAAGTTATAAAAATAGTTGTATGCATTTAAGTATTTGTGTTAGGTATTTTTGTTGTTGTTGTTGCTGTTGTTGTTTGTTTTGTTTTTTCAGAGACAGGGTCTCACTATGTTGCCCAGGCTGTTCTGGTTTCAAACTTCTGGCCTTGAGCAATTCTCCTCCCTAGGCATCCCAAAGTGCTGGGATGATAGGTGTGAGCCGCCAGGCCTGGCCTTGTATTAGGTTTTTAAAAACACTATTAGAGTTTTAGTGACAAGAATTAAGTATAAAACTATCATTTCCAGTGATTCTCTCTGTCAGTGTCATCAGGTAAGGCACTTAGGTTGTGGCTCTCTGCAAGAGAAATGTAAATGGTTTATAAAGTAATGGTAAAGGATATCAAGGGAATTTGGTGGAATGAGTGCGTATATGACACTCCTCCATGCAACCAACAAAAATGAACTTAAAGAATCAAAAATAGGAAAAAAAAACCCCTCTATTTATGAATTCTGGAACAAAAAACAACATAGTGGAAAAACTGGTGAAATCCAAATAAACTCTGGATTTTAGTAAATAGTAATGTACAGTATATGAATTGGTACACTGATGATTTTGACAAATATGCTAGTGTAAGATGTTAGCATTAGGGTAAATTGGGTATGGCAATATATAGGAACTCTTTGTATTACTTTGCACTTTCTGCAAATCTAAATAATTTCAAATAAAAATTTATTAAAAAAAGAAAAAAACTCTGTGAGTGCGGTGGTTCACACCCAAAATCCCAGCACTTTGGGAGGCCGAGGCGGGCAGATCACTTGAGGCCAGAAGTTTGAGACCAGCCTGGCCAACATGGCAAAACCCTGTCTCTATTAAAAAGAAAATTCCAAAATTAACCAGGCAGTGGTGGCGCACACCTGTAGTCCTAGCTACTTAGGAGGCTGGGGCACAAGAATCGCTTGAACCTGGGAGGCGGAGGTTGCAGTGAGCTGAGATTGTGCCACTGCACTCTAGTCTGGGCAATGGAGTGAGACTCTGTCTCAAAACAAAACAAAAAACAAACAAGGCCAGGCATGGTGGCTCACGCCTGTAATCCCAGCAGTTCGGGAGGCTGAGGCGGGTGGATCACTTGAGGTCAGGAGTTTGAGACCAACCTGACCAACATGGTGAAACCTCACCTCTACTAAAAATACAAAAATTAGCCGGGCGTTGTGGCGGACGCCTGTAATCCCAGCGACTTGGGAGGCTGAGGCAGGAGAATTGCTTGAACCCAAGAGGCAGAAGTTGAAGTAAGCCGAGATCGCACCATTGCACTCTAGCCTGGGCAACAGGAGTGAAACTCTGTCTCAAAAACAAACAAACAAACAAACAAAAAACTAACCAACCACAAACCACTCCATTGCCAGGTGCAATGGCTCATGCCTGTAATCCCAGCACTTTGGGAAGCCAAAGTAGGAGTTTCACTTGAGGCCAGAAGTTCAAGACCAGACCAACCTGTGCAACATAGAGAGACCTCCTCTAAAAATTAGCTAGCAGGGTGGCATGCATGTATAGTCCCAGCTACTTGGGGGTGCTGAGGCAAGAAGATCACTTGAGGCCAGGAGGTTGGGGCTACAGTGAGCCGTGATTGCATCACTGCACTCCAGCCTGGGTGACAGAGTAAGACCCTGTCTTAAACAAACAAAAAATTAAAAAAGAAACCCTCCGTCAGTATCAAAAGAAAAGAATGGCCACAAACATACTCTCTAAAAACTACTTGCCAATCTCGTGAAACTAGGACGCAAATACCCTCTAAACTCAGGTTTGATGTATGCTTGAAGAACGAGAGAAAGTTCAAAAAGAGCTCTAGTTGCAATTATTAAAATGGACAGATGAGAACTATACATGTGAGTAAGTCAGTGGCCTATTCCATGCTGTAGAATCACTGGAGAGCAGGAGTAAAGCAAAGGGACACTTTTTTTTTTTTTTTTTTTTTTTGAGACAAGGTCTCACTCTTTTGTCCAGGCTTGAGGGTAGTGACACGACCAAGGATCAATGTAGCCTCCAACTCCCAGGCTCAAGTGATCCTCCCACCTCAGCCTCCCAAGTAACTGGGACTACAGGCACGTGCCACCATGCCAGGCTAATTTTTTTTTTTTCTGGGCTCAAGGTATCCTCCCACCTCAGTTTCCCAAAGTGCTGGGATTACAGGCGTGAGCCACTGCATGTGGCCCAGATACTTCATTTGTATTGCCTTCAGGTGACTTGGCGATGAGTCCAGAAATAGAAGCATAGCTTCAGGAAAACAACAAGTAGAACTTTTAACGTTTCTGTCCAAAGTCAGCCATGTAGAGGTAAATAAAAACAAACCCATAGGGAAGGGGTGAAGTGGCTTACAAAAGAAAAAAAATATTTTAATAGGCCCATCAAGGAAAAGAACTATGAAGGAAGGTAAAATATAAACTTATTCATACAAACAAATGCCAAATAAAGTCAGTTGCCAGCATAACTGCACTACAAAAAATGTGAAAGGGACCAGGCACAGTGGTTCACCCCTGTAATCCCAGCACTTTGGGAGGCTGAGGCAGGCAGATCATGAGGTCAGGAGTTCAAGACCAGCCTGGCCAACATGGTGAAACTCTATCTCTACTAAAAATACAAAAATTAGCCTGGCATGGTGGTGGGCACCTGTAATCCTAGCTACTCAGGAGGTTGAGGCAGGAGAATCACTTGAACCCGGGAGGCAGAGGTTGCAGTCAGCCGAGATCGTGGCGCTGAACTCCAGCCTAGGAGACAGAGCAAGACTCCATCTCAAAAAAAAAAAAAAAAAAAAAAAAAAAAGTGAAAGGAAGCACATCATTTAAAAGGAAAATGATAGCAGATGGAAATTTGGTTCTACTCAAAGGAATGAAAAGTACCAGGAATGATAAGATAACTAAGAGGGCAAATATGAAAGACTTTTGCCGTTGTAAAAATGTACTTAAATTGTTTAAAGCAAAGATATAACATTATATTGTAAGATTTATTAAAGTACATGGAAATAAAATGTATGACAATAGCACAAAGGATGAGAGGGGAGAAATGGAAATATACTATTGTATGGTTCATACATTTTATGTCAAGTGTTATATATTTTTTTGACCCAGAGTCTCACTGTGTCACCCAGGCTGGAGTGCAGTGGCACGATCTCAGCTTTCTGCAGCGTCTGCTTCCTGGGTTCAAGCAATTCTCGTGCCTCAGCCTCCCAAGCAGCTGGGATTACAGGTGTGCGCCACCACACCCAGCTAATTTTTTTGTATTTTTAGTAGAGACGGGGTTTCACCATGTTGCCCAGGTTGCTCTGGAACTCTTGACCTCAAGTGATCTGCCTGCCTCAGCCTCCCAAATTACCGGGATTACAGGCATGAGCCACTGCACCCAGCTGTTATAATATTTTTGAAGATTACTATGATATGTTAAATAGGCATATGGTAAACTCTAGAGCAAGTAGTAAAAAGGTAAAATAAGGATTAATAGCTAATAAGCTGACAGAAATAAAATGGAGTACAAAAAAAAATACTCAAGGAGGGGGTAGAAAAAAGAAAAAAAAAAAAACCCTAAACCCTAGGAAGTCAGGAAAAGAAAAAGAAACAAAGAAGTGATGAAATAAATAGAAAGCAAATGGTAAAATAGGTTTAAATCCAACCATATTCATAATTGCATTAAATTTAAACGTTCTAAACATTCCAATTAGAAAGCAGTTATTGTCAGACTCTTAAAAAGCAAGACCTGGCCAGGCGTGGTGGCTTACGCCTGTAATCCCAGCACTTTGGGAGGCCAAGGCAGGTGGATCATGAGGTCAGGAGATCGAGACCATCCTGGCTAACACGGTGAAACCCCGTCTCTACTAAAAATACAAAAAATTAGCCAGGTGTGGTGGCGGGGTGCCTGTAGTCCCAGCTACTCGCGAGGCTGAGGCAGGAGAATGGTGTGAACCCAGGAGGCGGAGCTTGCAGTGAGCCAAGATCGTGCCACTGCACTCCAGCCTGGGCGACAGAGCAAGACTCCGTCTCAAAAAAAAAAAAAAAGAGAAAACCTGGCTGGATGTGGTGGCTCACACCTCCATCTCAAAAAAAAAGCAAGACCTGCTGGGTTCAGTGGTCCACACCTGTAATCCCAGCACTCTGGGAAGACAAGGCAGGAGAATTGCTTGTGGCTAGGTGTTCGAGATCAGACTGGGCAACATAGTGAGACCTTGTCTCTATAAAAAACTAACAAACTTAGCCAGGCTTGGTGGCATGTGCCTGTAGTCCCAGCTACTCAGGAGTCTGAGGTGGGAGGATTGCTTGAGCCTGGGAAGTCCAGGCTGCAGTGAGTCAAGACTGCACCACTGCACTCCAGCGTAGGCAACAGAGCGAGTCTGTCTCATAAACAAATAAAAAATAAAATAAAAGACCCCACTGTGTTGTTGCCTATAACAATTCACTTTAAGGCTGGGTGCAGTGGCTCATGCCTGTAATCTCAACACTTAGGGTGGCAGAGGTGGGAGGACAGCTTGAGCCCAGGAGTTTGAGATCTGCCTGGGCAACATAGTGAGACCCCGTTACCCACAAAAAGGAAAAGGAAAAAACAAGAATTGACTTTAAATATAGTCACAGATAGATTAAAAAGAAAATAATCTAAAAGATGTAACATGAAAAAACTAATAAAGGCCTAAAAAATACTATCAAGGATAAAGAGGGATATTTCTGTTTTTTAGAGACAAAGTTTTACTCTGTCACCCAGGCCACAGTACAGTGGCACAATCATAGCTCATTGCAACCTATACTCCTGAGCTCAAGCGATTCTCCTGCCTCTGCCTCCCAGGTAGCTGGGACTACAGATGCATGCTACCACACCCTGTTTGTTTTAAAAATTTTTTGTAGAAATGGAGTCTAGCTATGTTGCAAAGGCTAGTCTCAAACTCCTCGCCTTGTGCACTCCTCCCACCTCAGCCTCCCAAAGTGCTGGGATTATAGGTGTGAACCACCATGCCTGCTTGGGATATTTAATATATTCTCTGGAATATGAAAGACCAAAGGGCAAAAAAATAGCTAAGACACACTCTTGAAGAGAAAGAACAAGACTATTCTGCAGGAAAATATGAAAATAAGCTCAACTGCCGGGCGCGGTGGCTCACACCTGTAATCCCAGCACTTTGGGAGGCTGAGGTGGGTGGATCACCTGAGGTTGGGAGTCCGAGACCAGCCTGACCAACATGGAGAAACCCCATCTCTACTAAAAATACAAAATTAGCTGGGCGTGGTGGCACATGCCTGTAATCCCAGCTACTCGGGAGGCTGAGGCAGGAGAATCACTTGAACCTGGGAGGCGGAGGTTGTGGTGAGCCGAGATCGTGCCATTGCACTCCAGCCTGGGCAACAAGAGTGAAACTCCGTCTCAAAAAAAAAAAAAGAAAGAAAAAAAGAAGAAGAAAATAAGCTTAACATTATTAGTAATTACACTGACAAAAATTAAAATTTGGGCAATACCAAGTTAGTGAGGAAGCAAATCAATAGAAACGCATCTAGGCCAATGGGAATGTAAATCAGTGCAACCACTTGGGAAAAAGCTTTGCATTATCTAGTGGAGTTGAACACCCGCAAAGTTCTATGACTCTGCAATTCTTTACTTTGTTATGTATCCTAGAGAAACACACATGAGCACTGGAAAATATGTACAAGAATGTTCATAGGGCATTATTTGAATTTGCAACACTCTGAAAACGACCCACGAGGTTAATCAACAGTAAAATAAGTTATTATATATTCATAAAATAATACACTATTTACCAATGAAAACAAGTGAACTACAACTGTGTAGTACATATAAATATGGATGAATCTCAAAAACATCGTGGAGTAAAACCAGCCAATTACAAGAAGAATCATGCAGTATGCTTCTTATTTGAACTTCAAGAATAGACAAAGCTAAATATGTTTAAGGATGTATATGTAGTTGGTAAAACCACAAAGAGAAGCAAGGGAATAATTAACCCAAACTGAGCATCACATTTACCTCTGGATTGGAGGGACAGGGATATAATCAGAATTAGGGGGTGGTTGGCATGCAGAGTTGTTTTTTGTTTTTTGATTTTTTTTTTTTGAGACAGAGTCACGCTCTGTCGCCCAGGAGTGCAATGGCGCCATCTTGGCTCACTGCAACTTCCGCCTCCCAGGTTCAAGCCATTCTCCTGCCTCAGCCTCCCTAATAGCTGGGACTACAGGCGTGTGTCACCAGGCCCGGTTAAATTTTTCTGTTTTTTAACAGAGATGGGGTTTCACCATGTTGCCCAGGCTGGTCTCGAACTCTTGAGCTCAGACAATCTGCCCACATCGGCCTCCCAAAGTGCTGAGATTACAGGCGTGAGTCACTGCACCCGGCCGCAGGGGTCTTTTAAGGCATTGATAATGTCCAATTTCTTGACTTTACTAGGAGGTTCATAGGTTGCTTTTTATTCATTCTTTAAAGCATACATAAAAATTTTAGGTAATCATTTGGAGACATACTGGTTTGCAGTTTTTTTAAGAGGCAAAGGAAGAGTAAAAATCCAAAAAGGAGTTGGCTGGGAGCAGTGGCTCATGCCTGTAATCCAAGTACTTTGGGAGGCTGAAGCAGAAGGATCATTTGGAGCCAGGAGTTTGAGACCAGCCTGGGCAACAAAGCAAGACCCCATCTCTACAAAAAAAAACTTTAAAAAATTAGTCGGGCATGGTGACACATGCTTGTAGTCCTAGCTACTTGGGAGGCTGAGGTGGGAGGATCACTTGAGCCCAGGAATTTGAGGCTACAGTCAGCTAGGATTGTACCACTGCACTTGCTCCAGCCTGGGTGACAGAGCCGAGACCCAGTCTCTTAACAAAAAAACACTAAAGGCCAGGTGTGGCGGCTCACACCTGTAATCCCAGCACTTTGGGAGGCTGAGGCAGGAGGATCACTTGAGGTCAGGAGTTCAAGACCAGCCTGGCCAACATGGTGAAACCCCGTCTCTACTAAAAGTACAAAAAATTAGCCAGGCATGGTGGGGAGGTACCTGTAATCCCAGCTACTTGGGAGGCTGAGGCAGGAGAATCGCTTGAACCCGGGAGGCGGAGGTTGCAGTGAGCCGAGATCACGCCACTGCACTCCAGCCTGGGTGACAGAGTGAGACTCCATCTCAAAAACAACAACAACAAAACACTAAAACTAATAATAATAATAATAGTATAAAAGGGAGTTGATCGATTCCAGAGTAAGTTCTAAATAAGACTAGACTGCATCCTAGCTTATCCTTCCAAGAATTAAGTAGAATGTCCCCATTGTTCTCAATAATTTATTATACACTAAGCCCAAATAAGAAAGAAAAATGAGGTAACTACTGCTATCAAAATACCTTCAAGGCAATAAAATTAGATAGAAGTATTCATTTTGTTTTATTTTTGTTTTTACCACTATACAAATGAGCAGGAAGCATTCATTTTAAAATCTGTATGTGTTCATATTCATTTCTAAAAAAAAAACTCTTACTAATTACATAGTGAAAACACAAATTTCTTCTTGCAATTAAACATTTCTAAAGAGTTTGATGGGTAAAAAAAAATTAAGTTTAAAGATTCATAGAAAAGAAATATTTCTTCATAAAATTTTAGAACAGATATTTTTCTGAAAGCTTCCAGCACAGGAAAAAAAAAAATTTTGTTTGCAGTAAAAGGATTGACAAGCAGAAAGGCATGGAACTTCTCGACAGCACATTAGGAACCAGTAGAAATGTAGCAGTGCCTCTACAATTTAGAATTAAAATGACTTCCAACCTATAATTCTACACCTAGCTAAACTATCAAATAAGTGTGAGAATACAGGAAAAACATATATCTAGATAGATCTATATGTCTGTATATGCATTATATGCAACTAAAAGTGTGTATTTCTTATGCAGTCTTTCCCAGGGAACTCCGATGAAGTGTTCCAACAAAATGAGCGAGTGAACCAAGAAGAGGATGACATTAGATCCAGGAGATACAACAGAGGAGATAATCTCCAGGATGCCTGTGAAGAAAGATCCCTGGATCCCAGGATGATTATAGGACAAGTTGTTCATAATCCAGCAGGCCAGAAGACTTCCAGGGAAACTCATTTCAAGATGAAAATGGACCAGCCGCAGTGGCTCACGCCTGTAATACCAGCACTTTGGGAGGCTGAGGCAGGCGGATCACTTGAGGTCAGGAGTTTGAAACTAGCCTGGCCAACGTGGCAAAACTCCATCTCTATTAAAAATACAAAAATTAGCCAGGCATAGTGGTGCATGCCTGTAGTCCCAGCTACTTGGGATGCTGAGGCAGGAAGAATTGCTTGAACCTGGGAGGCAGAGTCTGCAGTGAGCCGAGATCATGCCACTGCACTCCAGCCTGGGTGACAGAGCCAGACTCCGTCTCAAAAAAAAAAGAAAAAGAAAAAAAAAATGATGACTCTTTCAAGAAATGAAAATGATGAGATATCTGGTAGGTCTGAATGACTTAAGAGGAGATTTAAACATTTGGGATAAGTTGAAGATGAGCTGGTGTTCGTCTTCATTTATTTCATTTAAATAAATAAAATTATTAATACATGAATTTTATCTCAAGAAACAAAAATAAGCAATGTACATAAAAATTAAGCAGATGGCTGGCCGGGCGCGGTGGCTCACGCCTGTAATCAGAGCACTTTGGGAGGCTGAGGCGGGTGGATCACAAGGTCAGGAGATGGAGACCATCCTGGCTAACACGGTGAAACCCCGTCTCTACTAAAAAAATAAATAAAAAATAAATTAGCCGGGCGTGATGGCAGGTGCCTGTAGTCCCAGCTACTCGGGAGGCTGAGGCAGGAGAATGGCATGAACCCAGGAGGCGGAGGTTGCAGTGAGTGAGATCACGCCATTGCACTCCAGCCTGGGCGACAAAGTGAGACTCCATCTCAAAAAAAAAAAAAAAAAAAAAAAAAAAATTAAGCAGATGGCTATAATTTTTTTAAAAATAGAAAAGTGTTGATGAGAAATGGGAAACCTCATACATTGTTGGTCAAACTGTATGCTTCCATTTAGAGGAAATAGTCAGAACAAATAAATCCATAGACACCAATTAGGTTGGTGTATCCCAGGGGCTGGGCATGGAGTGGGGTGGAGAGAGAAGGAGGGCCTGCTTAGTGGATACAGAGTTTTCTTTGGGGGCGATGAAAGTGTTTTGGAACTAGATAGAGGGGGTGGTTGCACAACATTGTTGTTGGTGGGAATTTAAAATGGTGCAAGCACTGTGGAAAAAACAGTTTAGCATTTCCTCAAAAAGTTAAAACAGGCCAGGCGCTGTGGCTCACGCTTGTAATTCCAGCACTTTGGGAGGCCAAGCCAGGTGGATCACTTGAGGTCAGGAGTTTGAGACCAGCCTAGCCAACATGGTGAAACCCTAAAAATACAAAAAATTAGCCGGGCATGGTGGCAGACACCTGTAATCCCAGCTACTCAGGAGACTGAGGCAGGAAAATTGCTTGAACCTGGGAGGCGGAGGTTGCAGTGAGCTGAGATCGCACCGCTGCACTCCAGCCTGAGCGACAGAGTGAGACTCTGTGTGAGAAAAAAAAAAAAAAAGTAAAAACATAGAATTACTATACAGCTAGCAATATCGTTGTTAGGTATATGCCCCAGAGACTTGAATACAGTTACATGCTCCATCAGATACCTGTACCCAAATGTTCCTATCGGTATTACTCATGGTAGCCAAAAGGTAGAAACAACCCAAATATCTACAAATAGATGAATGGATAAATAAAATGCAGTGTATCCATATGGAATATTACTTGGTCTCAAAAGGAAGGAAGTACTTATGCAAGCTACAACATGGATAAACTTCAAAACAATATGCCAAGTGAAAGAATCCAAATGCAAAAGGTCAAACGGTATGCTTCCATTTAGAGGAAATAGTCAGAACAAATAAATCCATAGACACCAATTAGGTTGGTGTATCCCAGGGGCTGGGCATGGAGTGGGGTGGAGAGAGGAGGGGGGCCTGCTTGATGGATACAGAGTTTTCTTTGGGGGCGATGAAAGTGTTTTGGAACTAGATAGAGGGGGTGGTTGCACAACATTGTGAATGTACTATAATAAATGCCACAGAATTGTGTACTCTAAAATGGTTTAATTGCTGTGCATGGTGGCTCACGCCTATAATCCCAGCACTTTGGGAAGCCAGGATGGGAAGACTGCTTGAGCCTAGAAGTCTGAGAGCAGCCTGGGCAACATAGAGAGACCCTGTCTCTTAAAAAAAAAAAAAAAAAATTAGCTGGGTGTGAAGACATGTGCCTGTAGTCCCAGCTACTTGGGAGGCTGAGCGAGGAAGATTGCTTGAGCCAGAGAGGTCAAGGCTGCAGTGAGCCATGATTGCACCACTGCACTCCAACCTGGGCAAGAGAGAGAACCTGTCACAAAAAATAATAAATAAATAAATAAAATGGTTACTACCTGAATTTTACCTCAGGAAAAAAAAATAAGCTAACATACCAACAGGACAGTTATTACTTCCTAAAAAAATAAAAGGATATACAGGAAGGGAAAATAAATAAAAATTTACCACAAGCTTCAGCTCCACATAGCATTTGTATAGTCATGATAATGTAAACATGTAATGTGAATATATGAATCTAGCCAAAACTATGCCATAACTATAAAGAGGGGAAGGCTAGTACAGGAAGGGGGTCATGGAGCAAAGGGATGAAAGACATGAAGACTCATCCTTCATAGCCTGAATCCGAGGAGTGGATAAAGACTCAATCTAAAGATAAAATAAGGCAGGAAATGAGGAAAAAGAAAAAAACTGTTGAAGTGCATCCAAAGTTGCAGATGGTTAACATTCATTCCACTCACTTGGGAAAACATCTGGTGTGATCGTCTAATGGGTCATCACCTTCCTGCCATTTCTCTAAACACCCTCCACAGGAAAAGCACTGGACGATGTCCTTTATACCTAAAAGTAAGGAAACTTGATCAGTGCCACTGGCATGGGCATCTGTCCATTAACATGCAGATAATAACCACCAGACCTGTAATAGTGAAAGCCTATTCAGTCTCCAGTTGGGTTTTGTGACAGTCAGAAGTTGGTTACCAGTGAGGCAATTTTCTATATAAGACTCTGTCCACCAATGGGGTAACTGGCAAGTAGTCATTGAATGCTCCTACACACCATGCACTTTGATGCACACCATCCCTCTGCCCCATTCTCCTTTGATCAACAAACAGATTGGCAACCAGAATCTGGAATTGAAGCTCCATGAGGGGGCTGGGCGCAGTGGCTCATGCCTGTAATCCCAGCACTTTGGGAGGCCAAGGCCAGCGGATCTCCTGAGGTCAGGAGTCTGAGACCAGCCTGGCCAACACGGTGAAACCCTGTCTCTACTAAAAATACAAAAATTAGCTGGGCATGGTGGCACATGCCTGTAATGCCAGCTACTCAGGAGGCTGAGGCACAAGAATCGCTTGAACCCAGGAGACGGAGGTTGCAGTGAACCAAGATAACGCCATTGCACTCCAGCCTGGGCAACAAGAGTGAAACTCTGTCTCAAAAAATAAAAATAAAAATAAGCTCTATGAGGGTAGAGGTTTTTGCTCACTAATGAATGACATGAACCTAGAAAAGTGCTTGACACTCATGTGGCACTCAATTAGTATTCGTTTAATGAATGAATCAGAAAGAATATATTTAGAGCTCACGGAAAAAAAAATACCAGCAAATCTAGCAGCCCTTATGTAAGTGAATGCATGAAGAATTAATTGCCTCTTACCACATTATTGCCATGTTTATTACACCAGAAATAGGATTAAGTCTCTTTGTGAAATTATATTTCTTTGGAAAGAAATTGGTATTTAGCTCTGCAAAAGGATCAAACTAGAAACAGAGCATTTCTCATCTTCCTTCCACTCTGGGAAAGCTGGGGCAGAGGAAAGCCTCCCAGAAATATGAGATCCTAGAGCTTGCAAGATCTGAAAACAGTCAGAGATGATTAGGATTTGTGTGGAGTGGTGGAGGATTGGAAAGGAAGAGGGGGAGCACACTGGTCAGAGGGGTCTTGCGGAAGGCTGACAAGAGGAAGACACAGTAGAGTAGGGAGAAATGGCAAACACTCTTTCCAAAGGCTTAAGATTGTGAGGCAGTCAGATTTTTTTTTTCCAATGGCACATGTCTGTTAGGTAGAGTGACAACTATATTCTGCTTCTCTGTGTTGCTCTATGGTATTTGTGACAACTACTTGATCTCTCAGTTAAAGATCTGCATTAACCTCCACTGTAACTTATGCATGTGTTCGGTTTGAGCAAGACCAGCAAGGTACCTAGGAACCTTTCCCTGATCATCTTGTATTTCAGGCAGAGATTTAGCTGACAGGAACCAGCCCATCATTTATAGATTGCAGAGGTGCTTCCTAATGACCAGCAGCTAAAGAGAAAATGCCACAATCTGGTGGAAGGCTCTACATGTTTAGGAATCATGAAAATTAATTTCCTGATTTTCTCCTGCAGGCAGAATGTGGCAAAGATTGCTATCCATGTTCCTATTATCTCAAATCCTTCCATACTAATAGAAATCCCAATATTTAGCTGGGCACATTGTCACCCAGGAAAAAGATTAGGTTTCCCAGCTCCTCTTACAGCTAGGTATGGTCATCTGACTAATAATAATAATAATAATAATTATTATTATTATTATTATTATTTTTGAGACAGAGTTTCACTCTTGTTGCCCAGGCTGGAGTGCAATAGCATGATCTTGACTCCCCGCAACCTCCACGTCCCAGGTTCAAGCGATTCTCCTGCCTCAGCCTCCCAAGTAGCTGGGATTACAGGCACCCGCCACCATGCCTGGCTAATTCTTTGTATTTTTAGTAGAGACAGAGTTTCACCATATTGGCCAGGCTGGTCTCAAACTCCTGACCTCAGGTGATCCACCCACCTCGGCCTCCCAAAGTGCTGGGATTACAGGCGTGAGCCACCATGCCCGGCCCATCCAACTAAGTTCTGATTAAAGAAATATAAGCAGAAGTGTCCTGTGACAGTTTCTAGGAGCACTTTGTCAGGGGACAAGAGGTGAGGAGAGTAATGTGTAGAAAGAAAAGACATGATAATTATCACAAATAGAATACTTGTATTCATTGTTAGTCCAGACCTTAAGGTTTCAAATTTGAAGGTTTACCACCTAAGGGAGGAATAGAAAACTGGGAGAGGATTTATGATGCAGGAAAGAAAAGAGATGTATGCCAGGTGCAGTGGCTCACACCTGTAATCCCAGCATTTTGGGAGGCCAAGGCAGGAGGATTACTTGAGCCCAGGAGGTTGAGGCTGCAGTGAGCCATGATCTCGCCACTGCCCTCCAGCCTGGATGACCATGTCTCAAAAAAAATAGAAAGAAAAGAAAACGAATCTATAAGAAATGCTGAAGAGAGGCCTGGCGCGATGGCTCACACCTGTAATCCCAGCATTTGGGAGGCCAAGGCGGGCAGATCACGAGATCAGGAGATCAAGAGCATTCTGACTAGCATGGTGAAACCCTGTCTCTACTAAAAATACAAAAAAGTAGCTGGGCGTGGTGGCAGGCGCCTGTGGTTCCAGCTACTCCAGAGGCTGAGGAAGGAGAATCTCTTGAACCCGGGAGGTGGAGGTTGCAGTGAGCCAAGATCTGCATTCCAGCCTGGGCAACTCTGTCTCCAAGGGGGAAAAAAAAAGAAAAGAAAAAGAAACGCTGAAGCTAGTGGACATTGCTGAGTGTAGCTAAACGTAAGCCCAGGAGCATAAAGTCTATGTGGGAATTAAAGGTCAAGCAAGCAAGTGGGCACAACCTACTGACTCACCTGTGTAGAAAAGACCTGCTTTGGCCAGTGCTGCAACTCCCACAGCTGATTCCCGGGGCCAGTCCTTAAAAGAGTCCAGCCGTAGTTCTTCGTAAGCAAAGATGCTGTCATTGCAATAAGCTTGAATAAAAAGCACAAGGTGAGACCAGCAGGCTTTAGTCTTTTTTTTTTCTATATCTTTATTGCTGCTGCACAAATTAAAGAGACCAGTAGGCTTTGATATTGCAAGTATCAGCGTTCAAGTTGTCCCTTCACAGTTACAGATGGAATGATGTCTAGAGTTTGCTTCAAAATAAACGGGGCGGGGCGGGGGGGACGACAAAAAGAGATAGGGACAAAAAATCAAAAGAAGAAATAAACAAGCAAAGCCTTTGGAAAATGTTTGAGTTTTTACCTGATGCCATAGGTAATTCTCTCTGGACCCAGGAATTCACAAAATGTTCTCCCTGAGGGAAATTAAAATTCAAGTTGTTGATTATCTGACTTTTTTTTTTTTTTTTTTTTTTGAGGCAGAGTCTCACTCTGTTGCTCAGGCTGAAGTGCAGTGGCAGGTTCTCGTCTCACTGCAACCTCCGCCTCCTGGGTTCAAGTGATTCTCCTGCCTCAGCCTCCCGAGTAGTACAGGCATGTGCCACCACACCCGGCTAATTTTTTTTTTTTTTTTTGTATTTTTAGTAGAGACAGACACGATGTTGGAGGTCTTTTTTTTTTTTTTTTTTTTTTTTGAGACAGAGTCTCGCTCTGTCGTCCAGGCTGGAGCACAGTGGCACGACCTTGGCTCACTACAAGCTCCGCCTCCCAGGTTCACGCCATTCTCCTGCCTCAGCCTCCCGAGTAGCTGGGACCACAGGCGCCTGCCACCATGCCGGGCTAATTTTTTTTTTTTTTTGTATTTTTAGTAGAGATGGGGTTTCACCATGTTAGCCAGGATGGTCTCTATCTCCTGACCTCATCATCCGTCCGTCTCGGCCTCCCAAAGTGCTGGGATTACAGACGTGAGCCACTGCACCCGGCCCATGTTGGAGGTCTTGAGGCTGGTCTCGAACACCTGATCTCAAGTGATCTGCCCAGCTCGGCCTCCCAAAGGGCTGGGATTACAGGCATGAGCTACTGCACCCAGCCTGATTGTTTGACTTATGAAGTATATACCTATCTATGAACAAGAACTGAAGGAACTTTACCCCAGAATGAAGAGTTTCACTGGATGGAACGGCAGAGTCGGAGGAGAATTATTCCTTTAATTTTTATTTCTGTTGATGTTGCAATTGTTTTTATGCAGTGCAAGCAAACATACACACACACACACACACACACACACGCATGCAAGCTGTGAATGTTTATGCATACTCAGGAGGAAGCCTTCTCAGGGTCACTGTTTCCGGAAACTGACCTTGAAAACAGACCTGCATTTAAATATCACAGATGTACTTTGAAGAATGAGGAAGTAAGAGACATAGAATGGTAACTAAATTCATCAGGGTATTATATATTGAGCAACTGATTCTTCTGGGAAAGCTGCACCCAATTTCTTTTTGAGGAAACACCTCTCTTCCCCCACTGTCAGGCCATGTTCTCTATAGAGTTCTGGTCTCCTGAGTCATGTTAATCAATAAATTCTCATTTTTGTTTAAGCCAGTTTGGATTCGATTTCCCATCACTCTCCACTAGGAAATTTTTACTGATTCAGGATAGTTAGCCAGCTAGGAAGAGCCAGCTCTGCAGCCCACTGTGGGTGACAGCGCCTAGGTCAGGAGATCTTAGCAAGCCTGCAGATAGGGGCAGCAGAGGGAAGCTGGGGCAAGTGGCTTCATTCATAAAGGGGAAGACTATCAGGAAGGCAAGCAGAGCCCGTCAGAAGCCAGCCCTGGAAAAAGAAAAAGGCTCTAGGTCAGCAAGTGAATGTGATATTTTTCACTTTGAAGATGGGAGCCAGGGGAATGAAAGGAGAAAGGAAGAAAGAAATCAAACCCATGACATAAAAAGAATGCCTATGCCCTTCTGAGTCAGACACTTACAGGTAATCCAAAAACTTGAGAAAAAAATTGCTGTTATACATTACCGTTATGTCAACAAATCCCTTGTAGCTTTGAATATACTGGGTAATTTCCTCTGAGGATTTCTTACTCCGAAGAAATTCACATCTGTAATTAATAAATATAATTAAAATTTACCCCAGTACTGTGATAGAGCTGTCCTATATCACAATGAACATTTATAAAGACGTATTGAATTGTTGAATTTTATTATACTTCAATAAAATTGCCAAAAAATTTACCACAAAACTTAGGAGAATTACCATTATTCTCATATAATTATTTGTTATTTCTATTAGTGACAACATGTGTAGTTATTTAAAATTAAATCTTCAGGTTAACTTTTTTCTTGAAATAAAACATGCAATACAATCAAAGAGACTGATTTACAGTAAATATAGGATGGAGCTTTTGTTTTTTGGAATTAAGCAGTGGTGACTAAATCTAGTCGCTAGGGTTATATGAAAGCTACTGGCAGTAAAGAGAACTATATTTAAAATAATAGGCCAGACGCAGTGGCTCACATCCAGGAGTTCAAGACTAGCCTGGGCAACATGGCAAAACCCCATCTCCACAAAAAATACAAAAATTAGCCGGGCATGGTGCCACACCTCTGTAGTCCCAGCTACTCAGGAGGCTGAAGGGGGAGGATCACCTGAGCCCGGGGAGGTAGAGGCTGCACTGAGCCATGATCAGGCTGCTACACTCCAGCCTGGGCAACAGACTGAGACCCAGTCTCAAAAGTAAATACAAAAAATCTTTTTAAGATAACAATATATTTATCTACTGAACAAAAAATTACCATGCATTAAAAAGTAATGGCTATTAGGCCAGGCGTGATGGCTCACGCCTGGAATCCCAGCACTTTGGGAGGCCGAGACAGGTGGATCACGAGGTCAGGAGTTCGAGACCAGCCTGGCCAAGATGGTGAAACCCTGTCTCTACTAAAAGTACAAAAATTAGCTGGGTGTGGTGGCAGGCGCCTGTAATCCCAGCTACTTGGGAGGCTGAGGCAGGAGAATCGCTTGAACCTGGGAGGTGGAGGTTGCAGTGAGCTGAAATCATGCCACTGCACTCTAGCCTGGGCAACAGAGCAAGACTCAATCTCAAAAAAAACCAAAAACAAAAAAAGTAACGGATGTTAATGGATAATTTTTGATTTTTTTAAAAAAGAGCACACTGAATACCATTTAAAAACATATTCCTTTCCCATAAAAGAGAAGCAGTTTTAAAATTAACTTTTAAAATTTCCTCCAATTCAGCTGGGCATGGGGGATCATGCCTGTAATCCCAGCACTTTTGGAGGCTGAGGCGGGTGGATCACTTGAGGCCTGGAGTTTGAGACCAGCCTGGTCAACATGGTGAAACCCCATCTCTACTGAAAATACAAAAATTAGCCAGGCATGGTGGCGGGCGCCTGTAATCCCAGCTGCTTGGGAGGCTGAGGCGGGAGGATCACTTGAACCTGGGAAGCAGAGTTTGCAGTGAGTCATGATTGTACCACTACACTCCAGCCTGGGCAACAGAGAGAGACTCTGTCTCAAAAAAAATAAAAATAAAAATAAAAATCCCTCCAATTCAAATTTAAGTTTTCTTTCTATGGTGCTGTAGCAAAGAATGGGCTGGGAACCCAAAGGCTGGAGCATTAGTACCCGCTCTTCCACCAGTGGGGATGTGACCAACCTTGCCATGTTCTCTTATAATCACAGGAGAACATGGATGCCATCAGATGATCTGCATATTTCCCCAGGGCCATGATTCTATGTGATAGGCAGCCAGGGTTCCCAGTTTTCAGGTGTATAAATGTTTCCAAGGATTGCCGTAAGTCTGCACATAACCTACATGGCACACAATGCACGGGGTGGTTCCCTGTCCTCATGATTTATATGGATTGAGGAGGAACTCAGTACCTTAAAAAGTTACCATAAAATCATCTTACATTTATGGAGTGCCACATTTTAAAAAGTGTAAGGGTATACTCATTTTGTTGACAGTTGATAAAAAGAAGCAACAAATTGAAGTCCAGAAAGCTAAAGACAGAGTAACCCAACAAGAAACTTGGGGATTCTTGCTCTAATTCCAGCTCTTAGATTTTATTGACTGACCATGTGCTTATGACGACAAACAAATGAAAGGCAAAACAGTTGGTCATCTGTCATCCTCACATTATACATGGTAATTTTTACAAAGCATTTGATCCATATACTTTGTTTCTCATCCTTACAACCACCAGACAAGCTGTACATTATTATCTGCTGTGGAAGTCGCAGATACCAAGATGAAATCACTTTTATCAGACCCACACAAAATAGGGCTGGGAAGGCACGAAGGAGTGGGGTTCAGGCTTTCATGTCCAAGACAGGAACGGTTCCAAAGACTTTCTAAGAATCCCATAAGAAATCCCTTCACGCCTGTCACGCATCTCCTGCTTTGCATTGCTTGCATGTACGCACATATTTCTATGGCAAGGTTTATCACTGCACATTCTTTTGGACTGCAGCAATTCAGATAAGATAACATGAGATGAGATGCTGTCAAAAGAACACCTGCCCAGGAACAGCATCTCCACCAATGAACACACAAGAACTCTGGCTTTGAGCCTTCAGAACCAAGGAATTCTCTTCTGCCCTCTCTCCTCTCCCCTCTCCCCCGTCCCCTGTCTTCTCTCTCCTCTCCCCTCTCCCCTCTCTCCTCTCTCTCTAAAGAAACTGGAGCCTCATCACATTGCCCAGGCTGGTCTCAAACTCCTGGCCTCCAAAGACCCTCCCGCCTCAGCCTCCCACATAGCTGTGATTACACGTATGAGCTACCATGCCCAGCTATGAACTCTGTTTCTAAGCAGCTTATGTGAACTTCTCCCTTTTGCCAAGAAAAATTCCCTTTACTCTTCCCTCACTGCACGTGCCTGTGGTTTACAGTAGTGCATTCCAAATCATAACCCTCTTTTCTTATTCCTGAATAAATTTGACATATTTGGGGATATCTGTCTCTAATTTTTTTGTTGTTGTTGACACTGCATTTTACATATGAGATTCAGACAAGGTCAGTCACCTGCCTAGGGTCTGGTAGTCAGGTAGCAGCAGATTCAAGCCTGGCTCTATCTCCTAAGCCTCTGCACTACCCCCTGCCCTTGTTTGCTGGCCTGAACTCCTTCCTCTCTAGGAGTGGTTGCTGGACTGCTGTCTCCCCTCCCTGTGCTTATTACCTTACCCTCTGACTATGTTAGAGAAGGCATATGAAGGCCCCTGCAGACAGGATGTGCGGCTCTAGTAGGTGCTAGTCACATGATAATGTGATCATGTGTGAGTGGTGCCACTGGTACTTGTCCAGTGTATAACCCAGCGACACTAAACACAGTGACCCTGAGGCTAAGTGAAGCCTGAGCTGAGGCTAGAGCTGAGACAGGTGCCCACGAGCAGCGGCTTGTGCTCCAGCCGGGGCTGCTGTTCCCTGTTACATATGCATATATGGTGCACTGTCAGCATGGACAAGGACTGCCTGGGTGGCTGTTTTGATTCGTCAGGGAGCCAGAGTGACTGTCAAATGATTTCACAATTCTAGCTTCATTCGTCCCTATAACCATCTCATCTACTTGTCTAACTTTCTCTCTCTCCTCTTCCTGCCTTTCTCCTCTCCTCCCTTGTTTACTTCCTCCCTCCTAATCTCCTCACTTTCTTTTCAACTATGAAAGTAATATATACTTGTTTCCAAAAATTTAAACAAGACAGCAATGAACAAAATAAATGTGAAAATCCATCACTACTTCACCCCCTGACAAATCCAGATCCAGAAGTATCTACAGTTTGGTTTACATATTTTCATAAGGTTTTCTATATATTTTCAAGCAACTCCATATATAGTTTGAGTGGTTTTAAACATTTTCAAAGTCTCACACTGCACTTATTGTGCATATTGCTTTCCCACACAACGTATCAAAACATATCAAAGATATCCATTCACTTTTTTTTTCTTTTGAGATGGAGTCTCACTCTGTTGCCCAGGCTGCTGTGCAGTGGAGTGATCTTGGCTCACTGCAACCTCCGCCTCCCAGGTTCAAGCAATTTCTTGCCTCAGCCTCCCGAGTAGCTGGAACCATAGGCACGCACCACCACGCTCGGCTCATTTTTGTATTTTTAGTAGAGATGGGGTTTCACCATGTTGGCCAGGGAAGAGGGGAGATAGGAGAGGAGAGAGGAGAGAGGGAAGAGGGGAGAGGAGAGTTCATCACTTGAATGAACTCCTGGCCTCAAGTGATTTGCCCGCCTTGGCCTCCCAAAGTGCTGGGATCACAGGTGTGAGCCACTGTGCCCAGCCTTTTTTTTTTTTTTTTTTTTTTTTGAGATGGAGTCTCGCTGTGTTGACCAGGCTGGAGTGCAGTGGTGCAATCTCAGCTCACTGCAACCTCTGCCTCCCGGGCTCAAGCAATTCTCCTGCCTCAGCCTCCCAAGTAGCTGGGGTTACAGGTGCCTGCCACCACGCCTGGCCAATTTTTGTATTTTTAATAGAGACAGGGTTTTACCATGTTAGCCAGGCTGGTCTTGAACTACTGACATCAAATGATCCGCCTACCTTAGCCTCCCAAAGTGCTGGGATTACAGGCATGAGCCACCATGCCGGGCCTCCATTCACTTTTGTGGGCATGGCTGTCCATGTGCAAGATGACTTATAAATGTAAATAACTGTGTCCAGTTTTGTAGTTAATTTAGTATCCAACCAACAACTTTGCATGTAGTAGGTGTGTGACAAATATTTGTTAAAGAAAATAGAATCTGAGGCTGGGCACGGTGGCTCATGCCTATAATCCCAGCACTTTGGGAGGCCGAGGCAGGTGGACTGCCTGAAGTCAGGAGTTCGAGACCAGCCTCGCAAATATGGAGAAACCCCGTCTCTACTAAAAATACAAAAACTAGTCAGGTGTGGCAGTGCGCACCTATAATCCCAGACCTGGGTGGGGTGAGGCAGGAGAATCGCTTGAACCCAGGAGGCAGAGGTTGCAGTGAGCCAAGATTGCACCGCTGCACTCAAGCCTGGGCAACAGAGTGAGACTGTCACAAAAAAAAAAAAAAAAAAAAAAGAAAGAAAGAAAATAGAATCTGAGCCTGACCAAACTGCTAGATCCAAGTGTCAGGTTCCTGGAAATGCAGAAGGTAGAGGAACATGTTAGACTATGCCAGAGGAACACATTCTGCCAAATCTAGAGTAGAGGGAATTTTACAGGACAGATTACATGGCTTCTTTAACAAATAAGTGACAAGAAAAAAGAGATGGATAAAGAGGAAATCTACGAATTAAAAATCTTAAGGGGCTGAGCACAGTGGCTCATGCCTGTAATCCCAGCACTTTGGGAGGCTGAGGTGGGAGGATCACTTGAGCCCAGGAGTTTGTAGAACCAGGAGTTCCAGACCAGCCTGGGCAACAAAGTGAAACCTTGTCGCTATAAAAGATATGAAAATTAGCTGGGCATGGTGGTAGGCACCTGTGGTCCCAGCTACTCAGGACGCTGAGGTGGGAGGATTGCTTGAGTCTGAGAGGTGGAGGTTGCAGTGAGCTGAGATTGCACCACTAAACTCCAGTCTGGGCTCCAGTCTGGGCAACAGAGCAAAACTCACTCTCAAAAAAAAAAAAAAAAAGAAAAGAAAGAAAGAAAACAACAAATCTTGGTCAGGCACAGGTGGCTCATGCTTGTAATCCTAGCACTTTGGGAATCCAAGGTGGGTGGATCACTTGAGGCCAGGAATTTCAGACCAGCCTGGGCAACATGATGAAACCGCATCTCTACTAAAATTACAAAAATTAGCCAGGTGTGGTGGTGCATGCCTGTAATCTCAGTTACTCGGAGGCTGAGGCACAAGAATCACTTGTACCTGAGAGGTGGAGGTTGCAGTGAGCCAAGATCGTACCACTGGGCAACAGGGCGAGACTCTGTCTCAAATAAAATAAAATAAAAATATAGTTATTGTTATTATTTCCAGGAAAAAAGGTGGGTAGGAGATGGATGAAATATGATTTGGCTATGTGTTGACAAGTATTTATTACACTATTCTATCTTTGTATGAAATTTTACACAGTGAAAGTTTAAAAACTTGTTAAAGGAATGAATCTGTACTTGGTAGAAACAAAGAAAGTCATGTAGAAAATACTAGTAAATATAGCATTAAAAATAATTAAAATGTACTTCCTTTTCTAAGCCAGGAACTAAAGACCACTGCAGTAATAAAAACTCTTTCTGAGGTTTAAAAATACAGTGTTTTCATTTGGTATATATTTAGCAGTACATGAAACCATTTGTAATAATGTTTAAATATTTTTTACCTTCCAGCATACACCATTTTACACCACCCCTATGGAAATTATTATTACTTATTTAATTAGTTTTAGAGACAGGGTCTCACTCTGTCACCCAGGCTGGAGCACAGTGGCTTGATCACGGCTCAATGCAGCCTTGACTACCTGGGCTCTAGCAATCTTCCTGCCTCAGCCTCGCAAGTAGCTAGGACTGCAGGTACACGCCACCATGCCTGGCTAACTTTTTTTTTTTGAGACGGAGTCTCACTCTGTCGCCCAGGCCGGAGTGCAGTGGCGCTATCTCGGCTCACTGCAAGCTCTGCCTCCCGGGTTCACACCATTCTTCTGCCTCAGCCTCCCAAGTAGCTGGGACTACAGGCACCCGCCACCGTTCCCGGCTAATTTTTTGTATTTTTAGTAGAGACATGGTTTCACCGTGTTAGCCAGGATGGTCTTGATTTCCTGACCTCGGATCCACCGGCCTCAGCCTCCCAAAGTGCTGGGATTACAGGTGTGAGCCACCGCGCCTGGCCAATTTTTTTTATTTTTGTAGAAACAGGGTCTCTACATGCCAGGCTGGTCTCAAACTCCTGATTTCAAGCAATCCTCCTGCCTTGGCCTCCCAAAGTGCTGGGGTTACAGGTGTGGGCCACCACTTCCAGCCTTATTTATTAATTAAGGCAGATCATGAAACTTCTACTGGGCAAAACCTATCTTAGAATTTGGGATAATGAAATACTTAAAAACTGTTTAAAATTCTATAATTCAAACTTTTCACAATGTAATTAGGCCTTTCCTGCTTGAATAAATCCTGGAGTGGTCCAATTTTGAATAGGGAAAGATCAAAACTGAAGGTGCTACTCCAGAAAGGTGGCTCTTTTGTCTTTCATTTTGTCTTTTAAAGAACTGAAAAATTTAGCCAGGCACAGTGGCTCACGCCTGTAATCCTAGCACTTCGGGAGGCCTAGGTGGGTGGACTGCCTGAGCTCAGGAGCTCAAGACCAGCCTGGGCAACATGGCAAAACCCCATCTCTGCTAAAAATACAAACATTAGCCCATCTTGGTGGTGCACACCTATAATCCCAGCTACTCAGAAGGCTGAGGCAGGAGAATCACCTGAACCAGGGAGGGAGAATTTGCACCGAGCTGAAGTCATGCCACTATACTCCAGCCTGGGTGGCAGAGCAAGACTGTCTCAAAAAAAAAAGAAAGAAACATTTAAGCAAAAATTATCTACTTACTTGGGGAACCATTTGGCATGTTCCTTCCAAGGATCATCTCCTTCTTCCCAATTTCCTAAACATCCACCACAGGAAAAACACTGTACCGTGTCCTGTTTACCTATATATGAAGGAAAATATTTAGATTGCCTGGCAGTGGCACCAGGGGGTATGTACACAGAGTTGATTGTTTTGTTCAGGAGCAAGACAAGCTCCAGCGTGGCTGTGCACTCCCGATCTCATTGGCCTGAGTCTCCATCCTCAATCCCACCACCCAAAATGGGCCCCTCCACCACAGCCGTGCTCTAGGTACAGAACCCTAAGCTGTGTAACTCAATATCCTGCCCCAGCTGCCCCCCAGAGCTGGTATGTTGCTCTTTGAGCTCTCAGGGTCAAAGTGATAGGGAAGCCGACTAACACCAGGACCAGCTGAAGTAACGTGCAATTAGAAAACCTACGTTTTAGCCTTGCCATGACATTTCGGTAGAAACATAGGCATGTTTCTTAAAGTCTCTGAGCCTCCATGAACTCAGCTGTGAAATGGGAGAGAAAGGGGTAAATTCATTGGATAAGAATTAGTACTCACTCTATGCCTAGCATAAAGTAGGTACAGTACTCAGTAAATGATCGTTGTTATTGTTAGAACTCTGATTTATATATCATAACCCCTATGGCGGGGCTAGGACAAACAAACAAAACCCTCCAATACTGCAGCAATGAGAAGAATCAAAGAAAGATCATGTAAGAGCAGTAGAAGGAGGGTGGGTGAGGAGACTGGGATCAGGATGACCGCATGAGTTATTTAATCTTTTCAGGACCTTAAGAATACAGCCAGTATTTTCTAAGGTCCAAGTTTAAGGAGACGTAACTTTCTTATTTTATATATATTTGACAAATTAACACAGGCTGTACTAAATAGAAAATGAAGCAAAAATAAAAATATTGATGTTGAATTTTAATAAACTAGACCTTATACCTAATATAACACATTTAACCAGTGAAGAAAGTTTAGCAAAATATTGCAAAAGCAATTGAAAAATAAAACCTAAACTTAAAACGCCAGAGAAACACTTCAGAGAATAATTTCAAGGTACCTGTAAAGACAAAGCCAGCCTCTGAGAGCACACAAGGGGATATCCCTTGGACATAAAATGGCCAGTTCCTGAAGGATGCAAGTCTAGCCTCCTCTTCTTGGTACCTCATTTTACCTCCTCTCAGCCTGCTCTTCAGATTCTTCACCCTTATGTCGTACTTGGCAATGTTACCAACATCCTTGTTCAAAAGGAACCCACAATCTGGATGAAACCTCTTGTGGTCTTCTATGGGGAGTCTCGTGAGGCCGGCACCAAAGAGGATTAGGCTACAGCAGAAGCACTGAATCCCAGATTTTACCCCAGTGAAGTAAAACCCAGCGGCCGCCATCTCCTGTGGTATCCATGAGCTGTACGGCTCATAAGTCACAAAAGTCTTTAACCTTTTTGCTTCACTGCGCATTTGAGAGTTGTAGCCTTTCTGCATTTTTGCTCGCTCCTTCTGCTCCTCTTCTTCTAGTTCCTTTGCCAACTGAACTGCATCTAGGCCCAGAAGAGCAGACAGCTCTGGCAGCAAATTGTGATCAAACTGGGAGATCCTCTCGTCAGAGGCTTTCTGCTGGGTGGCCATTTTCTGAAAAGGAAAATAAAGCAGGTTGATCCCTTATAGTAAGATTTTTCTTAGAAGAGCATTTCCCACTGTTTCCGAAGAAACCAGGAATTAAAGGAATGCCTGGAATTTCAACACAAAAGATAAATTGTTGGAAAATTATGAAACATCAGTATTCATCTACTTAATCAACAAATATTTACTAAGCACCTACTATATATCAGGTACAGTGCTAGACATTGGGGATCTAGCAACCAACAAGACAGACACCCATCTGCCTCCATTCATGAAGCTTTCCAGATATCAGTTATGGACACAATGTGGTAACATGAGCATATACTGAACATTTATATTAAAGAAAAACATAGACAAAATTGTATAGCCTGGCAGCAACAATTTGATCGAATTACTCAGTTTTAAAAAATCATTATTTTGTGTTCATGTTTTAAGTCTCGGTGCTCTGGCCGGGCGCGGTGGCTCACGCCTGTAATCCCAGCACTTTGGGAGGCCGAGGCAGGTGGATCACGAGGTCAGGAGATGGAGAACATCCTGGCTAACAAGGTGAAACCCCATCTCTACTAAAACTACAAAAAAAATTAGCCGGGCGTGGTGGCGGGCGCCTGTAGTCCCAGCTACTCGGGAGGCTGAGGCAGGAGAATGGCGTGAACCCAGGAGGTGGAGCTTGCAGCGAGCCGAGATCGCGCCACGGTACTCCAGCCTGGGTGACAGAGCAAGACTCCGTCTTAAAAAAAAAAAAAAAAAAAGAAGCTCAGTAACAGGCCAATGACTGTTTTTCAAAGGACATATACCTGCCAGAAGCCTCGGGTAACTTTCTAGTGTCAAATCCCCATGACCATCCCTGAGGGGCAGTCACGGGCTTTGGTAAGAAGCTCCATCAGCGTGAGTCGGTTGCTGACATTGCTAACATCATTTGAACACTGAGGTGCTATGGCCCCAAAGTAATCTCTTCGAAGTTCCCAAAAAGTCTCCCATTTGTTCATTTTTCAAAGCCCCATGTAAATTAGCTCCCCATTCCCTCTTAACTTCGAGAATAAGGGTTGATAAAATTCCCAAACATGGTATGTGATTTCTCCAGGAACCAAGAAATTGAACTAATTTTCGTGCCTTTTTCCTCTGTCTTGTAGCTAGCAACTTAATTTTGGTTGTTTGGGAATGTTTCTAGTGGCTCTAGCCCAAGTAATTCCTCCTTTTTTTTTTTTTTTAGACAGTCTCACTCTGTCACCCAGGCTGGAGTGCAGTGGCGTGGCCTCGGCTGACTGCAACCTCCGCCTCCTGGGTTCAAGCAATTCTCCTGCCTCAGCCTCCTGAGTAGCTGGGATTACAGGCACGTGCCACCAATTGCGGCTAATTTCTGTATTTTTAGTAGACACAAGGTTTTGCCATGTTGGCCAGCTTGGTCTCCAACTCCTGACCTCAAGTGATCCGCCTGCCTTGGCTTCCCACTCTTGTCCTTGTCGCCCAGGCTGAAGTGCAGTGGCGCAATCTCAGCTCCCACACCGGGATTACAGACGTGAGCCACCACACCCAGCCTAGCCCAAGTAATTTCTAAGAATTTTACCATTTATTCTAAGCCTTGCATTTTAGCCAGTTAATCATCCCTCCCTGGTGGTTATATGATTAACAAGCACTTCCAATTCAGTCTTAGCTGGATATTTGGATTGAGAGATTAACATTATTATCATCAATATAATAAGACATAGTATTAGCTGGGCGCAGTGGCTCATGCCTGTAATCCCAGCACTTTGGGAGGCTGAGGCGGGCAGATCACCTGAGGTCAGGAGTTCAAGACCAGCCTGGCCCACATGGTGAAACCCCATCTCTACAAAAATAAAAAAAATTAGCCGGGCATGATGGTGGGTGCCTGTAATCCCAGCTACTCAGGAGGCTGAGGCGGGAGAATCAGTTGAACCTGGGAGGCAGAGGTTGCAGTGAGCCAAGATCTCGCCATTGCACTCCAGCCTGGGTGACAGAGTGAGACTCCATCTCAAACAAACAAAAAAAAGATATAGTATTTTCCAGTGCAATCAAATCTAAGTTGTTCCTCATTAGGTTGTAGCAATAAGCAAGATAATTTAAATGTCCTGTGGGAGCAGCTTAAATGTGCATTGGTGGCCTTTCCACACAAATGCAAATTGATTATGATTTTCTCCTGAAATAGGAATCAAAAAGAAAGTAAGTGGCCAAGTGTGGAGGCTCACACCTGTAATCCCAGCATTTTGGGAGGCCAAGGTGGGAGGATTGTTTGTGGCTAGGAGTTTGAGGCCAGTTTAGGCAACTTAGTGAGATCCTTGTCTCTACAAAAAATTTTAAAAATTAGCCAGATGTGTTGGCACATGCCTGTAGTCCCAGCTACTCGGGGAGCAGAGGCAGAAGGATCACTTGAGCCCAAGAATTCAAGGTTACAGTGAGCCACAATTATGCCACTCACTGTACATTTCATGAAATCTCTTTCCTCAACAGCATCCCCATTCAGATGTCACATCCATTCCGATAATATATCAGGGAGAGATGATAACAATTATGCAATTATATTGCATAATTGAATTATATTGAAATATAATCCATCGGGAGCAGTGGCTCATGCCTGTAATCTCAGCACTTTAGGAGGCCGAGGTGGGTGGATCACCTGAGGTCAGGAGTTTGAGACCAGCCTGGCCAACATGGCAAAACCCCATCTCTACTAAAAATACAAAAAAAAAAAAAAAAAGAAATTAGTCAGGTGTGGTGGCACGTGCTTGTAGTCCCAGCTAGTTGGGGCTGGCTGTGGTGGCTTACACCTATAATCCCAGCACTTTGGGGGGCTGAGGCCAGGAGTTCAAGACTAGCCTTGCCAACATGGTGAAACCCCATCTCTACTAATAATACAAAAAAAATAGCTGGGCATGGTGGCGCATGCCTATAATCTCAGCTACTCGGGAGGCTGAGGCAGGAGAATTGCTTGAACCCACGAGGCAGAGGTTGCAGTGAGCCGAGATCGCACCACTGCACTCCAGCCTAGGCGACAAGAGTGAAACTCCATCTCAAAAAAAGAGAAAGAAATATAATTCACACATCATAAAATTCACCCATTTAAAATGAACAACTGAGGGTGCGGTGACTCATACCTATAACCCCAATGCTCTTGAGGCCAAGGCGGGAGGATTGCTTGAGACCAGGAGTTGAGATCAGCCTGGGCAACATAGCTAGACCCTGTCTCTAAAAAAACTTTTTTTTTAAGAAAACGAAAACTTAGCGGGGCATGGTGGCATGTGCCTGTAGTCCTAACTACGTGGGAGGCTGAGGTGGAAGGATCTCTTGAGCCCAGGAATATGAAGCTGCGGGGAGCTATGATTGCAGTACTATACTCCAGCCTGGACAACAGAGTGAGGCTCTGTCTCTAAAAAAAGTAAATAAAATGTACAGTTCAATAAATATCAGCATATTCATAAACATGCACAACCACCACCACAATCAATTTTAGAACATTTTCATCCCCCCAGAAAGAAACGCTGTGCCCATTAGCAGTTGCTTTCCATGTCCCCCGTTACCCTCCTAGCCCTAGGCAACTACTATGTTACTTTCTGTCTCTATAGATTTGCCTACTGGGGACATTTCATTTAAATTGAATCATACAGTACGTGGTCCTTTGTGTCTGGTTGCTTTCACTTTGCAAAATGTTCATGTTGGTAGAGGTGCTTAAAAAATAAAATAAAAAGAACAACAAAAAAAGGAAGCGAAATTCATCCATGTTGTATTGTTTTAGTACTTCATATTCCTTTTCATTGTCAAATAATATTTCATTATGTGGATATACCACACTTTATTATCACATATACCATATTTTATTCCTCAACCCAGTTGATGGATGTGTGGATTGTTTACGCTTTTTGGCTATTATAAATAGTACCGCTGTGCACATTAGTGTGCAAGTTTTTATATGGACATTTTTCACTTTTTTTTTTTCTTGAGACAGGGTCTTGCTCTGTCACCTAGGCTGGAGTGCAGTGGCTTGATCACCATCCATTGCAGCCTCAACCTCAAGGGCTGAAGCGATCCTCCCACCTCAGCTTCCCAAGCAGCTCGTACGACAGGAGCACACCACCATTTTTTATAGAGACAAGCGTGTTGGGGGTGTTGGTGGGGGGGGTCTCACTATGTTGCCAAGTTGGTCTCAAACCCCTGGGCTCAAGTGATCCTCCCACCTCAGCCTCCTAAAGTGCTGGGATTACAGGCCTGAGCCACCACACCTGGCCCATTTTTCACTCTTAAACTTACAGTTGTATTGTCATACTAAACTAAGTTAATTGCCGTTTAATTTTTTATTAGCAGGTATAACAATACATTATGCACCATGGTCCAACAATGACAATAAAGTTTTTCACCACTCCGGGCATTTTATCCACACCAATGTAAATGTCCTTGGGTCCCATAGCACCAAGAGACTCTGCCACCCTTTTCTTTACATCACACTGCTTTAAAGTGACTGTAGATTCTGCTTTTGCATCATCCTAAAGGTTTATTTGTTTAATTCATCAAGACTAGGATACATTAGAAATCTTGACTGGGCACAGTGGCTCACACCTGTAATCCCAGCACTTTGGGAGGCTAAGGTGGGAGGATTGCTTGAGCCCAGGAATTTGAAACCAGCCTGGGCAACAAAGTGAGATGGAGTCTTGCTCTGTTCACCCAGGCTGGAGTGCAGTGGCACAATTTTGACTCACCGCAACCTCTGCTTCCCAGGTTCAAGCAATTCTCCTGCCTCAGCCTCCTGAGTAGCTGGGATTACAGGCATGTGCCACCATGCCCGGCTAATTTTTTTATTTTTAGTAGAGACAGGGTTTCACCATGTTGGCCAGGCTGGTCTCGAACTCCTGACCTCAGGTGATCCACCTGCCTCGGCCTCCCAATGTGCTAGGATTACAGGTGTGAGCCACCATGCCCAGCCCTTTCCTTTTTTTTTTTTTTTTTTTTATAGGAGACAAGGGCTCACTCTGTTGCCAAGGCTGTAGTACAAGTGCAGTGGCATGATTCTAGCTCACTGCAGCCTCAGATTCCTGGGCTTAAGCAATCCTCTTGCCTCAGCCTCTCAAAGTGCTGGGATTACAGGTGTAAGCCAGGACACCCGGCCTCCTTTCTTTTGAATGATATTAATCTGTTCATCATTCAGCACAATTTGGAGCAAAGGAACTAGTAAGTCTTCAACAGGCTTTCACTTCATCCTGCTCCCCCAGTAGTAGGGTCATACAAAAAGTCTACGAAGGTAGAGGCCCTCTTATCACAGCAACAATCATCACTTAAGTCAAAGACATAAAATTAAGGGATACCTTAGTTTCATCACAGAACCAGTCCAAATGTGTTTGTTTGCATTCTCAACATTTCAGTAACCTCTAGGGAGTATTTCTTCTAACAATTATGGGTGGAATTGGGCAGTTCCCCTTTACAAGATATGTTTTATGTACTGCCACCTTTGTGCAGCTCAACCGATTTGGAATTTGCCCAGCTAACCACATTCCGGCAAAAGCTGCAGCTAATTGAAGATCTTCAACGAATTCAGCTAATTAAGACCAAACACACCCTTTCATTTGAAGGTACATTTGACAGTACCTAATACAAGGAAAAGAGCTCCTTTGTCATTCATGTATATCCAACCCAGCAGTGGTTCTGCAGGAAGCTCTGTCAGTCCACAGGCAACTTCACTCTTGTGTAGTTCCCTGTTTCAGTTGTCTCTTCATGCCCTCCCACTGTAGTTTCGTTGGTGATTATCTACCCGATGAGGGTCACATTCCCATCAGAAGAAATATCTGCCCAACTCCTCTTTGGCATCATGTTCCTTCCCTTTACAGAAGGAAATTGGTGGACTTGGCAACACAGGCTCTTTTTTAGTTACTTTCATTTTTGCCAAAGCAGCCTAACCAGCCAGGGAACTGTATTCTTGGCTGACTTCCTCTGTGTCTGGATTTCTTTTTAAATCTATTTAGCGATTTCCTCTTGCTCTGCATCAACCACCTTCAAGTTCCATTGTCATCCCTTTCTTCCCATTGAGAGTTGTAGCACTTCAGCAAATTCAAACAGGGATTCCCCAGCAACTAGCCTGGCACCAGTGGCTCTAAATCTTTCCCCACTTTTCATCTTTCTCCCAAACAAAGCCTTAGCTATCATTTAAATTATAAAGTAAAAAACTGGGGGGCCAGGCGCAGTGGCTCACACCTGTAATCCCAGAACTTCGGGAGGCTGGGACGGGCGGATCACTTGAGTTCAGGAGTTCAAGACCAGCCTGGCCAACATGGCGAAACCCCATCTCTACTAAAAATACAAACAAATTAGCCGGGCGTGGTGGTGCATGCCTGTAATCCCAGCTACTCGGGTGGCTGAGGCACAAGAACTGTTTGAACCCAGGAGGCAGAGGTTTCAGGCTTCAGTGCCACTGCACTACAGCCTGGGCAACAGTGTGAGACCCTGTCTCGAAAAAAAAAAAGAAAAAAAAAAACCTGGGGCCAGGCGCAGTTGCTCACACCTGTAATCCCACCACTTTGGGAGGCCAAGGCAGGCAAATCACTTGAGCCCAGGAGTTCGAGACCAGCCTGGGCAACATGGTAAGACTCCAGCTCTACAAAATAATTTTTTTAAAAGTTAGGCAGCCGTGATGGTGTGCGCCTATAGACCCAGCTACTCGGGAGGCTGAGGTGGGAGGATCTCTTGAGCCCAGGAGGTTGAGGCTATAGTGAGCTGTGATCAAGATACTGCACTCAACTTGGGTGACAGAGTGAGAGAGACCCTGTCTCAAAAACAAAAAAAAAGTAATGATCCTATTCACAGTACCCTCTTCATCAATTACACAGGTTTGGATCATTGAAAAGACTTAGAAGACTCCGCATAGTATCCTCACATAAGGCTTTAATAAAGGTAAAGGATAGATACAAAAAAAAAAAAAACCCAACAAACCAAAAGGCAAGTGAAACACCACACCCAGTTCCTAGGGTCCTTTTGCAGCCACAGAGGATGTGGAAGATGTGCTTCATCTTTAAGCAATGAACCAGCTAGATGATACATGCAAGACACCTTGGTCTCAAGAGAACTGTAACCTCATCTGAGGCTCTTTTATACTCCTCTGATCAGGTAGCCAACACTAGCTTGCATACCAGGGCTCAAAACCAGAAACAAGCTGGTATAGTCAAGCTGGGGCAGTGACATGCACCTGTAATCCCAGCTACTTGGGAGGCTGAAGTGGGAGGATCACTTGAGCCCAGAAGTTCAAAGCCAATGAGATTTCATCTCCAAAAAGAAAGAAAGAAGCAAGAAACAGGCTGCTCCCTGGTCTGTCTCCCACCCCAGCACAGGACTCTATTAATCACTGGCTAGTACATTTCATTTAGGTTTGGCCAAGGAACAGCACCAAGGCTTCAGGCCTCCCCAGAGATAAATGAGTACAGAGTTGCAGCAGACCAGCAGACATTGATCCTGTCTGACACAACGAAGTTTGGTGGTCAATCATGCCAGTCTAGAGGCTGTTTCTGGGGGAGGAGAAGTAATTTCCAAGGCCCTTTCCAGGTCTAATATTCTTTGACTACAGTGCTAAGAGTGCCATTGAGGCAACTGTGCCATGGAGCTAGGATTTAAACCCAAGTCTGTGTGACTCCAGTGTCTGTCCTCTTTCCTCCATACCATCCTGCCTCCAAAGAGAGAAACAATAGCAAGACAAAGAAGGGACCATAGGTTTAGGTGTGGAAGAAAAGCACCTTTGCCAGGGATAGTAATTTACTTACCTGAGGTTTATCCACAGTTCTAGTCTAATAGAGGAGAATGCTGGCCAGTGGAAGGAAAGTATGTGGCTGAAGAACAAATGCTCTGTCCGTCCTTTAGTAGGAAGCAGTGAGAAAATATTTAAGGAACTAAAATGCAAAAAAAAATCGCGCAGTCAGAGACTTTACCAGTAAATGCTCTAAGGTCTTGAGTCAACAGGATTTAATCAGGACCCAAAAGGAGTAATGAAACCTACAGAGTCTCACACCAGAAGTATTTTATTCTAGTTTTTTTGTTTCTGTTGTTTTTGAGACAGTGTCTCACTCTGTCGCCCAGGCTGGAGTACAGTGGCACGATCCTAGCTCACTGCAGCCTCAAGCTTCCAGGCTGAAGCGATCCTCCCATCTCGACCTCCCAAAGTGCTAGGATTATAGGCATGAACCACCACATCCGGCCTTTATTCTAGTTTGTTAAGATTGGTTAATAGTTAAGGTGCTAGTGTCTTATTTCTGTTATAGTAACAGTTTCTATCTTTCTGGTAGCTTTTAGGATCTTTTCTCCTAAGTGTAGACCTCTCTACATTCATTGGGCTGGGTATTCAATGGGCATTTTCAGTCTGAGCTCTTGGGTCTCCCATCAAGCCTGGGAAATTACCTTCTATTATTTATTTGATAACTTCCTACTGTCTGTTACTCTCTTTTTACTCTTTTGGTATTCCCACTATTCAGGTGAGTAATTAATTGATCACTTATTTTTTTTTCATATATTCTTTTCCTACTTTCTAAGGGTCTCGCTCTGTCATCCAGGCTGGAGTGCAATGGCACAATCACAGCTCACTGCAGCCACCACCTCCTGGACTCAAGTGATCCTCCCACCTAGCCTCCCAAGTTTTGGGACTACAGACGTGTGCTACCATGCACAGCTGATTTTATATTTTATTTTGTGTAGAGATGGGGGTCTCACCTTGTTGCCCAGGCTGGTCTCAAACTCCCGGGCTCAAGTGATCTGCCGGCCTCAGCCTCCCAAAATGCTGGGATGACAGGTGTGAGCCACCGCACCCAGCTGTCCTCTCCTTTATATTCCGGCTCTCCAATCTAGTTTAAAATTTCAGCAATTATAATTTCCCACAGCTCTTTCTTTTCTCTGTGCCTTATTTTCATAGTGTCAATTTTTTTAACCAGTGCCATCTTCCTGAATCTGCTGTACGATACTAATGTTTAAGTTCCTGTTTCCTGAATTATGTTTCCTCAAAGGTTTTTACCACTTACCTTGGTGTTTACTTTTCATATTATCAACTTTCCTCAAATGTGTAGTGATCCTGGGTTTTCAACTCATGTTTAAAAATTAAGTCATTTAAAAACACATTGGTCAAACTAATCATTAAAAAATCAGGAGCCACAGGAGTGGGACTTGAACCTGAGCCTTTCACTCTATGGAGAACAAGAATTACCCTAATGTCAGAATGTCAGAGAAAGATTTCAGAAAATGATTTCAAGTTACTTGGGGTTTTTTTTGTTTTGTTTTGTTTTTGGAGATGGGGTCTCACTTTGTCACCCAGACTGGAGTGCAGTGGCACAATCTCGGTTCACTGCAGCCTCTACCTCCCAGGCTCAAGTGATCCTCTCATCTCAGCCCCACAATAGCTGGGACTACAGGCATGCACCACCACACCTGGCTAATTTTTGTATTTCTAGTAGAGACAGGGTTTCGCCATGTTGCCCAAGCTGGTCTTGAACTCTTGACCTCAAGCCATTTGCCCACCTCAGTCCCCCAAAATGCTGGGATTACAGTCATGAGCCACTGGGCCTGGCCCGTTACTTGTAAAGACAAAGCTAGCAGCCGAAAACTTACTTGGAACGTTCCTTGGACATAAAATCACCATTTCTTAAAAGGATTCTTAGTTTTGGGGTGCCAGTGCCCACACTGGTTCTCTAGGTCAGCTAAGAGAAAGCAATGTGTTCAATTTTGGGGGGAGCAGGGAAGACTCCTGTAATTTTTTGCCCCAGGGTAAACACTTGTGTGTCAAATATTCTGATCATGGGGTAGAGAGAGCTGACTGTCCCGTGCACGGGCTTCCAATTAGTCCCTCAATTTTCAGCCCTTCATGTCACTCCAGCCCTCCTTCCTATCTGGCATCCTGTGTCCGCAGTTACTCCAAGCTTCTCCATAGGGCAGATAGTCTCTCATAGGAGACTCCATATTCAGGAAGCGGTTTCCTTGAGCTGCTT
This sequence comes from Homo sapiens, assembly GCF_000001405.40. Taxonomy (NCBI): domain Eukaryota; kingdom Metazoa; phylum Chordata; class Mammalia; order Primates; family Hominidae; genus Homo; species Homo sapiens. Next base: position 387,981 of record NW_003315917.2, on the reverse strand, counting down.
CCTTCCTGACTACTAGTCCATATAGTTTCTACTTTCCAAGAATGTGTTAAAATATTCTATGTGCTACTGGTCCCATTTCTGTTCTATTTTATTTTTTTTTACCTTTAAACTCTGTTGGACTTGACATTCTTGTTTTCTTAATTTTCCTGGGTTTATACTTTTAAGAATCAGTAATATTGTGTATTTATTACCAAAAACATGAACTAAAATTTACATAGAGCCTATCAAGGAAAAACCATTTCTCTACTCACATTTCTGACATCAAATATATGGGTTTTCCACCAACCAATTCTCCAATTCTCCACAGACAGCAGCTGAGTGTCTTACAATTTTACTCAATTCTGATGCTAATTAACCAGAGTTAGTGCAGACCCCACGGGTTAGGGGCTCAGCCCCCAAGACTGCCCCCTACTTCAGATGCCAGCCACAACTATTAGGACCTCAGGGTACCCACACTTCTGTCTGAGTTCACTACAAATCATGGGTATCTGCAACCCCCTCAGGTTCGATAATTTCTTTCTTGGGGGTTGGGGGAGTTTAGGAGCAGAGGTTTAATAGGCAAAAGAAAGAAAAACGAGAACAGATCTCTCCCTTGTGAGGGGCTTCCGAAAGGAAAATCCGGCCTGCGGTGGACTGCACCAGATTTTATAGGTAGGCCTGAGGAGGCGGCGTCTGATTTGCGCAGAGCCCACAGGTTGGTTTGAACAGGTGTGACGTTTACATAGCACGCGGGGAAGGTTGGGCGCCCCACCCTAATCTTACTGTGACAAAGGGCAGAGTGACCTTGACATGCCATGTGCTTTCCAGAACAAGGGCAGAGAGTGACGCTCACTGTGGTGGGAGAGGAGACCCTCTGTTCCTAGAAAATCACAACAGCATGCCCCTGTGCTATATCCCTGGTTACTACAGCAGTCTTTGTTCTTGCCTAACAAGATTACTTCCCTGAACTGTAAAACTCCCTCAGTACTGCATACAGAGAGAGGTTAGGAGACATGGTGGTCGTGGATAGGAAATGAGGGAATTATGATAGGAAAGTTGGAGGTCCTGTTGCCGACACCCCTTAGGGTGGTCGGAGGCTGGGGTCAGTCCAGAAGCCTTCGGATGGCACCAGGAGGTAGCCCCAGCCAGAAATCCTCAGTTGCTCCAGGACCTCTTCCAGCCCCACACGACAGCTTGGTCCTCCGTGAAAGGAAACTGGTTCAAACATGGCCAATATGCCCAGCAGCCCGTGGGTATTGGGGGGTTCTCCATGTTCTCCCCAGCAAGCCTGTCCCCCAAAACTTGTAAGGCTGGCAGCCACGCTCATAATTTTTAAATGGCTAATTGGTGAAGGCAGAGTTTTCTCATTCACAGAAGCAGAAGGGGGCCCAGTATTTGGTTTGGTTTGATTCTAAAATGGAGGCCAAGAGCCTCGAAATCAAAGGACAGAGTTGAGGTCCGCCCCTTTACTCACCTTTGCAATGAATGCACCTTGGAATCCCAGACGAAGTCCCCAATATGAAGTGGCATTGTTGTCTGGGGTCAATACCCGGGGTTCGTCGTCTCGCACCAACAAGGTTAAGGACACGATACACACGAAGAGTGGGTTTAGGAGCGGAGGTTTAACACGCAAAAGAAAAAGGAGAACAGCTCTCTCCCTTGTGAGAGAGAGCGGCTTCCGAAAGGAAAATCCCAGGTTCGATCGTTTCTTATAATGGCTCACAGAACTCAGAAACTTTACTTATGTTTACTGCTTTATTATAAAGGATACAGATGAACAGGCAGTCGAAGAGGTACACAGGGCAACGTCCAGAAGGGTCCCAGGTGAGCACAGGACCTTTTGTCTTCATGCAGTTTGAGGTGCATCGCCTTCTTGGTATGTGGTTGGGGTTAACCAAACCGAAAGCTCTCCAAACCTGTGGTTTATTTTTTAATGGAGGTGCCATCACTTAGGCATGATTGGCTAAATCACTGGCAATTGGTGGTTAATCAATCGCCAGCCCTTTTACCCTCTCTGGAGGTCGAGGCGTGGGGCTGCAAATCCCAGACCTCTAATCATGCCTTAGTCTTTCAGGGGATAGCCCCCATCCTGAAGTTGTCTAAAGGATCCCAGCCACCAGTTAGCTCACTGTCATACACTCTTATCACTTGGAGATTCCAAAGGTCTTAGAAGCTCTTGTGTCAGGAACCAAGACCAAGTATTCTAATAAAAGATGTTTCTATCACCCCTGTCACTCAGGAAATTACAAGGGTTTCTGGAGATCTGTGCCAGGAACTGGATGAAGATCAAATATATATATTTATTATATCACAATATTGCAGCCTACTACTTGCCAGGCACAATTCTAAGCACTTTACATGTGTCCACTTAATTCCTTTAACAGTCCAAAATCAGCTATTGCTATATCATCTCCATATTACAGATAAGGAAACTCAAGCACATAGGGGTTAAGGTTAACCAGTGATCTGGCTAGTCTGTACTTTTACCTGATGTTGTGCTGCCATACAGACTAGATTTTTTTTTTTTTTTTTAGACTGAGTCTTGCTCTGTTGCCAGGCTGGAGTGCAATGGCGTGATCTCAGCTCACTGCAAACCCCGCCTCCCGGGTTCAAGTGATTCTCCTTCCTCAGCCTCCCCAGCAGCTGGGACTACAGGCACATGCCACCTCGCCCAGCTAATTTTTGTATTTTCAGTAGAGACAGGGTTTCACCATGTTGACCAGGATGGTCTCGATCTCTTGACCTCGTGATCCGCCCACTTCAGCCTCACCAAATGCTGGGATTACAGGCGTGAACCACAGCACCCAGCCAAGACTAGATTTTTAAGAAAAGGCAATCCAGATGTCCTAGAAGGTTCATTTCCTCTTTTTGGTGGTTTAGCAAATTTCTTAGTAAGGCTTCTAGCTGTTATAGCAGCATTAGTATGTGAACCACAGTTAAGCTCTAGTCCAACAAGGCCATTTCTTCAGCAGAGAAGCAATTGTTAAATAATCGACCAAGTATTCATTGGCTCCCTCTTTTTGTATCAACATACACAATTGTTACAGTGCCAGTGTTTATTGGAACCACTTTCCATGGTGCATCCAGCTGTGCCTAGACCAGCAGGTCTTTTTCCAGAAGTCCAGATGGCAGGGGAACCTCTTCACGTTGTTGACCCTTCTCCCTGTAATTTTTTCCCCAATAAACCTTTTCATTATGTTGCTGTATTTATACCCAAATACACATTACATTTATTTTAGTACCTTGTACATTTTGTTGCCCTTATAAATTGGAGGGGTTTTAAAAACTATTTTTTATTCTCAATATTCATTGATGATGTATAGGACTCCTTCTGGACTGTTTAATATATGACTGTAAATCCCCCTGAATTTTCTTAGATGTTTGTAGTATCTGATTATGACAGTTTTGTCTTTTATTTATTGCCTTGTTGCATTGATTAGGTCCTCTAATATAATGTTGCTTAATAATGAAGATAGATATCCTATCTTATTCTTGACTTTTGGTATAAATTCTTCTAAAGTTTGAGCATTAAACATGATGTTTGTTGTAGATTCTTAGTGGATACTCTTTAGCAGTTAAAGTAACTTCTCTTTTACTTCCAGTGACACTACTACCTAATTTGAAGAGAGGATTTGGAATTTTGAGTTTCAAAATAATACTGTTTTCAAACACTTTTTTAGCTAAAAAGTACACACACATAGGGCAGTGTTTTAAAGTTTAGCTACTTCAGGGCATATGTGTATACTCACTGAAGTTTTAATTTAATGGCTTATTGGTCATTCATGTATCTTCTTTGGTAAGGTAATTAAATTTTTTTCTTTTTTTTTAAAAGACAGAGTCTCGCTCTGTCGCCCAGGCTGGAGTGCAGTGGCACAATCTCAGCTCACTGCAACCTCCGCCTCCTGGGTTCAAGCGATTCCCCTGCCTCAGCCTCCCGAGTAGCTGGGATTACAGGCGCCCACCACCACGCCCAGCTAATTTTTGTATTTTTAGTAGAGACAGGGTTTCACCATGTTAGCCAGGCTGGTCTCGAACCCCTGACCTCGTGATCCACCCACCTCGGCCTCCCAAAGTGCTGAGATTACAGGTGTGAGCCACTGCACCTGGCCGTAATTAAATTCTTGACCCATTTAAAAAGTGCGTGTTTTCCTTTTTATTACTAAATTATAAGGATTCTTTATATATTTTGCATACTAGTCCTTTGTTAGATATTTACATTGCACATATATTCTCTCAGTCTGTTAACCATCTTTTCATTTTCTTAATGGTGTCTTTCAAAAAGAAGTTTTTAATTTTGATGAAGTCCAATTTTAATTTTTGTTATGATTGATAGTTTTTGTGTCCTAAGAAATCACTATCTACTCTAAAGTTGTGAAGATATTCTAAAAGTTAACATTTGTATTGTACAATATCAACTGTTAGTTGAGGATATGGAGCAACTGGAAGCTCATACATTAGTTGTGGGAATGTAAAATGGTATTAATACAATGTCTTTGGAAAAACAGTTCACTGGTGTCATGGAAAGCTAAGTATACTCTTGCCATACAATCTAGCAATTCCATTCCTACATATTTACCCAAGAAAAATGAAAACACATGAACACACAAAGATTTATACAATAATGTTCATAGCAACTTTATTCATAATAATAACCAAAAAATCAGAAACAACCCAATGTCCATTGGGGATAAACACATGGATAAACAACGTATCCATAAATGAAGTACAGGTGGTAAAAAGAAGCAAAGTATTGATATATGCAACAAATGAATAAGCTCAAAAACATTATGCTAAGCAAAAGAAGCCATACATATCATTTAATTTTTAAAAATTGTATATAACAGACAAATCTCATCTACAGTGACAGAAAACAGATCAATGTCACCGGCCGCTGGAACTCCTAGGGAGTACTCACTGCAAAGGAGCCCTTCTGGAGTGATGAAGATGTTCTCTCTCGATTGTGGTGGTCGTGGCATGGGTACAGAACACTTGTCAAAAGGCATGGAATTACTCAAGATGGGAGCATTTTTACTGTATGTTAATTATAACTCAATAAAATTGATTTTTTAAAATTCTAAATACATATATAAATACATTAATGTTTACAGAGCATTAAGAGAAGTGAAAAAGGTCGGGCGCAGTGGCTCACGCCTGTAATCCCAGCACTTTGGGAGGCCGAGGCGGGCGGATCACGAGGTCAGGAGATCGAGACCATCCTGGCTAACACGGTGAAACCCCGTCTCTACTAAAAATACAAAAAAACAATTAGCCGGGCGTGGTGGCGGGCACCTGTAGTCCCAGCTACTCGGGAGGCTGAGGCAGGAGAATGGTGTGAACCCGGGAGGCAGAAATTGCAGTGTGAGCCGAGATCGCGCCACTGCACTCCAGCCTGGGTGACAGAGCGAGACTCTGTCTCAAAAAAAAAAAAAAAAACAAAACAAAAGAGAGAAGTGAAAAAATAATTCCATGTTTGAGATTTGTTTTTTTTGTTTGTTTGTTTTCAGACGGAGTCTTGCTCTGTCACCCAGGCTGGAGTGCAGTGGCGCGATCTCGGCTCACTGCAATTTCTGCCTCCCGGGTTCACGCCATTCTCCTGCCTCAGCCTCCCGAGTAGCTGGGACTACAGGCGCCCGCCACCACGCCCGGCTAATTTTTTGTATTTTTAGTAGAGACGGGGTTTCACCGTGTTAGCCAGGATGGTCTCGATCTCCTGACCTCGTGATCCGCCCGCCTCGGCCTCCCAAAGTGCTGGGATTACAGGCGTGAGCCACCGCGCCCGGCCGAGATTTGTTTGTTTATAAAGTTACCTGAATTTGTTTTTTAAGTTTAGTAGAATTCTTTTATCAGGACCTGTTTTTAAGTTACCTATGTACCTCTCTAAATGGGATTACAGGCAGTAGCTCTCACACTTCAACATTTATGGTAACCACCTGGAGGATTTGTTAAAGCGGACTGCTAGACCCATCCTCAGAGTTTCTGATTCAACAGGCCTGTGATGGGGCTCAAGAATTTGCTTTTTTTTTTTTTTTTGAGATGGAGTCTCATTCTGTTGCCCAGGCTGCAGTGCAGTGGTGCGATCTTGGCTCACAGCAACCTCCGCCTCCTGGATTCAAGTGATTCTCCTGCCTCATCCTCCTGAGTAGCTGGGATTACAGATGCCCTTCACCACGGCCGGCTAATTTTTGTATTTTTAGTAGAGACAGGGTTTCACCATGTTGGTCAAGCTGGTCTCGAACTCGTGACCTCGTGATCTACCCACCTCAGCCTCCCAAAGTGCTGGGATTACAGGCATGAGGCACCGCGCCTGGCCAAGAATTTGCATTTCTAATGACTTCTTGGGTGATGCTAATGCTACTTACTGGTCCAAACACTACATTTAGAGTCACTGACTGTAGAGATCCTTAAAAGATCCCTATTCCTCCAAAGAGTCAATTCTTAATGCTTAAAACTTGAACTAGGCTGGGTACAGTGGCTAACGTCTGTAATCCCAGCACTTTGGAAGGCCTAGGAGAGAGGATCATTTGAGGCCAGGAGTTGACACGAGCCTGGACAGCACAGCAAGAGTCCATCTCTTAAAAAAAAAATTCAGCCAGGCATGGTGGTGCACACCTGTAGTCCTAGCTACTTGAGAAGCTGAATTGGGAGGATCACTTGTGCCCAGGAATTCAAGGCTGCAGTGAGTTGATTGTGCCATTGCACTCCAGCCTGAGAGACAGAGTGATACTGCCTCAAAAAAATAAAAATTTAAATTTAAAACAGAAACACAAAAAACCTAAATTATCCCCTAAGGCTGGCCACGGTGGCTCACACCTGTAATCCCAGCACTTTGGAAGGCCAAGGTGGGTGGATCACTTGAGGTCAGGAGTTCCGAGACCAGCCTGGTCAACATGGTGTGAAACCACGTCACTACTAAAAATACAAAAATCAGCCAGGCATGGTGGCACATGACTGTAGTCCCAGCTACTCGGGAGGCTGAGGCAGGAGAATCACTTGAACCCGGGAGGCAGATGTTGCAGTGATCCAAGATCATGCCACTGCACTCTAGCCTGGTTGACAGAGCAAGACTCTGTCACAAAAACAAAAACAAAAAGTAAATAAATTACCCCCTAGGAGGAGTATATCCCAGGAAAGTGTAACACCTGAAACTTAAAAGATTATCTGCCCTGATGATAAACGATAGAAAAGAGACAGGCCAGGCCAAAGTTTGTCAACTGGTGGACTGAAGATAAGTTTTATTTAGCCTCTGTGTTTTTCTAAATTAGAGGCTAACATCTCAAACTTGGGAGAATTCACTTTAAAAATCCAGTTTTTACGGCTGGGCATGGTGGCTCACGCTTGTGATTCCAATACTTTGGAAGACTGAGGTGTGCAGATTACTTAAGCTCAGGAGTTCAAGACCAGCCTAGGCAACATAGGAAGACACTGTCTCTACAAAAAAAAACTTTTTAAAAATTAGCCAGGCACAATGGCACACACCTGTGGTCCCAGCTACTAGGGAGTCTGAAGTGGGACCATCACTTGAGTCTGGAAGGTCGAGACTGCAGTGAGCCATGATTGCACCAATGCACTCCAGCCTGGGGAACAGAGCAAGGCTTTGTCTCAAAAAAAAAAAAAAAAAAAAAAAAAAAAAAAAAAAAAAAAAAAATCCAGATTTAGTTTCTCTTTAAGTATCATTCCCAGAAGAAAAAAATAGGCTGGGGCCAAATAATGGTTACCTCACTTTATTTTTACATTTTTTTGAATTAAGTAACAAAATTTAAAAAATACAAAAGGATGTACAGTGAAAAGTACATCTCCCTTCTATCCCTGATCCCCAGACTCTCAGAGGCTGCCTCCTTTAGATGGGGCGGGTGCTTTCCAGATGTCCCCACTCTGCATCAACTGGCCCTCTTTCACTTATCTGCATTGTCTGCCTGACCCCTTTAGACATCTGAGCTGCCTCCCAACCCATTTTACCACGCCTCTCCTGCATCCCCTTAACACTTGGCATGTCTGTCGTTAGCACTTTCACACAAGCTTCTTTACAAGGCTGTGTCTTTTTAGATGGGGAGATTCACAGATGCATGAGGTTAGGTTTACATCTTCTTTTGACTATCTACATCCCTGATAACTAGGATGGTGTCAGACTTATGGCAGATGTACAAGTTTGTTGAGTGAATTAATAAATTAATGAATGGGCAAATTGTGTATTGTTTCCAGGGTCCTGAGGTGTGACGCAAATAGCAATTCAGTCAGGTGAAATCAATAATTTAGATCCCATCAGGATCCCAGCCGAGTCCCCAGTCCATCTTGTAACACTTCTCCCCAGAACATACTTAAATTACCTGGAAATAATGAATCCTCTGCCCTTACAGAACTGGATCCAAAGCAGGCACTAGGGCACTCTAAGACTACTTCTCAGAAGTGTGACAACCTCCTGTACCCTTTTTCTCCTTACTACAGGGCCCAAGGACTGAAACTTCTTACCTTTTCTCCTAAACTCTGCCACCCACTAATGGCCTCAGGACTGGGATTCCACTAACCCACTCCCCAAGGGCTGATTGCACCCTTTCTTTGTCACCACTCATGAAATCATTTCATGCTATGAATTGGCCAACCGTTCTAGAGATATAGCTGAACACAAACATGACCAGAAACATGAGGAAGTTATAAAGTATTGAGAAATCCTTCTAGAAGTAGATGCAATGCCACACCACTGAGCACGAGATCTGGCTTCCTGAGCAGTTACCAAAGGACGAGATGACACAGCCCTGTGGGCAAACTAGGATCAACGGGAAATGGAAGAACTTAGGAAACTAAGTTACTTCTCCTTCCTCCCTTCAATGGACTGCTCAGAGGGGCAGTTTCTCCTTATAAACCTTCTGGAGAAGCCCCACACTCTAAGTGAACACACTTGCTGGAAGGCTCCTGTATCTCGTCACAGCTTGTCATGAAGCCTGGTCACTGCAGTAACACAATGCATCACGTTTTTCCTTGCTTTGCTTTCCCTTTTCTTCCACACTCTCACCCCCCTAGATCTGTCCCTCCCTAATAAAGTAACAATACTTTCATCTTTGCCTCAGGTTCTACTTCCTAGGGGACCTAAGTTAAGAAATTCTTGTTGTTGACCAGGCGTGGTGGCTCACGCCTGTAATCCCAGCACTTTGGGAGGCCAAGGCAGATGGATCATGAGGTCAGGAGATCGAGACCATCCTGGCTAACACAGTGAAACCCCGTCTCCAGTAAAAATACAAAAAATTAGCCAGGCGTGGTGGCAGGCACCTGCAGTCCCAGCTACTCGGGAGGCTGAGGCAGGAGAATGGCATGAACCCGGGAGGTGGAGCTTGCAGTGAGCTGAGATCGCGCCACTGCACTCCAGCCTGGGCGACAGAGCGAGACTCTGTCTCAAAAAAAAAAAAAAAAATTCTTCTTGTTGTAATTTATTGTTGTTGCAATTTTTGTTTGTTGTAATTTCTAGGGTAACCACTGAAAGAATAAAAACAAAGTATACAATTTTCAAACTAGTGACGAAAAACATAGAATGGTAGAAAGTAAGTAATCAAAAAGAAGGCAAGAAGGAAAAGATCGTATCAAATATGTAGTTAAAAAAATTTAAAAAAACGAAAGATGGAATTGTTGGAACCAATAACACAAAGATAATAGACTTAAACCCAAATATATCAGTGGTAATCTTTTAATAAATATTTATATTTATTAGATATATTTATATATTTTAATATATAATATATTAAAATATATATTATATATAAATATATATAAATATATAAATATAAATATAAATAATATATTTATAAATATAATATTTATAATAAATAAAATATATCAGTGGTAATCTTTTAATAAGTAAATATATTTATTAAATATAAAAGGTACACAGTAAATATAAATGAACTAAATGCTTTAGTTAAAAGACAATAAAAATTATGAAATAAAAATGTATACACTTGAAAGTATTTAAAATAAATCTAATTTTCATAATGAATTTTAAGCATTAAGGAGTTTTGTAACTGAATAGTGGAACTCAGAAAGACATCCTATTCAGAAGGATCTCTCATGATAATAGTTTCCTTCACTATTGTAGTATACTGTAGAGTTTCAAGAAAAAAATTAAAGGCCAAAACTGTCTTACATTACCATTGCTGTTTCTGCAATCTTCAACAAACCAAAATTTTCTCTGTAATTGTGAAAAAAGAACTCCTCCTTAAGCATAACTAAAATTTTGCCTTAACCTTATCAAATACCCAAAACTGTAGAAAGAGATAAAGCTGTTAATAGAGACATGGGTATCCCTTTTTATCAGGTCAGGAGGGTAAGTCTCTAATAGAGAGTTCTAGTAACTTCTCAAAAGGTAACTAATGAAGGCCTTCCTTCTAAACCAGATAGGGGGAGATAGAATGCTCTGAGTATTAAAGGCATCTCCTGCAAGCCACTGATACCTTTGTTGACAGAGCACACAGAAGAAAATAGCAGTTACCAGGTTACCTATAGGTGAAATTTGTTTCCACATAAAGAACCACTGGGTCCAGGCTCATGGAGTATGACTCCTGAGAGAAACTCCCGTTACTCTGATCAGTGTGTGTGTGTGTGTGTGTGTGTGTGTGTGTGTGTGTGTGTATTAAAAATGAATATTCCTGGGCTCCCAATAAACTCTCCAGGGTGGGATTACGTTGTCTTTACTGATAATGTTCTTAACTAAAAATTCTTAGTTATAAAATCACAAATTTCGGCCGGGCACGGTGGCGGAGGTGGGTGGATGACCTGAGGTCAGGAGTTGGAGATCAGACTGATCAACAAGGTGAAACCCCGTCTCTACCAAAAATGCAAAAATTAGCCAGGCGTGGTGGCAGGCGCCTGTAGTCCCAGCTACTCAGGAGGCTGAGACAGGAGAATGGCTTGAGCCTGGGAGGCGGAGGTTGCAGTGAGCCAACAGCAGGCCACTGCACTCCAGCCTGGGCGATGGAGCAAGACTCCATCTCAAAAAAAAAAAAAAAAATCACAAATTTCATAGTGAAACTCAAGTTAGAGTACCTGAAGTTTATATACATAAAATAGACATACCTTTGCTATGAAAGCCTGATTTACTCTTTTTTTTTTTTTTTTTCTTGAGACAGAGTCTAGCTCTGTCGCCCAGGCTGGAGTGCAGTGGAGCGATCTCGGTTCACTGCAAGCTCCGCCTCCTGGGTTCACACCATTCTCCTGCCCCAGCCTTCCGAATAGCTGGGACTACAGGCGCCCGCCACCAGGCCCAGCTAATTTTTTGTATGTTTAGTAGAGACGGGGTTTCACCGTGTTAGCCAGGATGGTCTCGATCTCCTGACCTCGTGATCTGCCCGCCTCGGCCTCCCAAAGTGCTAGGATTACAGGCGTGAGCCACCGCGCCCGGCTGAAAGCCTGATTTACTCTTAACTGGATATAACCAGAAAGAGTTCTGCCCACAATGATATATCTGCATTGAATCTAAAACACAGACTTCATCATACATTCTCACCTAAATTTCTCTGATGACCCAGAGTAAGGCAAAAGGTTTAGCATATGAGAGTGAAAGGATTTGAATCTCACTTTCTGTCAAACTTTAGAGCTCTGTTAACCATGGTTAGTATCAACTATGATTTTAGGCAACTTTGCTTATAGTAAAAATAACTCGTTAATTGTTACGTATCTGGATTGGGATGCACTATAAATAAATGGAGTCTTCAAGCTTTAGGCTTTCCTGAGTGTAGTGACTCTTGAAATTGACACATCCCTTGTGGATACCTGGAAGCTGTGTTTATGGAATTGTTAAGAGATATTGGTTCCTTGATGCCTGTGGAGGATCTTATCTCCTTGCACCCAAATTGTACTAGTGGACTGCTACAAGGACTTCCACTGCTAATGAGGACTGCTTGATGCTGTGCTGGCAGGCTGTTGTTTCTGTTTAATATCCTTCTGAGTAAGCGGGTACCAAGTATGGCCATGGCAGTCTTGTGAGTTTGAATGTTTAATGTAAAGTGACTTCTGTTGGTCATAGCCACAAATAATTTCAGATGTACTAACTTGATAAACATATTCCAGATGTTTGGTTAAACCTAAAAAGACCTCTCTGGTGGATGTAGCAGTACATCATTTCATATGTATTAATTTCATAACTTTTTTTTTTTTTGAGAGGGAGTCTCACTCTAGGGTGGAGTGCAGTGGCACAATCTCGGCTCCCTGCAACCTCCGCCTCCTGGGTTCAAGCGATTCTCCTGCCTCAGCCTCCCAAGTAGCTGGGACTCCAGGCGTGAACCACCATGCCCGGCTAATTATTTTTTGTATTTTTAGTAGTGACGGGGTTTCACCATGTTGGCCAGGCTGGTCTCGAACTCCTGACCTCAAGTGATCTGCCCACCTCAGCCTCCCAAAGTGTTGGGATTACAGGTGTGAGCCACAGCGCCCAGCCTAATTTCATAAGTATTGATAAATTTTCATCTTACACTGAATTTACATTCAGACTTAACTTTCTTCTTACACTAAATTAATGAATTAACATAAATCATAAAGATTCTATATTTAATTATAAAAACATAAAATTATCACATCAATTTAATTCTTATAAGTTTATACATACTGCATAATGACTTTGAAAACAGTATAACTCAAAATAATAGAAAACAAAATTAATTGAATGAAGTACTACTGAATTTCAGGTATTTCTGTGACAACACAAATTTAAAATTTAATAAAATATTACCTTTTCTTAGCAAAAAGTTTCTTAAGTCAGATTATCCTTTCATGTTTTAAATGAAGCTTCTTCTAAAGAAGTCCTTTTATTCACAGTTGCAAATTTCTTTTTAACACATACAATGTATACTACATGCTGGAATCAAACACCTGAAGGAGCTGGAATCTTATGAATACAGCCAGGGCAACAGTGTAGAGAATCATGAACAAAAACATCACAGTCCACACAGAAAACATTTTGGCACACAGCACAAACATAAACCTGTAGTGAAAAGAAGAAAAGTGATAAACTAGTTTCCAAAAGTTAATTACAGCACAGCTAGATGACATTCAAGGTGTGCTTTGCTCTTTTATATCTCTACCAATTTTTTCCCACTACCTACTTTATTACTTCCAATGTACTCTATATTCTCAAATCTAAGGCAATTAATTTTTTCCCCAAAACTATCCCTTAGAAATGAGGGAATGGTTTTGTTTTTGAGTCTTTAAAGTCTATTCTATTACAGTTCGCTCTCAATTATTTCATTCTAAGGTTTAGGAAAGACATATGAGCTTCAAACCAGCGCTACTTTTGAATGCTTAGCAAGACCACCTGATTGATTCAATTAAAAAGAGAAGCATAAAAATTTAACATCGATTTAATTATTCTTAGGGAATGACCTCACAATTGCAAACATATTTCCCTTTCAAGTAAACCTTTAAAAAAATATGTCAAATGACACAGATAAGACAAGCAGAAAGGAAAAAACTACATTTGTTCTTTCAGCATTACATATATGAGTACTTGCTCCTTGGGATAAAATTTCCAGGGCAGCTTCATACACAGATTCAAAAATCACTAAATCTCAGAAGTATTTGGCTTTGAATAAAAAAAAAAAGAAAGAATGAATAAATAAATTTCAAACAACACAGACAATGACCTATTCTTAAAAACTCAAATGAGGCCGGGTGTAGTGACTCACGCCTGTAATCCCAGCACTTTGGGAGGCCAAGGCGGGTGGATTGCTTGAGCCCAGGAGTTCAAGACCAGCTGGTCAACATGGTGAAACCCAGTCTCTACTAAAAATACAAAAATTGGCTGGGCATGGTGGTGCACGCCTATAATCCCAGCTGCTTGGGAGGCTAGGCATGAGAATCACTTGAACTTGGGAGGCAGAGGTTGCAGTGAGCCAAGATTGCATCACTGCACTACAACCTGGGTGACAGAGCAAGAGTCTGTCTCAGAAAATAAAACCAAAAAACTGTCAAATGATTCAAAAAGTGGTTCCAGTTAAGAGTAAACTACTGATGTCAAAGAGGTATATAAAATTTAATAAAATTACTTTATAAATTGTGACAGTGGAAGAGCAATACTTCTAATTATTATTTTATATAATATATATAGTTTTAAATATGAACATGTAACTAAATTAAAAATTAAAGCTAGACAGTGATCCATATTATTTACATCTATACAAATTTATTTATTAAAGTTGGCCCTCTTCAAAATTTAAAAAAGTATTTTCTCATTGGCATAATGGAAGAATCACCTATTATCTGTGGCCACCTTAAACAATTTCAATGTGTTATCACACAGCTTAAAGTATAATATGAAGAAAATATTTTAAATACTTTCAGACTAAATGCAGTTTAGCTTGAAAGCTAAAGACAAATTACATGTTTTACAAGGGTGTACCAAAGTAGACAAAACAATCAAAGAATTTAAAAAAAGAGGAAAAAAATTAAAAAATTTTTAATAAAAAGTTTTAAAAAGATGAATTACAAAATACTTTATAGCAAAAATTAGAATGCAGAATAACAAAACTACTATTTAAACTATTTTGTTCCTATTTTACCTTCACCTATTGTCATTATCTTTACAAGAAATAAACTGATATGAGCCTGGTCTTTAACAACCTGTTGAAAACTTATAGTACCATTGATTTCAATATTTCTTGTACATTACTTAATATTTAGAAAGCCAAAGAACTTACATGTTGGTCTTTCAATTCCCCCTGACATCCATAACAAAATCTGAAAAAAAAGTTTAACAATGTTTTTTCTTAGAATTTACTCATTAAAATAGTTCAACAAAATCTCACTAACTAGAATCCTTTAATTAATATGTACTTGTCTTTACACATGACTTTCAGGAAAAAGAGTTAAGAATACCAATAGGCCAGGCACAGTGGCTCACGCCTATAATCCCAGCACTTTGGGAGGCCGAGGCAGGTGGATCACCTCAGGTCAGGAGTTCGTGACCAGCCTGGCCAACATGGCGAAACCCCGTCTCTACTAAAAATACAAAAATTAGCTGGGCGTGATGGCAGGCGCCTATAATCCCAGCTACTCAGGAGGCTGACGCAGGAGAATCGCTTGAACCCAGGACACGGAGGTTGCAGTGAGCCGAGATGGTGTCATTGCACTCCACACTGAGCAACGGGAGCAAAACTCTGACTCACAAAAAAAAAAAAAAAAAAAGAATAGCAATAATTTAAAAAAAAATTCCACAGTATATACAAGGTCATCTGACAGCCCAAAATTTAGTTTTTATTTTCATTAAGGTTAACTGTGAGCATGCTTTATTTTTCTTTGTTTTCGAGTCAGGGTCTTGCTTTGTCTCAAAGGCTGGAGTGCTGAGGTGCTATCACAGCTCACTGCAGCCTCAACCTCCTGGGCTCAAGTGATCCTCCTGCCTCAGCCTCCTGAGTAGCTGGGACTACAGGCATGTATCTCCATGCCTGGCTAATTTTTTATTGAGGCAGGGTCTCGCTATATTGCCCAGGCTGGTCTCGAATGCCTGGGCTCAAGCAATCCTCCTATCTTGGCTTCCCAAAGTGTTAGGATTACAGGCATGAGCCACCATGCCCAGCCAGAAGCACTTTCTAACGTTTGTTTGATAGTCACTTATTCTAATAAGTGCTACTTTGTGATTCTTCACAGTTATTGGCTATAAATCTCCAACTATGAAAGAAGAGAATTTAATTATCTTTCAATCATCTTGAACCCAGTAATGCATAAATATTTAACTAGTGTCATTCTCAATTCTTTCTACATAGTGAAGTCTTCCTTTTGGATAGAACAATAATCAATGTTTAGTTTACTATGCCTATAAAAATATTCTCAGCTAAGCCATAAGTTTTCCCCTATTTAAAACATTTTTTTTTTCCTGGAAATACTGTGTTGCTATTCCCAAGGTTAGTTTCCTATATAATTGACACTAATTCAGGCCCAATCTTCTCCGGAATAGTCTAACTGTCCTCTCGATATGTTCAAATACATCAGGAGTTCTGCAGTTTTCATCCCCTTGGTGATCTCTCTCCTGGAGCATCCTGACTGTCTCCAAACTGGACGGTTCCCCATATGTGACACACAGGTATCATTCTGGAATTTCTCCTTACCATCATCCTAGGCCGTTCTTCAGCCTGTTTTGAATTAGATACATATTACTAGATCCCATGTCATTCTCCTTCTCAGTTCCTTTGAATCACCTACCTCTTCCAGACCTTCCCCAGAAAAATCTCTTTTTGAGACCTTACAAGTCTGAAAATGTCTTTATTCTACCTACACTTAACTGACAGTTTGGCTGGGTATCTAAGTTGGTAACAATTTTCACCACAAACTTTGAAGGTGACTGCTCCCTCTCTGCATCCGGTGTTGCTAATGAGAAGCCAAACAATTTTAATTCCAGATCCTTTGTGTGTGACCTAGTTTTTCCTCTCTGGAAATGTTTAGGGTTAATGGTTTATTGTGTATTCTGAAATTTCACAATTATGGGGTCTGCCTTCCTTCAATACGTTAGGCACTTGGCAGTCCCTTTCTTTTATCTTCGTTGCAGAGATGAGGTCTTGCTGTGTGACCCAGGCTGGCCTGGAACTCCTGGCCTCAAGTGATCCCCCAGTCTCAGCCTCCCAAAGTGCAAGGATTAGAGCTATGAGCCACCCTTCCCAGCCAACAGGCCCTTTCAATCTAGAAAGTTCTGTCCTTCAATATAAAATTTCTTTGAACTATGTCTTTGATGATTTTCTATCCTACTTTTTTTCTTTTTTTCTCGTATCATTCTCATATTGGACCTTCTGGATAATTCCACCAGTGAATATTCTTATCTTTACTCTCCTATTTGAACCTCTTTATTTTACTCCTTTTATTGTACTTTCTGGAATATTTCTTCAACTCTATCTTCTATAGTACTGGGTTTTTCATTTTTACTACATTTAACCTCAACCATAAGCAAATAAATACCAAGCTAAAACAATGAGACTTTTTTCTTTTTCTTTTGCCTGTGAGTTTTGGCCAATATAAAAAAGTTTCATAATACCTAATGTTGGCTAAATGTGGGAAAACAATAAATGAAACTTCTTTGAAGAACAACTTTACAATATCTATCAAAATTCACAAAACATGTAAAACTCTTGACTCAGTAATTTTACCTCTAGGAATTTACCATGCATTTATACTTGTACAAATGTTCAAAAATATAGATATAAGCATTATTTGTTAATAGCAAAAAAAGAAAATCTTAAATATCCAACAGGAAGCAATTGATTATATAAACCATAATTATACCTGAAATATGCAACAATTTCAAAAACAACATTGATCTAGATATGGTGATATTGAATGACTTCTAAATGACTTAAGTGTGAAAAGCAAGATGGATACATAATTGTTTTTGGCTAGCCAGTAAGTGTTTAATGTGATTCCTAAATCCTGGATGTTCTTTTTTTTTTTGATGGAGTTTCGCTCTTGTCGCCCAGCTGGAGTGCAATGGTGTGATCTTGGCTCACTGCAACCTCCACCTCCCAGGTTCAAGGGATTCTCCTGCCTCAGCCTCCTGAGTAGCTGGGGATTACAGGCACCTCCCACCACACCCGGCTAATTTTTATATTGTTAGTAGAGACGGTGTTTCACCATGTTGACCAGGCTGGTCTCGAACTGCTGACCTCAGGTGACCCACCTGCCTCGGTCTCCCAAAGTGCTGGGATTACAGGCGTCAGCCACCGTGCCAGCCGATCCTAGATGTTCTTAAAAGTAGTAAATCTTTATTTTCTGAAAACTATTCTCTAAAGGATTGACTACCTCTATTTCAGACCTTATTTGTTGTATTTCACACAAATAGCATTCGTAAAAATACTTAAAGATTTTAGATAAATTATGTTATGCCAGATTTTTTTTTTTTTGAGACGAAGTTTCGCTCTTGTTACCCAGGCTGGAGTGCAGTGGTGCGATCTTGGCTCACCGCAACCTCTGCCTCTCGAGTTCAAGCGATTCTCCTGCCTCAGCCTCCCGAGTAGCTGGGATTACAGGTATGCACCACCATACTAGGCTAATTTTGTATTTTTAGTAGAGATGGGGTTTCTCCATGTCATTCAGGCTGGTGTTGAACTCCTGACCTCAGGTGATCTGCCTGCCTTGGCCTCCAAAAGTGCTGGGATTACAGGTATGAGCCACCATGTCCAGCTTTTTTTTTCTTTTTTAAGAGACAGTGTCTCACTATGTTGCCCCAGCTAGTCTTCAACTCCTGGCCTCAAGTGATCCTCCCACCTCAGCCTCCCAAAGTGCTGAATGAGCCTCTTATTTTCAGTAGTGTGCTAGGACTGGATTGTACTGGATCAAAAGGATATATTGTTAAATATGTATTCAAGAAAGCTGGTTGTTAATTGTAGCTAAAAATTGGCCATGGTGGGAGTATTCAAACCATGGAAATCAGCAAATACTACCAATCAGGGCTTTTTTTCTTTTCCTTCTGGAAAACTGATTTAGTAGTACAATCATCACCCCTATTTATACATAGGTGGGTTTAGTGAAATTATTTGGTTTCTGGAGATTCAGATCTATTTAGCAACGAGTCATTTCAATCATAACTATGGCATTCTTTATCTCATCTTCCATATTAGAAGTACTCTTGTCCAAGTTAATCAGATTATTTTTTAAGGTAGTAACAATCTATTCAAACATTAGCTTACCACTTATAACAGATATAAATTAGTCCAAACTGAAATACCTTTCTCCATTATATTCTTCTAGGGGAATTTCTTGAAAAGCATCCAAAGGAAACAAATGATGGTAAGACCGTGCCAAGTGGGGAGCAGACACCAAAGTAAGACCTAACACATTAAGCAGAGAGACATGTTGAGTAGTCCAAACCTCATGAAGACAACGGCTGAAAAGCCAAAAGATGTAACTTCAGCAGAATATGTTCAGTTTCTTTTAGGATGGCAGTTATTAATTTTACCTGTGGCTATAACAGAAGATTGTAGGATGGAGTCTTAGTTCTGTCACTAAGTGTGTAACCAACCTGTCTCGGTCTATTTGCTTACTTATATTATAAATGAAATAAAATTCGACAATTCTATTAGTTTAATTCTTCATTCTTATATATATTTACTTTATAAAGGTAAGAGATGGAAAAATGTCTACTACATCTACTGCACTGCCTTTAAAGAATATACTTTTTTCAGAAAGAGGATCAGGAAACTAGAATGCTACATTTATACGTGGAAGTGGAGTACTGGGCACTCAATTTAAAAAGTAATCTATTTTTCTTTGCACAGATTAAATCCAGAAACATAGGAATAACTTAACATTTACATTAATTTTAGCAGCAATACAGATTAAGAAGTCATTCAAGATTTACTGAATAATGAATAGTTGTTTTCTTACCACAGATTTTACATTCAACAGGTAGCTCACAGTACTTTGCCCGACACTGTGGGCAGAAATAGCCTCCTAATGTAAGCCCTGGCTCAGTATTGCCATCCAAATGCCTGTAGGGGGAAAAAGGGTAATATATAATGATCTGAAAAGTTAGAGCGGGAAAGCATGCTATCTTGACCTTAAAATCTTGACACTATTTAAAAATCTATTTAAAAGTCTGTATTTTTGGCCGGGCGCAGAGGCTCACACCTGTAATCCCAGCACTTTGGGAGGCCAAGGCGGGTGGATCACCTGAGGTCAGGAGTTCAAGACCAGCCTGGCCAACACGGTGAAGCCCCATCTCTACTAAAAAATACAAAAATTAGCCAGGCGCCTGTAATCCCAGCTACTTGGGAGGCTGAAGTAGAATTGCTTGAACCCAGGAGGCAGAGGTTGCAGTGAGCTGAGATTGCACCACTGCACTCCAGCCCGGGTGCCAAGAGTGAAACTCCATCTCAAAAAAAAAACAAAAGAAGTCTATATTTAAAAAAAAATTTATAACTTATATAGAGATGGGGGTCTCTCACTATATTGCTGGTCTTGAATTCCTAGCCTCAAGTGATCCACCTGCCTTAGCTTCCCAAAGTGCTGGGATTATAGGTGTGAGCCACCATGCCTGGTCTAAAAGTCTATTTTAAAATCTGTGAGTATGTCTTATAACTAAATTATGCTACATTCATTTTTTTCCCCCTCTTCATTTTTTTTTTTTTTTTTGAGACGGCTTCTCACTCTGTTGCCCAAGCTGGAGTGCAGTGGCACAATCTCAACTCACTACAATCTCCGCCTCCCAGGTTCAAGCAATTCTCGTGCCTTGGCTTCCTGAGTAGCTGGGATTACAGGCACGTGCTACCACACCCAGCTAATTTTTGTATTTTTAGTAGAGATGGGGTTTCATCATGTTGGCCAGGCTGGTCTCAAACTCCTGGTCTCAAGTGATCTGCCTGCCTCGGCCTCCCAAAGTGCTGGGATTACAGATGTGAGCCACTACACCCAGCCCTTCTCTTCATTTTTAAAGTCTCTATTACTATCTTTGAATTCACTAATTTTTTCTTCTGCAGTGTCTAATCTGCTGTTAATCCCAGCCAATATATTTTTCATCTAAAACACTGTATTCTTCATCACTAGAAGTTTGATTTGGGTCTTTTTTATACCTTCCATATCTCTTCTTACCATTCTCATGTTCTCTAACATCCTGAACATACAGAGTACATTTATAATTGTTGTCCTAACATCTTTGTCTACTAATTCTTTTTTTTCTTTTTTGATAAGAGTCTCGCTCTGTCACCCAGGCTGTAGTGAAATGGCACGATCTCAGCTCGCTGCAACCTTTACCTCCTGGGTTCAAGTCATTCTTGTACCTCAGCCTCCCAAGTAGCTGGGATTACAGGCGTGTGCCACCAGGCCTGGCTAATTTTTGTGTTTTTAGTAGAGATGGGTTTCGCCATGTTGGCTGTGCTGATCTCGAACTCCTGGGCTCAAGTGATCTGCCCACCTGAGCCTCCCAAAGTGCTAGCATTACAGGCAGGAGCTACCGCACCCAACCCTTTGTCTATTAATTCTACCAACTGGGTTATTTCTGGGTATGTTTCCATTCTGTGATTTTTCTCCATTTTATGGGTCATATTTTCCTTTGCATCCCTGGTAATTTCTGCCAGGGACTATGAATTTTGCTTTGCCAGACATTGTGAATTTTGCTTTGTTTTGGGTGCTGGATTTTTTCTTTTTTTTTTTTTTTTGTATTCCCTCAAATATTTAAGGGTTTGTTCTGAAATATACTTCATTAACTTGGAAATAGTTTAATCTCTTCAAAATTTGCTTTTAAACTTTGTTAGGCTGGTCTAGAACAGCTGTTAGTCTAGATTTTTCTTTTCTTTTCTTTTTGCCTCTGGTTCCAGTTCTTGTGATAGAATTAATTTGATCCCATTACTGTGGACTCTATTCAATGCCTGTCATGTTAAGAGGTATTTCCATACAGACTGGTGAGAACATGAATGTTCTCTGTGTGAGCTCTGGAAACTGTTCTGTCTGCTGCTTTCCAGTGATTTTTTCCCTGACTTCCAGTAGTCTCCTCACACAAAAGGGCTGATCAACGCTCAGCTGCTGACTCATGAGCAAGTCTATGCAGCTCCCCAGAGAGTTCTCTCTGTGCAGATCTTTCCTCTCCAGTACTCTGACCTGCAAAATTATCGCCATCTCAGCCTCCTTGAAAGATGAACTTTGTTTCTTCAACTCAACAACATCTCCAGCCTCTGTGTGCAGCCTGGAAATTCCATCCAGGCAGTAAGGTGGAGTGCTCTTAGGGCCCATCTCATTTGTTTCCTTTCTTTCAGGGATCATTATCAGCAAGGCTTGCTGTCCAACGTCTGAAAACCACTGTTTTATATATTTTGTCTGCTTTTTTTGACAGGAGGGTAAATCTAGTCCCTGTTACAGCTTTTTGGCTGGAGGCAGAAATCTTGTTTGTGATTTTTAAGAATTACTCTCTTAAATTTAATTTTGTTTTATAATTATGTAAAATACAAAGCTCTGAAGTTAAAACAAGGTACAGTAATATTCTATATAACATTTTGGTCAGTGATGAACCACATATATGACAGTGGTCCCATAAAATAATACATTTTAGTTGTACCTTTTCTGTGTTTAGTTAAACAAACACTAGGTGTTACATTACAACTGCCTACATTATTCAGTACACAATATGCTGTACAGGTGTGCAGCCTAGGAGCAATAGGCTATACTATATAACTGCGATGTTAGTAGGCTACACTATCTAGGTTTGTGTAAGTGCACTCTGTGATGTTTGCACAATGATGGTATCACCTAATGACACATTTCTCGGAATGTATCCCTATCATTAAGTGATGCATTCAGAAAAGTCTAGGGTCTAACCCTTTGCTTTTCCCTACACACTCACTGAGGTAAACATTAAAAAAAAAAATTTCCCCCTCCACCCCTTTTAAGTTTTTATTATTTCCATACTATTGTTTTTATTATTAACATAAACAAGTATATACATCCACTTACATCTCTACTTTCTTCTTAGGTGATTAGCAGCATACTACAAAATTCTCTCAAACTACTGTTTTACTTAGTAATTTATCCTGAAGATCACTCCATACAAGTATATAGAGATAGTCTTCATTGCCTATCTTTTGAATTTATAACTTAAAAGAAGGAATTAAAAATGTAAAAACATTATCACTGATATTTTCAAGGTCTTTACTTACGCCATGCTGAAAGAGGGTTTTGCATCCTGGTCAGATAAAGAAGCAATGGTGTGCTGAGGAAATCCTTCATAGAAGAAAATGTATTACTTTCTTTTTCCAAGCAAACAGCAGAATTCTAGGACTAAGAACCTAAAAATGTTCTTCTCAAAAAGCCAATGAAGTTGTACAAAATATCACTTTACTGCCTTTCAGATAAGCTTATTATAGCATGATGAAACTGACTAATTCCAAGCTACAAGAAAAAGTAGAGGAAACGGGGGAAAGACCTGTCTATATATGACCTCAGATTCTGAAGTTCATATATATATTTTTCTTTTTTTTTTTTCTTGAGATGGAGTCTTGTTCTGTCACCCAGGCTGGGGTGCAGTGGCATGATCTTGGCTCACTGCATCCTCCACTGCCTGGGTTCAAGCGATTCTCCCACCTCACCTTCCCATGTAGCTGGGATTACAGGCATCCGCCACCATGCCCAGCTATATATTTTCTAACTTAATGATTAACACTACTTTTTAAAGAGGTTGTAATTTTTACATCATTTCTGATAAAACTGAAGATATCATAGTACACCATTTTATCTACGTTTATGCTTTTATGTTTAAAATTTTGAAATGCTCAAATCTTTCATGTAATTTGTTTTCCATATACAATTTTAAATTCTGAAAACATGTTCAGGAAAAGCAGAAACCATTTTAAAAAAGATATATTACATAAAAAATGTAAATGTATCTACATATCAAAACAAATAAATAAAAGTAAAGGCAAATAACCAACAAGAAAAATATTTGCATCGGGTGACTGAGAAGGGTTAACATTCCTAAAGGACTCTAATAAATAAATTATAAATTTAAATAACTTTAAAATGAAATAAGAAAATATATCAGTAAATCAAAAAGATTAGCCAAACATAAGATCTAAAATGTATTGAATGTTTACATCAAGCATTATTCTAAACGCATCATCTGTATTAACTCAATCCTTGAAACACACAATAAGGTTGATAGTTACTGACATCATTAAACACATGAGAAGACCGTGGAAAAGAGAGGTCGACTGGTAATATAAAAGGCCAAAAGTAGAAAAGCATTTTATTTCATTAACATTTAAAAACATACATATTAAATAAGGAGATTATTTTTCTATTAAAAGTTATACTTTTTTCAATATAAATGTAATAAATTTTCATTGTAACATTTTTGTAAAATAGAAGAAAATAACATTTTAAAAAAGTGATCCAAGGCCGGGCACAGTGGCTCAAGCCTGTAATCCCAGCACTCTGGGAGGCCGAGGCGGGCGGATCATGAGGTCAGAAGTTCAAGACAAGCCTGGCCAACATGGTGAAACCCCGTCTCTACTAAAAATACAAAAATTAGCTGGGCATGGTGGTGCCCGCCTGTAATCCCAGCTACTCGGGAGGCTGAGGCAGGAGAATTGCTTGAACCTGGGAAGCGGAGGTTGCAGTGTGAGCTGAGATCGCACCACTGCACTTCCAGCCTAGGAAATAGAATGAGACTCCATCTCAAAAAAAAAAAAGAAAAAAAAAAGTGATCCAAAACCAATAATTTCCCCTCCTTTGAGCAATTTGGTGTACTTCCCTGCAAGCTTTGTCTTTGCACAGTTTGCATTACACAGCTTTGATCATCCAGTACAGAGAATTTTGTAGCTTATTTTATTTTTATTTTATTTTATTTTTTTGAGACAGAGTCTTGCTCTGTCACCCAGACTGGAGTGCAGTGGCGCAATCTCAGCTCATGGCAACCTCCGCTTCCTGAGTTCAGGCAATTCTCCTGTCTCAACCTCCTGAGTAGCTGGGATTACAGATGTCTGCCACCATGCCCAGCCATTTTTTGGTAATTTTTAGTAGAGACAGGGTTTCGCCATGTTGGCTAGGGTGGTCTCAAACTCCTGACCTCAGGTGATCCGCTAGCCTCGGCCTCCCAAAGTGCTAGGATTACAGGCATGAGCCACCACGCCCGGACTTTGTAGCTTATTTTAAAAAATTTTTAATATAAGTGTTTTTCTTTTGTTTTCTTTTTTGAGACAGAGTCTCGCTCTGTCGCCCAGGCTAGAGTGCAGTGGTGTGATCTTGGCTCATTGCCAGCTCTGCCTCCCGGGTTCATGCCATTCTCCTGCCTCAGCCTCCCGAGGAGCTGGGATTACAGGCGCCCGCCACCACGCCTGGCTAATTTTTTGTATTTTTAGTAGAGATGGGGTTTCACCGTGTTAGCCAGGATGGTCTCGATCTCCTGACCTCAAGATCCGCCCACCTCGGCCTCCCAAAGTGCTGGGATTACAGGCGTGAGCCACCGAGCCCGGCTTAATATAAGTATTTTTCTATAAACACAGTTTATACCTTTCTAGCCTTAAAAATAAAGAAAGCCAACAGTATTTTCTGGGTGACAGGACTACTGGTAGTTTTAATTTTTTTTTTCCACTTCTCTGTACTTTCCAAAATTGCTTCAACAAGCATATTTTTTCTTTAAAAATTCTTAAATATTAAAATAACTTGTGCAAATGAAAATAGAGAGCCTAGATATGTATTTTTTAAAAACATAAAAACACTTACCCATACGAATAAGTGAGCATTCAGAACTTGAGCTAGCAGGAGGAGGACTAACATGATGTGTGAGCAACTCTTTGTAATGGCTTTCATCTAAAATAACATGGTACGTGCCTAACAAGATGAAAAGGGAAAAAAAAACACCTTCATAGACATAACGAACTGTACGTTCTACGTAATTCTGTAAAAGTTGTATCATCTGAAAATGTACATTTTTAAAATAATGATTTTAGCTAAATTATCACTTTTAAAACCTTATTTAAGTAATATATCTAAATCAACTTCTCTAGGAATAACTATAATTACAATTGATTATTATTACTACTATTATTATTTTAACATATAAATAGAGACAGGTCTCACTATGTTAACCAGACTGATCTCAAACTTCTGGCCTCAAGTGATTCTCCTGCCTTGGCCTACCAAAATGTTGAGATTACAGGCATGAGCTATCATGCCTGGCCTGTAATTACAATTTAATTAAAGACAAGTTATAAAATCTTTATAAAGAATTACATACAGTAAAATTTCCAGCTTTCCAAGAGTTATAATACCTCCTCTAAATACTGACATAAGTACTGAAAACTCTTTGCATTTGGAGATGATTTCTTATGGAATCAATGATATATTTAAGATGACTGCCCATATTTTAGACTACTTTAAGTTTAGTAGCTCAGAACAGATTAAAACATCCTAATTTAATTAATAAATTATTTCCTACACAGTAATTATAAGCAAATATTAAATAAATTATATATATACCACCAGTTTCACGAGCAAGTACAGTGCAAACGCGAACTTCTGCAGACAATCCAATAACAGATACTCTAATTTTAGCTGCCTTTAGGGTCTTCATAAAATCCAAGTAGATAGATAGTTTTAGGAAAGAAGAAAAACATTTAA
Organism: Homo sapiens; assembly: GCF_000001405.40. Classification (NCBI taxonomy): domain Eukaryota; kingdom Metazoa; phylum Chordata; class Mammalia; order Primates; family Hominidae; genus Homo; species Homo sapiens. The sequence continues at coordinate 361,941 of NW_003315917.2, read as the reverse complement.
GATTTAATGTATTTGAAAAATAAAGAATGCTCTGAAAACTAGTAATAAATTCAATACATCTACCACAAAGATGAATCACACATACAAAAATACATATATATATAAATCAATTTGCTACAGAATTCTCTTTACAGTTATAACTTTGGTTTTGATTTTTTGGTCTACCTTGATTAGATCATAAATATTAGATGGATCGCAAGTTGTAAGGCTGCTAAAGATGATTAGTACTTCTCGACTTGTATGTCCAGGCATGTGTCTTAAAAGAAAGATAAAATACACTCCAATTAGGTACAACAAATTATACTACCAAAAAATTTACCCAGAAAGAACAGTAAACATAGGATTACACATTTAGACTATAGAATATCTCATTTGTTTCAACAATGCAAAGAAAGGTTGTGAGTATATTTTAAACACTTTAATGCAAATTTTTCTAAAATGAGCTATGCACTTCAAAAAATTGTTAATTGATTCATTTAATATTTACCAAGTACTCTCAAGTTCTGGGGGTAGAGTGATAAACAAGACTGACAATGTTCCCGACATCATTAAGCTTACATTCTAGTAGGTTTGTTTCATACAAAGTCTAGAGTATACAATAAAAAATACAACAATATATGGATAAACTTTAAACTAAAATGTGGCAATATCATATGGATCAGCTTTAAAGTGCAGAGATGTGGCTTCAAAACAGTAACACACACTTCTTTCTCAAAGACTATAGTAGTCCCCTCTTATCTGCAGAGGATACATTCCAAGACCCCCAGTGGATACCTGAAATCAAGGATAGTACTGAACCCTATATATACAGTCGTTCTTCGGTATCCTTGGGGGATTGATTTCAGGCCCTCCTATGGATACCAAAATCTGCAGATGTTCAAGTCCCAGATACAAAAGGGCGTAGTATTTGCATATAACCTATGTACATCCTCCCATATATTTTAAGTCATCTCTAGATTATTGATAATACCTAATACAATGTATACTATGTAAGTAATTGTTATCCTCTATTATTTAGGGGATAATGGCAAGAAAAAATGTCTATTTGTTCAGTACAGGTACAATTTTTTTCCAAAAATTTTTGATGCGTGGTTGATCGAATTCACAGAAGCAGAACCCAGGATTCAGAGGGCTGATTATACCATGTTTTTCCCTATACAGGCATACCTTGGAGATACTGCAGGGTTGGATTCCAGACCGCAGCAATAAAGCAAATATCACAATAAATATTTGCAATAAAGCAAGTCACATGAACTTTCAGGTTTCCTAGTGTATATAAAAGTTCTGTTTACGGCCAGGGATGGTGACTCACGCCTGTATTCCCAGCACTTTGGGAGGCTGAAGCGGGCACATCACGAGGTCAGGAGATCGAGACCATCCTGGCTAACACGGTGAAACCCCGTCTCTACTAAAAATACAAAAAAATGAGCCGGACGTGGTGGCAGGAGAATGGTGTGAACCCAGGAGGCGGAGCTTACAGTGAGCCAAGATTGCGCCACTGCACTCCAGCCTGGGCGACAGAGCGAGACTCCGTCTCAAAAAAAAAAAAAAGAAAGAAAAAGAAAAGTTCTGTTTACACTATACTGTAGTCTAGTAAGTGTGCAACAGCATTATATCTAAAAAAAAAAGTACACACCTTTATGAAAAATACTTTATTGCTAAAAATCGACTGAACTGTCAGTGAATAATATCTTTTTGTTGAAGGAGAGTCTTGCCTTGATATTGATGGCTGCTGACTGATCAGAGTGGTGCTTTCTGAAGGGTGAGGTGGCTATGGCAATTTCTTAAAATAAGACAAAGTAGTTTGTTACATGGGTCAACTCTTCCTTTCATGAAAGGAATGCAAATGCTGTTTGGTAGCATTTTATTCATAGTAGTACCTCTTTCAAAATGGGAGTCATTCCTTTGAAACCCCACTGATGCTTTACCAACTAAGTTTATGGGCTATTCTTTTTTTGTTTTGAGACTGATTCTTGCTCTGACACCCAGGCTGGAGTGCAGTGGTGCGATCTCGGCTCACTGCAACCTCTGCCTCCTGGGTTCAAGCAATTCTCCTGCCTTAGCCTCCCCAGTAGCTGGGATTACAGGCATGCACCACCATGCCCAGATAATTTTTGTATTTTTAGTGAGGACGGGGTTTCACCATGTTGGCCAGACTAGTCTTGAACTCCTGACCTCAAGTGATCCACCCGCCTCGGCCTCCCAATGTGCTGGGATTACAGGCATGAGCCACCATGCCCAGCCAGTGTAGATATTTTGACCTCTTTCTATGAATGGCATTTAGAATGGTGAATTCTTTCCAGAAGGTTTTCAATGTACTTTGCTCAGATCCATCTATGGCAGTCACAGCCTTATGATATGTATTTCTTAAATAATCAAGACGTGAAAGTTCAAAGTATTCCTTTATCCAAGGGTTGCAGAATGAGTGCTATGTTAGTAGATATGAAAATAACATTAATCTTCTTGTACATCTCAATTAGAGCTCTTGGGTGACTGGGTGCATTGTCAATGAGCAATAATATTTTGAAATAAATCTTTTTTCTGAGATATATCTCAACAATGGGCTTAAAATATTCAGTAAGCCCATGCTGTAAACAGATGTGCTGTTATCTGGGCTTTGTTATTCCATTTGCAGAGCACAGACTGAATAGATTTAGAATAATTCTTAAGGACTCTAGGATTTTCAGAATGGTAACAAACATTGGTGCCAACATCAAGTCACCAGCTGTATTAGCCCCTAACAAGAGAAGAAGCCTATCCCATGAAGCTCTGAAACCAGGCATTCACTTCTTCTAGCTATGAAAATCCTAGATGGCATCTTCTTCCAACAGAAGGCTGTTTCATTTACATTGAAAATATGAGGCCAGGTGCAGTGGCTCATGCTTGTAATCCCAGCACTTTGGGAGGCAGAGGCGGAGGACTGCTTGAGCCCAGGAGTTCAAGACCAGCTGGGCAATGTGGCGAAACCCTACCTCTACAACAACAACAACAACAAAAATTAGCTGGGTGTGGTGGCACATGCCTGTAGTCCCTGCTACTTGTGGGGCTGGGAGAATAGCTTGAGCCTGGGAGTTTGAGGCTGCAGTGATCCATGATTGCACCACTGCACTCTAACCTGGGTGACAGAGCGAGACTCTCTCTCAAAAACAAAAAAGAAAAAGAAAATTTGATATTTAGTGTAGTCACCTTCATCAATTATTTTAGCTAGATCTTCTGGATAACTTGCTGCAGCTTCTACATCAGCACTTGCTGCTTCCTCTTGCACTTTTTTTTTCTTTATTTTGAGACGGAGTCTCACAGTGTTGTCTGGGCTAAAGTGCAATGGCGCGATCTCGGCTCACTGCAACCTCTGCCTCCTGGGTTCATGCGATTCTCCTGCCTCAGCCTCCCGAGTAGCTGGGATTATAGGCGCACACCACCACACCTGGCTAATTTTTTGTATTTTTAGTAGAGACAGGGTTTCACTATGTTGGCCAGACTGGTCTTGAACTCCTGACCTCATGATCTGCCCACCTTGGCCTCCCAAAGTGCTGGGATGACAGGCGTGAGCCACCGCGCCCAGCCCCTCTTACACTTTTATGTTTTGGAGATGGCTTCTTTCATTAACCTCATGAGCTCAGCTCTGTTAGCTTCAAACTTTTCTTCTGCAGCTTCCTCACTGCTCTCAGCCTTCATAGAATTGAAGAGAATTAGAGCCTTGCTTTGGATTAGGATTTGACTTAATGGACTGTTGTGGCTACTTTAATCTTCTATCTAGACCATTAAAACTTTGTCTGTATCAGCAATAAAGCTGTTTCACTTTCTTATCATTCATGTGTCCACTGAAGCAGCACTTTGAATTTCCATTATTTTTTTCTTATTTTGAGACAGGATCTTGCTCTATCATACAAGCTGGAGTACAGTAGCACAATCGTAGCTCACTGCAGCCTCAAACTACTGGGCTCAATCCTCCTGCCTCAGCCTCCTGAGAAGTTAGGGACTACATACAGGTGCTCGCCACTGTGCCTGGCTAATTGTTTTTTTTTTTTTTTTTTTTTTTTTTTGTAGAGGTGGAGGTCTTGCTATGTTACCAGGACTGGTCTCAAACTCATGGCCTCAGGTGATCCTCCCATCTTAGCCTCCCAAAGTGTTGCAGTTACAGGTAAGAGCCACCACGCACAGCCCAGCACTTTCAATTTCCTTCAAGAACTTTACCTTTGCATTCACAATGTGACTAAGTGTTTAGCACAAGAGACCTAGCCTTCAGCCAGTCTTGCATTTTGACATGCCTTCCTCACTAAGCTCAATCATTTCTAGCTTTTGATTTAAAGTGAGACATGCGACTCCTCCTTACTCTTGAACACTCAGAGGCCACTGGAGGGTTATTATTGGTGTAATTTGAATATTTTTGTGTCTTAGGAGATGGGGGGGCCGAACAGAGGGAGAGAGACTGGAAAACAGCCAGTTGGTGGAGCACTCAGAACACACGTAACACTTATCAATTAAGTCTGTTGTCTTATATGGGCGCAGTTTGTGGTGCCCTAAAATAATTACAATAGTAACATCAAAGATCACTGATCACAGATCACCATAACAGATATAACAATAATTTACAAAGCTTGAAATATTGCAAGAACTACCAAAGTGTGATATAGAGGCAAGAAGTGAGCACATGCTGTTAAAAAAAAATGGCACCAACAGACTTGCTCAACAGAGTTGCCATAAACTGTCAGTTTGTAAAAAAAAAAGTTATCTGAAAAGTGCAATAAAAGTGCAACAAAATGAGGTGTGCCTTACATACACACCTATGATCAATAATGTATAAATTAGGCACAATAAGAGATTAACAACAATAACTAATAATGGAACATTTATAACAACATGCCGGCATCACTACTCCTGCACTTTGAGGTCATTATTAAGTAAAATAACACAAACACTGCAATAGTTTTGACAGTCAATAACAACAGTTAATCTGATGACTTAGGCCATTACATGGGTGGGCAGCATATACTGTGAGGATCTACAGGACCAAGGGATGATTCACGTCCTGGGCAGGACAGAGAGGGAAGGTGTAGGATCTCATCACGCTACCCAGAATGGCACACAACTTAAATCTTATGAATTATTTATTACTGAAGTTTTCAATTTAATATTTTCAGACCAAGAGTAACTAAAACTGGAAAGTGAAACTGCAGATAAGGGGGGATTACTATAATTTAACCTCACAGTAATTCAGAGTCATAATAATCATGAACATTAATATTGCATACCATTTAATTAAAATGATAGCTTGTAGATTTTTAAGTTGTGGTGACCAGTTTTCACCTACACTAAATAGACCTTTTTATGCTTTCTGCAGCAATTTTATCAGTTAGTTATAGCTTTCCTGCTTATATTTTCATTGTTATCTTCTCAGCTCTCACTGGTAGACCCTGCTACTGTACTTACCTCTATTACATGTGTTGCCTCCTTCTCATCCACTTCAAAACTAGAAAAATATCTATTATATAAAGGTATAAGTCTGAGCCAGGGCGGACTATCCAGAGATAAAATATATAAGCTTTAGGGAGGCTGAGGTGGGCGGATCGCTTGAGGCCAGGAGTTCAAGACCAGCCTGGCTAACATGGTGAAACCCCATCTGTACTAAAAATACAAAAATTGGCTGGGCATGGTGGCACACACCTGTAATCCCAGCACTAGGGAGGCTGAGGCACAAGAATCACTTGAACCCAGAGGTGGAGGTTGTAGTGAGCTGAGATCACGCCACTGCATGCCAGCCTGGGTGACAGAGCAAGACTCTGTCTCGAAAAAAAATATATATATACGTGTGTGTGTGTGTGTGTGTGTGTGTGTGTGTGTGTGTGTGTGTATATATAATAGATATATAAGCTTTAACTTATATATGTAAGTTTAACATATATATAAGCTTTATATATATATGTATAATAAATTATATATATAATATGTATATAAAGCTTATATATATATATAAGCTTTAACTATACCAAGTATTTCCTTTGGGGTCTTAGCTCTATTCCATATAGCTGAACTTGCCATATCTATTAATTTACAGATATATGACATTGGTGCAAAAGGAACTGTGGTTTTGGCCATTACTTTCAAAATAAATTAATAAATGTTAATAAAGGTACAACCAACTTACAATTATTATACTATATTAAATCTCATTTTAATAAAATATTTTTTCATCAACATATTTTTGTACTATTGATACTGCCGACAGTTTTAAATTATATTTTTATAAAACCTTTAACAATATCTTACTAAAATGTAAAATAAAGATTACTAACCAACACCACACTAAACATCATAAATAACACTACATAATTCTTGTACTTAACAATTTTGTTATAGCTGGGTTTATGGGCCCCATATTAACACATCACTTCAGCTTAACTCATTTAAAAAACTTCTAATTCAATTATACATAATGTATAATACTAACTTTAGAGTCTGCATAGCTATGCTTAGGGAATTATAAAGAGATGGCTCTCCATGGCAGGTCATATCCACAGCTTTCTTCAAAGACGTTATATGTTTTCTTGGGTTTCCTAAAATAGAAATAAGATCTTTAAATAAAATCCTATATATTAAAAAAGTTTATGTTTCTCTCAAAATTTACATATCTATGATGTTAAAGAACAGAATCCTTTCAATGTATATTTCTGTTGGAATTTTATCTGCAATATTTTGTAAACACTCTCACTTCATACTGAAAAACAGAATACAAATAATCTCCTTATAGACTAGCATACATATTTTAAAATAATGCTAACCTAGAGTGCATTTTTTTACTCTTAATATTTCCATATTTCATCATTTTTAAGACCAATACATTTTCACATTTAACATCTCTGAAATCAGCATGTGTTTAATAATCACTGGTAGCCAGCAGCACTTGTAACATAGTCTTTGCCTGTTCATATGTGAACCTACAAATAGGTCTTCATATGTTGTTGCTTCAATTGCATTATGTACATTGTCCTCTTCATGGTGAGTTTAACTGCCATTTAAAATGTTTTTAAGGCCAGGCGCGGTGGCTCACGCCTGTAATCCCAGCACTCTGGGAGACCACGGCAGGCAGATAACCTGAGGTCAGGAGTTTAAGACACACCTGGTCAACATGGTGTAAATCCCATCTGTAGTAAAAATGCAAAAATTAGCTGGGTATGGTGGCATACACCTGTAATCCCAGCCACTAGGGAGGCTGAGGCACAAGAATCACTTAAACCCAGAAGGTGGAGGTTGCAGTGAGCTGAGATTGCACCACTGCACTCCAGCCTGGGCAACAACAGCGAAACTCCATCTCAAAAAACAAACAATAAAATGTTTTTAGAAATGTTGTTAATACAAAAGGCTATATTTTTATGTAGAAAGGTGTGGAACACAGCAGTGAGGCATAAATTTATTATAATGAATCAAATATTGATGGAAGAATGCATGCAATTCCGTATTTTTCTTGAGGGAAGAAATCAAGAACTTTACAAGACCTAAGAAACGAATATTCCCACAAACAGACGAAGCTGTGTTATCTTACCAAATAGCATCTGAAAAGATTGTCTATCTTATGCTAAGCAATTCAAATGAAGGGGGGAGAAGCTGCCAAATCCTTTTTTTTCTTTTTAATATAATATTTTTTTATATTATTTATATTTAGATTATATATATATCTGTTGCCAGGCTGGAGTGCAATGGGGCAATTTTGGCTCAATGCAACTTCCACCTCCCAGGCTCAAACCATCCTCCCACCTCAACCTCCCAAGTAGCTGGGACTACAAGTGCCCAGCACCACACTTGGCTAAATTTTTTTGTATATTTTTGGTAGAGACAGGGTTTCACCATGTTGTCCAGGCTAGTCCTGAACTCCTGGATTCAAGCAATCCTCCCGCCTCAGCCTCTCAAAGTGCTGGGAGTACAGGTGTAAGTCACCACGCCTGGCCCCCAAATTTGAGATGTCTGTACATGTCAAATTACCAAGAAGCTAGTATAGCCAACTCATATATCATTTGATACTGTGTCAAAGTTTAACTACTAGGACTTTTCCTTCTTAATGGCTTATAAAAGTATCTTGTAATTGATGGAATCTGAGTTTCAATGAAATATAGTATTCCGTAAACATTTTCCATTTCAGCACTGTCTTCGTATCAATCAATAACCTAAGTATCATTAAATTGATTTTGTCATAAAATATAATCCATCAAAGCATACTATTAAACATTTAATTTTTAATCTGTCACTATTATACATAATGTTACAAAGAGTATCTTTGTAGAGTGATCATTCTCCTTCCATAACATTCCCTAAATATAATTTCAGGAACAATTTTTATGCTTTTCTAAAAAATATTGAACTAATTTGTAAGACTATCAGCACTATAAATAACAGTTTCTCTGTGGTTCCACAAGCAACATATTGCTTTGGAAACTTAATTTTGCTCATTTAAAATATATTAAAAAATAAAATGTTATGTAATTGGGTGGAGTTTTTTTGGATTACTAGTTTCCCTGATTTAATTTCTGGGTTTCTTCTGTGTGAATCATGTCTTCTTTGTCTATTCATCAACTTGGAGCTCCCTTGAGTTTTTACTCATCTGAGTAAGTTTTAAAATATTAACCATTTGTAATATTTAATATTTACTGCAAGTATTTTAGATTCATAAATTTTAGAGATGAAAAGTACCTCGCTAAGCAGTCCAAATCCCTCACTTCATAAGTGAGAAAATTAATCTAAACAAGTGAAATGACTTGCCCAAAGACATATGCCTGCTTAACTGCAGGACCAGCAGCACCCAAACCTAGATCTCCTGGCTCTCTATCCACTTCTCTTCCTACCCTACAAAATTATTTTTAATCTCCCACTGTGTTATGGGTATAGGAAAAAAGCATACTACAATAGTGTCAGTGTGGTTTACAGCAGTGGTCTGATTGGAGGGAAAAAAAGGTGGCTTCAAGAGGCCTGTCAGAATCTCCAGAATATTTTTCATCTTTATACATGACTTCACTAACATCCATAGAAAACTGCTGGGGCCGGGCATGGTGGCTGATGCCTGTAATCCCAACACTTTGGGAGGCTGAGGTGGGTAGATCACCTGAGGTCAGGAGTTCGAGATCAGCCTGGCCAGCATGGTGAAATCCTGTCTCTACTAAAAATAAAATTAGCCAGGTGTGGCAGCGCACACCTGTAATCCCAGCTACTCGGGAGGGGGAGGCAGGAGAATCACTTGAACCCGGGAGGCGGAGGTTGCAGTGAGCCAAGACAGCACCGCCTGGGCGACAGAGTGAGAGACTCCTTCTCAAAAAAAAAAAAAAAAAAGAAGTAATAGAAAACTGCTGGTAACTCGGGGTGGGTAAAGTGAGAGGAAAATATTGACCTTATATTCCTACCTTGGAGGAACCATCCTTCTTCCACTATATAATAATCCTGCTTAGTTCATGTGGTGCTGACCCTACTTCTATCCTGCTCTGGGCATCAGCAGGCAATCGAAGCGTACAAACAAAATACTTCATTTCCTGGCCACTTTGTTCATGGATGGGCAGATCGTAACTCAGGCCAATCAGAGTTCTCCCTAGACGTGTGCTGAAGCTATAGGCTACGGGTACAATGTAGACTGGGACAATTAAGAGACATCTTTTCAACTTCCAGAAAATCTATCAGAGAATGAAGCCAGACAAAGCCAGGACCCCAACATATGCAGCAACTATATATGGAATTGGCCCACCTTTGAACATAGCCCAAAATTTTCCTTCTGCACTTAAGCTAGTGTGACATTCTTTTGGTTACTCACAACTGAGTTTCTTGAATCACTCCAGGCCAATGTACATTTCACTCCTCACTGCATTTAATGAAAAACTACTAATGAAGAAAGTATGTCATTTCCCTTATGTGTGCCGGCAAGGATAAAAGGTTGAAAACCAGATTTAAGGGAGAGTGTATTTCACAGAAAATAAAATAGAATCAGTGATGCAAATTTGTAACAGCATATATACCAAAGCAAATAAAAAATGCCATTACTACGTTTTGAAACTAAAATTCAGTTAGGTATGTCATGGAAGCAGAAAAATTGATTCATTAGCAATAGCTACAGTTTAATTTTTATACTTTTTCCCTTTTAAATTAGATGCTTAACTTTCTAAGAATTTAATTTTAAGATTAACTGGATTTTATAAATGATTACAATAACTGTATTTTAATATTTTCAGGATAAGGCCGGATGCGGTGGCTCAAGCCTGTAATCCCAGCACTTTGAGAGGCTGAGGCGGGCTGATCACAAGGTCAAGAGATTGAGACCATACTGGCCAACATGGTGAAACCCCGTATCTACTAAAATACAAAAAATTAGCAGGGCGTGGTGGCGGGCATCTGTAGTTCCAGCTACTCAGGAGGCTGAGGCAGGGAATCGCTTGAACCCGTGAGGCGGACTTTGCAGTGATCCGAAATTGTGCCACTGCACTCTAGCCTGGCGACAGAGCAAGACTCCATCTCCAAAAAAAAAAAAAAAAAAAGGAAAGAAAAAAAATTTCAGGATAAGCACATATAGATTTTAAATAAAAACATTTATATTCAATGTAGTATTATTTACCACTACGCAGAACTCAATTTAGAATAGTTAACCTTGTATCCTAAGAATATAATGGTGGGGGAGATGTTATTAAATTGTTTCACCTAGAGAAGACAGAGGAACCACCCTTCACGTTACTTATTAAGCAGCCATATAAACAGGGCTACGAGGTTGGGTAAATAAAGCAAAGTCCTTGAGTCATGTAAAGGTAATTTTATGCATACCTGAAAGTTCAGTCAATTTTTCAGCTCTTTTACTCTTAGTTACAATTATTCCAATCTTGAAATAAAAACAAAAATTATTATTAATATAACAAGTTATTTCCTCCCATTAAGAATATATATAACTATTCCTGTAGATGATATTGGAGCAGAAAAAAAAATAATTTATATAGCTAAAATAAACTAGTAATTACAAAAGAAAGAAGCAACAGGTGAGAAACTTTTTCTCATGCTGTTTTTGGCAAATAAATTTAGCTATGAGTTCACATTACGTTTAACTTTTAGAGTTATTACGCTTTTCATTTTTAAGTATACCAGAAACTGGTTAAACAATTTGGGTAATTCACAAAATACATGTCCAATTTTTAAAAATAAATTACATTTGGAAGCAAAATAGGAATCTAATTCTGAATTCTATCACTTAGATACGTACCTGACTAATAGGATTTTGATCAAAATATTCCTCTACAAAGTATTCCAACAACTGTTTAAACAAAAAAAGACATACTAGATAAAGGCAAAATAACAATCATAAAGAACACGTCCAACTGATGTTTGTGAAACCTGTTAATCAAGCGTCACTTCTCATGACTTTTAAACTTACAGATTTTCAAAAACTGTTAAGTAATAAAAATATTAAACAGTAAAAACGTTAATTTGAAATGGTGGGTGATGAGACAGGTTTGAGCTAGGTTTTAAAAGATGGAACCATTTGGATGTGTCAGAAGAAATTTCAATGAGGAAAAGATCCAATGAAGAGAGATGGGAGAACGAGCAGAATTGAGAATAGGTTTTGATAAATTAGGAATACGAACATATTTGTAATCTGAGGAGACAGAGTTAAGTAAGGCAAAGGAGAATGAAGATTCAAGAAAGAAAAGGGATAACTGATAAACCAAGATCCTGATGTGGGGTGGGAGGATAGAAATTAAAAACACAAATAATTAGCTATGTTGGTTTAAAATTTCCCTAAATAACCTGGCAGTACTTCTACTTAGCTATCATTAGCATTAACTAAAAATACAAGGCAAAAAATAAAAAATATTGCATTCTTTAAAAATATCCTTTAGAATCCAGTGTTCTTCCCCACTTTTTTAGTAAAAGTTTAAGTGATTTTGGTACAAATTTAAATGATTTAGTATAAACTTAAATTTTACCTTTAAAGTACACGTCAGTCTATTAGGCTTTAAATCTTGGTCTTCCATTGTTCTTGATCCATCTACTACCACATAAAGGTGGCGCATCTATCGGAAAAAAGAAAGGGCCAATTTCAAGTACTTGTTTTGTTTTGTAGAAACTGGGTCTCGTTCTGTTGCCCAGGTTGGTCTCAAACTCCTGGGCTCAAGCAATCCTCCTGCCTTGGCCTCCCAAAGTGCTGGGATTATAGGCATGAGCCACTGTGCCCAGCCTCAAGTGCCATTTTGACTAGTAAAAATGGCATTTAATAATTACATATTCTATGCACGTATTTTTAACATATTCTTTTAAAAACTTTGTTGTTTTGCTATTGTTTTTTCTAGCAAGACAGAATGTTTCTCTAACCTAAACTAGTTCTGTACTAGTAAAAGAAAAAATAATGACATACCATTCCAAGTCGAACTTGTCCATGGTGCTCAAATACTCTGTTAAAATTATACAAACATTTTAATGTAATTCCATATACTATCCCCCCCCACAAAAAAAATACAACTTTCCAATTGACCTCCTTTGTTTTTCTTTTTTTCTAATTCTGAGTAAGAATGTCATAACGTGCATTTTTAGTGGAGTAAATAATTAACTTATGGAATACAATACACACAATTATAGGTATTGTAGACAGTCTCTAAAGACCATTTCCTGCTGGGGCAAGGGTAGGTGGCTAGTTCTTTCCCCATAGTCAGAAGGCAATAGGTCAGTTACCCTGAAACACAGCTAAAATGAAGTACTGAGGAGTATTTATAGATAGAAAGGCTTAAAATGAATATATTTTACCTTTTTAAGATACATAGGAAGGTTACATACCTTTTTCTCTTTGCCTTGAATAGAATGTCTTCTATTGTAGCTTTAAGTGATCCAGATTCATCTTCTTTAAGAATCTCCCTATAAGTCATAATTATTTGTTTGAAAAGACAAGCTAAAATGATTACTAGCCCAAATGAAATGAAAATATATGTCCACACAAAGATTTGCATGTAAGTGTTCATGGCTGCATTTTCCTAACAGTCAAAAACTGTAAAGAACCTAAATATCCACAGACTAGTGAATGGATAAACAATAATGTGGCATAACCATAGATGGGAATACTATTCAGCAATAAAAAAGGAATGAAGTATTAATACACACTGCATCATGGATGAGTCTTAAAAATAAGTGAAAGCCAGCCACAACAGACCAACTATTATAGTCATGCATCGCTTACTGACAGGGATACATTCTGAGAAATGCATTGTTAGGCAATTTCATTATTGTGTGAATATCACAGGGTATACTTACACAAACCTAGATGGTATAGCCTATCCCACGCCTAGGTTACAAACCTGTACAGCACGTTACTATACTGAATATCTTAAGACAACTGTAACACAATGGTCAGTATTTGTATATCTAAACATACATAGAAAAGGTAGAGTAAAAATACAGTATTATAATATTATGGGACCATTGTCATATATGCAGTCTGTCTTTGACCAAAACATCATTATGTGGCACATGATTGTATATGATCACATTTTTGTGAAATGTCCAGAAAAGGTTAAAATTTGGAGACAAAAAGTAGACTAATGATTGCCCACAGGTGGAATTAAATTAAGATTTAAATTAATTGTAAATGAATGTGAAGGATCTTACTGGAGTGGTTACAATATTCTAAAACTGGTTTATGATAATGGCTGCACAGCTCAGTAAATTATTAATAAAACATCACTGAATTGTACATTGGAAATGGGTGAATTTTAACATATGTAAAATATACTTTAATAAAGTTGTAAAGAAAAAAAAAGACATTGTCTAAAAGAAAAGACAGGGCAATAAAGCTCTCCTTACCATGTTCTTTCATAGCCTCCTTCCCATCGCTTAGTTCTTTCAGGTTCTTCATCCATTTTTTTCAAAACTGTATTTTATTATTCAATAATCTGTAAAAACCATTAGAATGTAAGTTATCTAAAGATGTTTGTTACAAAATTCATCCAATTAAATTTGAAAATTAGACACATATATAAAGTAAAAAAAAATGGAATGCCAGGTCATCTTATTCTTTGTATTTTACTCAATAATTGTCTTAAAAATCTTCATAGAACTCCATTTCTCATTTCCAAGAAATAATATGAACTTATACACAAACTTGGTACCAATAAAAATAAGCGTCTTTTTACGATTTGTAAAAGAACAAAAATGCTTTATAGATGTGTCACATGACAAACTGTAGACTTGTGAGGAGTCAGTATGGGCGTAGTTGAACTATTATAGCTGAGTGACATGTGATTCATTGTACTATCTCTCTGTGTATGTCTCAGTTTTCTCATAATCAAAAGTTTTTAAATCACATTTATTATTTATAAATGGGTAAATGCTATAGCTCATAATTCAAAAAAAAAGGACACAAAATTAAACATAGTTCTTTGAGACATCTCCAAACTGCTTTCCATAGTGGCTGAACTAATTTACATTCCTACCAACAGTGGATAAGCATTCCCTTTTCTTCACAACCTTGCCAACATCTGTTATTTTTTGACTTTTTAATAATATCCATTCTAACTGGTGGTGAGATGGGTTTGTGGTTTTGATTTACATTGTGGTTTTGGTTTGCATTTCTCTAATGATCAGTGATGTTGAACATTTTTTCATATATTTATTGGACACATGTATGTCGATCCAACAATCCCAATACTGGGTATAAACCCAAAGGAAAATAAAACCATTCTACCAAAAGTACAAGAGCACTCATATTAATCACAGCACTATCCAAAATAGCAAAGACATCAAATCAACTTAGATGCTCATAAATGGTGGACTGGATAAAGAAAATGTGGTACGTAATATATCATGGAATACTAGCAGCCAAAAAAACAACGAAAAAAAAACACAATGAAATCCTGTCTTTTGCAGCAACATGGATACAGCTGGAGGCCATTATCCTCATTGAATTAACACGAACAGAGGCCCAACGCAATGGCTCACGCCTGTAATCCTAGCACTTGGGAGGCCAAGGCAAGTGGATCACCTGAGGTCAGGAGTTTGAAACCAGCCTGGCCAACATGGTGAAACCCTGTCTCTACTAAAAATAGAAAAAAATTAGCCAGATGTGGTGGCGAGCACCTGTAATCCCATCTACTCAGGAGGCTGAGGCAGGAGAATTGCTTGAACCCGGAAGGCAGAGAGGTTGCAGTGAGCCGAGATCGTGCCACTGCACTCTGGCCTAAAAAAAAACAGCAACAGAAAACCAAAGACGGCATGTTCTCATTTACGAGTGGAAACTAAACACTGAGTACACGTGGACATAACGATGAGAACAACAGACATTGGAGACTATTAGACAGGGAAGGATGGGAGAGAGTGAGGGTTGAAAAACTGCCTATCAGGTACTATGTTTACTACCAGGGTGACGGGATCATTTGTATACCAAACCTCAACAACAAGCAATTTATCCATGTAACCAACATGCACACGTACTCCGTGAAAATAAAAGTTGAAAACAAAACAAAACAAACAAACACAGGCCAGGGCCAGGTGCAGCGGCTCCATCCCTGTAATCCCTGCACTTTTGAGAGGACAAGGTGCGGATCACCTGAGGTCAGGAGTTCGAGACCAGTCAGGCCAACATGGCAACACCCGTCTCTACTAAAAATACATAAATTAGTTGGGCATGGTGGCAGGTGCCTGTAATCCCAGCTACTAGGGAGGCTGAGGCAGGAGAATTCCTTGAACCTGGAGGGCAGAAGCTGCAATGAGCCAAGGTCACGCCACTTCACTCCAGCCTGGGTGACAGAGCAAGACTCCGTCTCAAAAAAAAAAAAAAAAAAAAACCAGGCCAGGTATGATGGCTGACATCTGTAATTCTAGCACTTTGGGAGACTAAGGCAGGTGATCACTTGAGGTCAGGAGTTTGAAAATTAGCTAGGAGGTTGGTGGGAGCGGGCCCCTGTAATCCCAGCTACTGGGGAGGCTGAGACAAGAGGACTGCTTGAACCCAGGAGGCACGGAGGCTGCAGTGAGCCGAGATCAGGTCACTGCACTCCAGCCTGGGCAACAGAATGAGACCCTGCCTCAAAAAAGAAAGAAAAGAAAGGAAAGAAAGAGAGAGAGAGAAACGGGCACGGTGGCTCATCCTGTAATCCCAGCACTTTGGGAGGCCGAGGCCAGCAGATCATTTCAGGTCAGGAGTTCAAGACCAGGCTGGCCAACATAGTGAAATGCCGTCTCCACTAGAAATACAAAAATCAGCAGGGCCTAGTGGTGCACACCTGTAATCCCAGCTACTCGGGAGGCTGAGGCAGGAGAATCACTTGAACCTGGCAGGTAGACACTGGAGCGAGCCAAGGTTGTGCCACTGCACTCCAGCCTGGGTGAGAGAGCGAGACTCTGTCATTCATTCATTCATGCACAAATAAATGTCCTCATCACACCTCCATCCTCCCCAATGCAATCTCCCTCCCAACTCCACCACCTCGTGGCTCACTGCAACCTCCACCTCCCGGGTTCAAGTGATTCTCCTGTCTCAGCCTCCCAAGGAGCTGGGATTGCAGGCGCGTGCCACCATGCCCAGCTAATTTTTGTATTTTTAGTACAGTCAGGGTTTTGCCATGTTTTATATTTTTGTAGAGCCAGGGTTTCACCTGACTTGCCAGGCTGATCTCAAACTCCTGACCTCAAGTGATCTGCCTGTAAACAGAATATTTTTGTTTCTTTTTTTGTTTTAAGACGGAGTTTCACTCACCACCCAGGCTGGAGTGCAATGGCGCGATCTCGGCTCACTGCAACCTCCGCCTCCGAGTTCAAGTGATCCTCCTGCCTCAGCCTCCCGAGTAGCTGGGATTACAAGAGCCCACCACCACACCTGGCTAACTTTTGTGTTTTTAGTAGAAATGGGGTTTTGCCATGGTGGCCAGGCTGGTCTCGAACTCCTGACCTCAGGTGACCCACTCACCTCGGCCTCCCAAAGTGCTGGGATTACAGGCGTGAGTCACCACACCCAGCCTCAACTGAACATTTTGCTCCTCCCTGTTTTCTGTTACGTATTGTGAACTTTAAAAATGAAAAACTCGCATAACGTTCTCAACGTTTTTAAACTCAAATTCTTGGCAGGGCACACAGTGGCTCAAACCTGTAATCCCAGCACTTTGAGAGGCCAAGGCAAAAGGATTGCTTGAGTTCAGGCGCTCAGATCAGCCTGGGCAATAACCTTGTCTCTACAAAACATCAAAAAATTAGCTGGGCGAGGTGGCGAGTACTTGAGTCCCAGCTACTTGGGAAGCAAAAGTGGGAGGATGACTTGAGCCCAGGAGAGTCGAGGCTACTATGTTCACTACTGCACTACAGACTGGGTGACAGAGTGAGACCCTATCTCAAAATAAATAAAATAATTACAAATATATAATAAATATTATAAATATAAAAGTAAATAGCAACTGAGAGACTTTTGGCTGACCATATCAAAGGAATTCTTTTTTTTCTTTTTTTTTTGAGACAAGAGTCTTGCTCTGTCGCCCAAGCTTGGAGTGCAGTGACGCAATCTCGGCTCACTGCAACCTCCGCCTCCAGGGTTCAAGCGATTCTACTGTCTCTTCTGTCTCCCGAATAGCTGAGATTAAGGCACACGCCACCACAGCTAACCTTTTTATTTTTAGTAGAGACGGGGTTTCACCAGCCTGTTGGCCAGGCCTGGTCTCGAATTCCTGACCACAACTGGTCCGCCCACCTCGGTCCTCCAAAGTGTTGGGATTACAGGCATGAGTCACCACGCCCGGCTAAAAGGACTTCTTAATTAGAGCTGCCTGCAATGGGAAATCCGACTGGACAGGAGGTATTAAGGTCCCTAAAACTGCAGACGTTCAATGGGAAGTCTGATTGTAAACATGCATGCTGTTTAAAGGATTCATGCATCCTGAAGATGGACTTTGTAAAGATCTCCAATGGCCTGTCACTTCCCGTCAGTCCATTTTCTTCTTAAAAATATCAGCGAGGCCAGGTGGGTGGCTCACACCTGTAATCCCAGCACTGTGGGAGGCCGAGGCGGGAGGATCACGGGGTCAAGAAATCAAGACCATCCTAGCCAACATGGTGAAACCCCGTCTCTACTGAAAATACAAAAATTAGCTGGGCGTGGTGGCACGCGCCTGTAGTTCCAGCTACTCGGGAGGCTGAGGAAGGAGAATCGCTTGAACCCGGGAGGTGGAGGTTGCAGTGAGCCGAGATCGCGCCGCTGCGCTCCAGCCTGGCGACAGGGCGAGACTCCGTCTCGAAGAAAAAAAAAAAAATTTTAAGTGATCTGTTTCCTGGAATCCAACCCCAAACAATCCACGTTCCTCAGCATAAGCCTACTGGTGTGATTCCCGTTACATGAGCTCGGAATGCTATCTGCCAACAAATGAGAGCACCAAACATCCCAATTTAAGAAGCTTTTCTTCACACCTTACCAAGCTATGTGAAACTGGCAAGGGTGATTACTGTCCTTGTTTTTCAGGTATGGGATTCAGGCTCAGAGGTTGGTCACTTTCTCAAGCGGGTCACAAACTCGAACCCTGAACCATCATTTCTAAAAGTCGCGCTTTTACTTAGGGAGAGACGGCCTGCAGCTTCCCTCCCTACTCTGCGGCTCCCCAGACGAAAGTTACCTTCCTCTGCCTTCACAAGCTCCTTCACATCCTCCTTCCCTATGAGCCCAGGCAGGGCAATTCAACCTCCGTTCCCCGCCACGAAAACGCTCCCAGCCGCCTAGCTAGCCAGACGGCCTGCCCCACCTCTGCGCCTCACAGACTTCCACACGCGGACTCACCGGCGCCGCTAGAAGGACTCTCAGCCGGAAACTCCGCCCGACACTCCTCTCCGCCGCTTTAGGGGCGCCCCGGAAGTCATTCCGCCGCGCCCTGCGGCCACGCCGAAACGTTCCGGATGCTGCAGAGTGCAGCTGCCGGAGCGGGGCGCTCAGGTGCAGGGCATGGCCTCCGCTGAGTTGGGGCGCGGAAAGGGACGGTGTTCCAGCTGGAATTCACGGAGAACCGGAAAGAGTGATCGCCATTCGCTCTCGGAAGGTCGAAGGCTCTGCAGCCATCGACCTGGGTTCTGAGGAGCTCGATCTGGTTTTTCTACTTCTAAAAGGTTGGGATGAAGGACCCTGGCCACAGAAGTAAAGCCAGAATTATCCTTGCTTCTTGCTGTGTATTTCAGGACTCCTCCATTGCTCTTGCTGTTCATTCAACAAACATTGAGCATCTACTTTGAGCCTGATGCATGTCTAAGCACTGAAGAAATAACAATGAAAAACTGTCAAAAATCCTTGCTCTCGTGGAGTTTTCCTTCTCCAAGGGGAGTCAGTATGAAGAAAAACATATACTATATGAAATGGTGATAATGCTGTGGAGAAAAACTAAGCACTGAAGGGGAAAAGTTTGCAGTTTAAAATAGGGTGGCCAGGCCGGGTGCGATGGTTCACACCTGTAATCCCAGGCATGGTGATTTGGGAGGCCGAGCGGGGGTGGATCATCGGAGGGCAGGAGTTCGAGACCAGCCTGGCCAACATAGTGAATTCCGTCTCTACTAAAAATACAAAAACATTAGCCGGGCGTGCTGGCAGGCGCCTGTAATCCCAGCTACTCGGGAGGCTGAGGCAGGAGAATCGCTTGAATCCAGGAGGCACAGGTTGCAGTGAGCCAACCTTGCACTCCAGCCTGGGTGACAGAGACTTCATCTCAAAAAATAAAATAGGGTGGCCAGAGGAGTCCTCGCTGGGAAGACAGTTAAGCCATGACCTGAATGAGGAAGGGTGTTAACCCTACTGATACCTAGGGGAAAAGCTCTTCAGACAAAGAGAGCTGCAAGTGCAAAGGCCCTGAGGTAGAAGTGCATTGGGGTCTTTGACGACTGCAGGAGTGAGCAGGGGATGAGTGGTGGCAGCTGCAATCAGAAGGGTAAGGTGGGGAGGAGAGGCTGTGAGCACTGTTAAGAACTTTGGGGGAATTGTGATGGCTTGGACCAGCAGCTGGTGAGAAGTGACTGAATTCTAAATCTTACCAATACACTGGATGTGTGTTATGAGAAAAGAATCAAGGATACCTCCATAGTCTTTAGCTGAGCAACTGAAAGGTTGGGGTTGCAATTATTAAAATGTTGGCGGGGTGGGTAAGATCAATTCAGTTTTGGACAAGTTGTCTGACTGCCAATTAACACAAGTGGAATTACTGGCATTTCCCATACTTGAGAAATGGAGAGGCAGTGCACCCCCAGATGAGAAAAGGGTTAGGAATAACACAAAGGAACTGCAGAAGCTAGGGCCTCTTTCCTTCCCCATCAGCATACTCATCCCCTCCATTGCCTTTATTTTATTGTTAAAAATTTTTCCCATCTCTGTTGTCTCCCTCAAAAATATAAACAGAAGGTATCTTGCATAGCAGTGGAAAGAACAGCCCTGGATTTAAAATCAGGCTCTGACACACTGGCTGGGTGACCTCAAGCAAGTCACAACCCAAGTCTATGAACTAATGTGTAAAATGGGGTTGTCTCCACCAACCCTGCAGGGCTTAGTGGGAACTCCATAATCAGTCTCATTTCCTCCCAGAAGACAGGATTTTAAAAGGGAGAGGAGGGGAAATTAGTATCGCAGTGCCAGGAAGCTTCCATGCTTGCCTCCCTCCCACCTTTGACCTCATTAGAGGACTCACACACAAATTCCACACTTTTCCTTTTGTGCCCTTCCTTCCTATCCACACTTTTGCTTCCTTCCATCTTAATTGACCATCCTATTTGCAAGACGGGATGCATTCCTCTAGGACAAACAGCCTAGAGGAATCCCAAGCCCCAAGTTTCTTGCATATGTTTGTTATCCATCAGCCTGGGAAGGCTTTAAGGAAAACCAGGAAAAAGATAGAGGACTCCCCAATAAATATAAAGCATATTTGCGAAGAGAGGAGACTGAAACAGTTTTCCCAACTGTAATATTTGTTCTGTATAGATTTTAGACATGGATGTTAAGATTCAACTAGGAATGGTACTACAGCAAAACAAAATATGCATAAATCCATAATCTCTTGGCATGATTATGACTGACATATTCTAATCATTTACAAAGTGGTAGAATAAATTATCTAACCTACTCAGATGTTTTTTCAACTTGTAAAACTAAAAGACAACTATAAAGAATGGATAATCTGTTCTTTGCCCATGAGTGGCCAGACACAATCAACAGGGTTAGGACATTCACAATCAGCTCAGCCAGTGGAATCAGATATAAAAAGCATGCAACTTGAAAGACTGGGAGAAGTGAACCTGTCTATTCCAATAGACAGGCTCCCTTACAGGGAAACTAAATCATTCCAGAAAGCCTCATCTAAAACCTCTGTAATTGACAACAGTATCTAACAATCGTGATCTTGATAAGTAAACTATTTGCTGTAACCTAAAGAAGCATTTGTTTATCATGTACAAATATTTAGAATGCCAATCCTGCATTCTCTGCCTAGAATTCAAAAGAATTTACATTCTAAGGCTGCACCCAGCACAGATCAATCATATGGGATTGGATGACACATGCACTTTTAAAAAACACAATTTGCTTTTAGAAAACTTGTTAAAGTTTCACCTTCTGGCTTTGGAAGATGGGGGTAGCTAGGCATATTTACTTTTAGACAAGGACTGAGTCACACATTAACTACCTTCTTAACTATGAGATTATTACAAATATATTTTTACAAATACAAAAAACTGAAGTACAGAGAGGCTAAGTTAATTTCTCCAAGGTCCCACAGCAAGTAACTGCAGAAGGGCAAAGCAAAAATAGGACAACACATGTAGGCAATACCAAGCAGTTCTTGTGGCAGCAACTGGAAACCTTTTGGAGACACCATTCTGCATTTCGTTGTAGTCATACACAAAACCCTAGTTATGTATCCATGCTTCTTTCTCATAATGCCAAAGTGGCACTATTCTAATTTACTAACAAGGTTTTCTAAAAACTACCCAAATTATTGTGGTGTTTTTGCTCACTTCTTCCCATTAGAATAAATGTAGACAATAAGAAACGCATGAGGGATGACATAGTCCTCCATCAAATCTGTCCTTTCACACAAGAGATGGCATGGTGTAGTGTAGCAGAATCATGAGCTGCCAGGAAATTATGAATTCTGATTCCTCCAGCTGAGTCTTTGAAAAAGTCCAGATGAGAAACACTTCCATCCTGATGCTGAAGCAAGGAGAATGTCCTTGTGTGAGGAATTCTCACAACACCAACTGAAGCTAAGGTCCCCGGAGCCATGATAAAAGCACTTTTCTGCCCTGATTCTTCTTTACACACATGTACCCATTCAGGTCTTTACAGATATTTCACAGGAAGCATTTATGTTACAAGTACTTAAAATGCACTCGAAATTAATATAGGATACTTTATTTACATCAGAGTGATCTCACATTATCCAATCCATTAACAAAGTCAACACAGGATGGAAGTATAGAATCTAACAGTTGAAGAGACTAAGATCCTAATCCCTTGTTTTGCCACTTGCTAGTGTGACAACAGCCAGTTAATCTATCATATCATTAGTTCCTTGTCTATAAAAGAAGAATAAGAAATGGTCACATGTCAAAAGATCGTTGTGAGGATTAAATATCATATATGTACTTATGTGTATGTAACTTATTTACTATAAATACTAGTTGACTTCACTTTATTTCAAAAAATATAAAGCACATATGACAAAACATTAACACATGTTATTTCTGGGCGGATGGTACTTATATTTTATACTTTTCTGTATTTAAATTTTTCAAAATAAAATAATGATCCTATATACTTTTAATACAAAATCACATATGTAGGGCATCACTTTATACGCAGGGAATCTTTACAAAATGAACTATGTGCTATCACAACAAACTCCTTAGAACAATAGTTTATAACAAAGCAGAATTCCAGACAAGAACTACAGGTCAGAAATGGAAGGGATGTCGGAAATCTAATCTAAACCTCTGACTTTCTAGACTAGGAAGCTGCTTGAGTGGCTTTTCAAATTTACATCCAGCTAGTTAATGCCAACGCCAACAGAAACACCCTGATCCTAGTTTCCTAAAACGGTATTTAGTATAAATACACATGAAAATTTTTCTTATTTTTGAAATTTCAAAGTCCAATTTTATAACACAATTTTACAATGCAAATTCTTGCTGTTTCACTTTCTGGATTCAGCTGAATAGTTTTGTGAAAATACTGACAAACTTGCCTTCACGAACTGACTTCCAAGAACAAATTGTTAAAACTTTAACAGAAAAATCAGTTAAAGGTGCTCATCAAGAGAGTCCTTTTCATTTGGTATAAATCCAAAACTATGAAAATACCTTTTGTATTATGTGCATGCAGAAAATTAAGAATTTATTCAATTTGCAGAAATAAATCAGTGATATAATGGAAACATTTAAAATTTTATCTCTGGAAAATAATCCAAAATCATCTATCAAAAATTATAGGCCGGGCGCAGTGGCTCACGCCTCTAATCCCAGCACTTTGGGAGGCCGAGGTGGATGGATCACCTGAGGTCAGGAGTTCGAGACCAGCCTGACCAACGTGGAGAAACCCCATCTCTACTAAAAATACAAAAAAAAATTAGCCAGGTGTGGTGGCGCATGCCTGTAATCCCAGCTACTCGGGAGGCCGAGGCAGGAGAATTGTTTGAACCTGGGAGGCGGAGGTTGTGGTGAGCTGAGATCGCGACATTGCACTCCAGCCTGTTCAACAAGAGCAAAACTCCATCTCAAAAAAAAAAAAAAAAAAAAAAAATACACACACACACACACACACACACTTAGGCCAGGCATGGTGGCTCACGCCTGTAATCCCAGCACTTTGGGAGGCCGAGGCAGGCAGACCACAAGGTCAGGAGTTCAAGACCAACCTGGCCAATATGGTAAAACCCCGTCTCTATTAAAAATACAAAAATTAGCCAGGCATGGTGATGGGTACCTGTAGTCTCAACTACTCGAGAGGCTGAGGCAGGAGAATTGCTTGAACCCGGGAGGTGGAGGTTGCAGTGAGCCAAGATAGCGCCACTGCATTCCAGCCTGGGTGAGAGTGAGACTCTGTCTCAAAAAAAAAAAAAAATTATATACCTAAATATCTGAAATGCATACTAAAGTTCAGTTTATAGATTATTCTAAAAAAAAGTTTTTAGAAAAGTCTAAGCTGGGATGATCACAATCAACTTGGTCAGCACAGTGCTATCAAGTAATTTTACTAATAAGAATCTGAATTTTTAAAAAAGTGATACAATTTAAGGGCACCATTTGAAATTATTTGGTATTTCGTGGTATAGCATTCTATTCCCAGACATATCAGCATTCTTACAGCCAAAGGAATGGGAAACGACTAACCAGCACAGCATCCAAAGGAGTATAAACAACAACAGATACAACTCCTGAGTGTGGTTTTCCATTGCTGTGTGTTAACAGCACTAATAACATCAAACAGGTTATTATGGAAAGAAAACACCAGGTTTAATACCTTATAAAATATGTATAGAAATTGAACATTCCTGTAAGATACAGTTCAAGTCACAATTGAATTATAAATGTAATCAGATATTCTGATATAATGAAAAGTTCTAGTTGGTTTTTAAAAAAAGGCATGCAAAAAGATAAAAAGTATTTAAAAACACACAAAATTCTAACCACCGGGTTTAAACTTTGATCTTAAAAAAGTAAATATATATTTACAATCTTTAAATTTCACACATTTGTTACTTTTACATGATCTTTATTATTTAAGAAAAACCTCTTTTAACCATTTATATAACAGAAAAAAAATAGGGAGGCTGGTAGATCATCACATATATAGTAGCTAAAATATGAAAGGCCAGGGAATTTATTATTAATGAAGTCATAAAACAGACTTAACCAAAAGTGTGTGCTAGGAAACAAGCAGTTTCACTTCAGAGACTTCATTGCAGGAACCCAGTTTCCTTATGTGGAAAAAAGTGATTATAAATAACAGTTATCTGAAAGGTGGTTGAGAGGATTAAATGAGATCACCTATGCAAACAAATACATGTAGGTATGAAGACATCGTCTGGGGTGTGAAAGTTTAGTTCACACCAGAACCTTCCTTTAAGGCTTAAAAACCTCAAACAGTATTTCATTCTTAATACAAGAACCAATGTTTAAAGCATAAAATCCTTAATTGGAGTGTTCAGCCCAGTTGATTATCAAAAGCGATTTATAAAATGCTTCAATACTGATGATATTAAAGCAACCAAAACTGTGATGCTCACAGAGGTTTGGCTTCCGGGGTTATGGTCCAAAGTCATTTGCCTTCTGAGAAGATTGCAGAGATGTCAGATACTTAATTTCTCAAACAACTTGGCATCAGCCTTCTATGTTTTCTGTCTATCATAGTCTCCAACCATCTTCTTGATGTGTGACAATTTGCTGTTTAACTGCTTGCAATGATTCTTCTTACTTTTGTAATCTGCAGACTAAAAAGGGAGAAAATGAATCACATAAATTCAACAAAATGAAAACAGGTCTGCTGGGAAGGCAGAATTGAACACAGAAATGGAATATTTAGTCAAGAGAATTGCTGGGAGTGTTAATTGAAGTAAAATACGCAAGGTGCCTGGCAGTATCACTAACCACACAGGCAGCTGATTCTATTTGCTCAGTTCTGTCTTCTAACCTGGGTTTTTCCAAAGGATACCCTCATTTCTAAAAATCTGTAAAATGACCAAGAAAACTTACCAGCCTTTTTGCTAACACATCATCTAAAACTGTAAGTAAAACAAGAGACTGGTGATCTCATTTGACTGGGGAAAGGGAAGCTGAATAGGGGATAAGAGAGATGGGAAATTTTACTGTATACCCTTTAAACTCTTATTTCAAATCATGATGCCTGTAATTTATAATTTTTTTTTCTTATTTTAGAAAGGGTCTCATCCTATTGCCCAGGCTGGAGTGAAGTGGTACAATTATAGCTCCCTGCAGCTTTGAACTCCTGGGTTCAAGGGATCCTTTTGCCTCAGTCTCCCTAGTAGCTAGGACTACAGGCATGTAACCACAGCACCTGGATAAGTAATTTACAAAAATTTTAATATAATTTTTTTTTAATGTTTTAAGTCAATAATGACTGTCATGCCAAGTGTTAGCAAGGATATAGGGCAACAGGAGTCTGTAGTGGTTGGTGGGAATGTAAACTGGTACAAGTACTTTGGAAGGCCATTTGACAGTATCTACTAAGGCTGGATAGACAAATGCCCATCACTTCTACGCTCAAACATTTACAAATATGTATGAAGCTGCAATATTTTTAAATGCCAAAAATTGGGAACAACCCAAACGTTCATTGACAATAGAATGGATGAATAAAGTTGCATTTTATATACAACACTACAAAGCAATAAAAATTAATCAACCGGCCAGGCGTGGTGGCTCACGCCTGTAATCCCAGCACTTTCGGAGGCCGAGGCAGGTGGATCACTTGAGGCCAGGAATTTGAGACCTGCCTGGCCAACATGGTAAAACCCCATCTCTACTAAAAATAGGAAAATTAGCCAGGTGTGGTGGTGCTTGCCTGTAATCCCAGTGGCTCGGGAGGCTGAGGCAGGAGAATTGCTTGAACCCAGGAGGCAGAGGTTGCAGTGAGCCGAGATTGTGCCACTGCACTCCAGCCTGGGCGACAGAGCGAGACACTGTCTCAGGAAAAAAAAAAAAATTAATGAACCATGGCCGGGCATGGTGGCTCATGCATGTAATCCCAGCACTTTGTGAGGCCAAGGCAGGGGGATCACCTGAGGTTGGGAGTTCAAGACCAGCCTGGCCAATGTGGTGAAACCATGTCTTTACTAAAAATACAAAAATTAGCCAGGCATGGTGGTGCGTGCTTGCAATCCCAGCTAGGCTGAGGCAGGAGAATTGCTTGAACCTGGGAGGCGGAAGTTGCAGTGAGCTGAGACTGCGCCACTGCACTCCATCCTGGGCAACAGAGCAAGACTCCGTCTAAAAAAAATAATAGTAATGAACTACAAATGGACCCTTACAAACACTATACTGAGCAAAAGAAATCACACACAAAATACATACTGTGTGGTTCCATTTATGTAATGTGCAAGATAGACAAAACTCTATGATGTTAGAAGTGAGCATGATGGACCCCTCTGGAGAGAGTGTAAACACTGGAAAGTAGTACAAGTGAGGGTGGGGGTGCTGGGGGTGGGGAGGTACTGGGAAATATATTTCTTGATCTGCATACGCAGGTATGTGGTCACATTGTGAAAATTCACCATGTTATACACTTTGATTTATACACTTTTCTGTATGTATACTTCAACTTTTAAAAAATATATAAAATAAAAAATGAAAAACATGTAATAGAAAAGCTCTTCCTCCAGATGAGTAGGTATGGGAATTAAAATAAAAAGAAGAAGAAAGAAAGTTCTTCCTAAAAGAACAATCTCGGATACTTACTCCCTTCACTTGCTTCAGTCTATTGTATTCATCAGCAGCAGCCTATTAACGACAGACACAAAGGAATATGTTTACTGGGGCATTTTCTCTTTTAAAAGTAACATTCCTGATGTTATACTTTGGAGCTAAAAATGACAGCTTATGACAAAAATATAAGCAATTAAAAGAATGAAGTCGTAAAGCTCTTAAAACTCATGATCAGCAGGAAGGTCTGAAGGAATTCAGTGAAGAGACATTTATGATACTGTATCTTTCACATTTCACTCACATAGGCAGGTAACTATCTGTTCTGCTACTTCTCATCTCTCCTCATGCCAGTCCCCATGCTACACTGACACCAGGAAGATCTTTTATAACACAGAGCGCTCGCTGATCAGGTAATATCCCACTACACAACTGGTCTGAGCTTCCCATTAACTTCTCCCCTCATCCAGTTTCCTACCTTTCCAGTCTCAGTACCCATCATCAGCAACTCCTTTAAAAACTGAGACATGTTAAATGCTTCAGGATTTCAATCATGTTTTCCTTATGGCTGTAATCATGCACCTCCCCGCACCCTTCTGTCTGGAAAGCTCTTAACGATTCCCTCACTGTGAAGCCTCCAAAGACTTTATTTCTTCTATGAGCAGTTAGTTATAGTGCTTTCTACACATGATGCAAATACAGCATTAATCATACTGTCTAAATTGTTTAGATGTCAGGTTTTTTTTCTTAAAATATAAGCTCTTTTAGGGTGGGGACAAGATTTTATGTCTCTAGCTCCAGCATTTCCACATCATCAAAGAAAAATAAGTGATCAATAAATGTTCACTAAATTAAGAAAGATCTATAACACCCTATAGAAACCATAAAAGAAATACATAAATCTAACTATATAAAGATGTGAATACGTCAAAACTAAAAAGTAGATCACCTCAACTGAAAAATGGCAGAATATTTAATGAGATGTGCATCAAATGAGTCCTGTATTGTATCAAGAGGGAGACACAGTTGGTGCAGTCTCTCTGGAGGGCAATTTTGCAACTTTGCAAAGGTACGTACCCTCTGACTCTCAGCAATTTCACATTCTGGAATTAGTTTTAGTTAGATAAGCAGGCTGGGCGCTGTGGCTCACACACGTAATTCCAGCACTTTGGGAGGCCGAGGCAGGCAGATCACCTGAGGTCAGGAGTTCGAGGCTAGCCTGACCAACATGGCAAAACCCCGTCTCTACTAAAAATACAAAAATTAGTCAGGTGTGGTGCCACATGCCTGTAATCCCAGCTACTCGGGAGGCTGAGGCGGGAGAATCACTTGAACCTAGGAGGCGAAGGTTGCAGTGAGCCAAGATAGCGCCACTGCACTCCAGCCTGGGCGACAGAGCAAGACTCCGTCTCAAAAAAAAAAAAAAAAAAAAAAATTAGATAAGTAGACAAGAGTGCAAAAACAGAGAGGTTCACCAGTATATACTGGTACTACTGGAGTAGGGGGAGACATACTTAAATGTCTATCCATAGAAAATGACTCTTAAATTATGATACAACCATAAATTTGAAAGTTGTTTACCTAATTTTACACATAAAAAACTTAAAAGTAAGTAGGTCTTTATTATTGATATAAAAAAAAAAACTTGCTGTTAAGAAAAGACAGAAATAAGCAGTGCAAGGAAGTTTTTTTGTTTGTTTTTTTTTTTAAAGATAAAACCCCACAATAAGAGTATGTCAAAGGGACACGGGAAGCAACTGAAAGTTCCCAACGGTCAAAGCGAGAACAATTAGAGCTACAAAATAAAGCAGCCTTGGATTATAATTCACAGTATAAAACAGGTATCTGTAAAGTCCATACTTACGTAAGTGATTGACTGATCAATAAAGGAACAAATTAACAAGAAGAGATTAATCTCCCTCTAAAAGGTGGTGTAACTACATTAATTTCAGTATGTATACAAAATACAGTATGAAAAGGATGGATTGAAAAAAAAATCCAGTAACTTTACATGGACAAATTCTATCTCAGCCAGGTGATCAAGGGAGGGAAAAAAAAAACCCATAAACTGTTGATTTAAAAGACAGGAAGAAAATAAGTGAAACATGGAAGATGATGTTTCCTTAAAGAAAGGTGTATGTGCCTTGGTGACTCCTGCTTGGAGAGATTGTTTTAACTAATATTTTGGTGATAAGGATTTCTTGATGGTAGGATTTAAGATGATTTCTTTTTCTGTATACAGTTCTGTGTTAAGTTCTTTTTTTTTTTTTTTTTTTTTTTGAGATGGAGTCTCACTCTGTCACTCAGGCTGGAGTGCAGTGGCGCGATCTTGGCTCACTGCAAGCTCCGCCTCCTGGATTCACACCATTCTCCTGCCTCAGCCTCCCAAGTAGCTGGGACTACAAGTACCCGCCACCATACCTGGCTAATTTTTTGTATTTTTTTTTTTTTTTTAGTAGAGACGGGGTTTCACTGTGTTAGCCAGGATGGTCTCGATCTCCTGACCTCATGATCCACCCACCTCGGCCTCCCAAAGTGCTGGGATTACAGGCATTAGCCACCGTGCCCGGCCGCTTAAGTTCTTTTCTACAGAAAGAATGAATGGCTTTATAAATAGGAAAGATAATAAGGCTATTTTATTATTATTATTATTAATTTTTGAGATGGAGTCTCACTCTGTCGCCCAGGCTGGAGTGCAATGGCGCAATCTTGGCTCACTGCAACCTCCCCCATCCCGGGTTCAAGCAATTCTCCTGTCTCAGCCTCCCCGAGTAGCTGGGATTACAGGTGTCTGCCACCATGCCCTGCTATTTTTTGTATTTTTAGTAGAGATGGGGTTTCACCATGTTAGGCACGCTATTCTCTAACTCCTGACCTCAGGTGATCCACTTGCCTTGGCCTCTCAAAGTGTGGGGATTATAGCCATGAGCCACCATGCCCAGCCTGGCTATTTTATTTTAAATAGGAAAGGATAGATGTACATAGAATAGTGCTTTGTAGGGGCTGGGCGCGGTGGCTCACGCCTGTAATCCCAGCACTTTGGGAGGCTAAGACGGGCAGATCACGAGGTCAGGAGATCGAGACCATCCTGGCTAACATGGTGAAACCCCGTCTCTACTAAAAAAAAAAAAAATACAAAAAATTAGCCGGGCGTGGTGGCGGACACCTGTAATCCCAGCTACTTGGGAGGCTGAGTCAGGAGAATGGCGTGAACCCGGGAGGCAGAGCTTGCAGTTAGCTGAGATCACGCCACTGCACTCCAGCCTGGGCAACAGAACGAGACTCCACCTCAAAAAAAAAAAAAAAAAACAGAATAGTGCTTTGTAATTATTAACTATTATACATTAGTACAATCTTCTATTAGGAAAGAATTTCATCCAAAACCCAATCTCAACTATTCTTCAATGAAACTGCAGTTTGATAACTACTAGCACATTTTTATCAACATTAATATAAAGGATGCTGTACCTCCACAGATTAGATTCAAATTCTGTTTAATATATAAATATCAGGTTGAATTTACCATGTACTCTTCACTTTCTTCTCTATAGTCATCCAATTCTTTATCCAAACGGGAGAGTTCTTTATTGATCTCATCAAGTTCTGATTGTAAGCTCTTGTATTCCTGTAGGCCAGTGTCAAAATTCCTCTTGTACAGTTGTCTTTGTTGATCTGAAGTGATAGGTGGATATTCCCTAAAAGGTGAGAGAGAAAATGACTACATATGTATCCTTAGCAGACATAAAATTCAATGCTCCTTCCTCAAAGATAATAAAGCTGGTTGGGTATGGAGAATGACATTTTCTTGTTTCGTTTTTGTTTCTTACGGGGAAAGAGAGAGAGAATACAAATAAGTTCTATTAAGAGTGACTATATATTACTGCTCATTTTTTAAAAAATAAAAACTATGCCTACGTAATTTGCAGAAATAATTTTGAAAATCATTTACAAAATTGAAGGTACAAGTCATAGGAACTCACTTATTTCCCATACACAATATCAATAATGGACTACTTATGTTTATAAAGTTTTTCTTTTCTTTTTTTTTTTTTTTGAGACAAAGCCTGCTCTGTCACCCAGGATGGAGTGCAGTGGCACAATCTCGGCTCACTGCAACCTCCACCTCCCGGGTTCAAGCGATTTTCGTGCCTCAGTCTCCACAGTAGCTGGGATTACAGGTGCCCGCCACCACGCCCGGCTAATTTTTGTATTTTAGTAGAGACAGGGTTTCACCATGTTGGCCAGGCTAGTCTCAAACTCCTGACCTCAGGTGATCCACCTGCCTCAGCCTCCCAAAGTGCTGGGATTACAGGAGTGAGCCACCATGCCTGGCCTGTTTAAAGTCTTAAAACTGGAATTCTGGAACACAAAGTCCGCTTTGATCACCACAGTGGCAGCACAGCTGACTGGAAGTGGCTGTTTCCTGCTACCACCCATAGTTTTCAGACTGGTTTATTTATTTTTTGCTCTTGTTTTTCCGAAGTGGAAATAGCTTATCTACTTCTTTCACAATAAAAATAGACATTAAAAATGTACATGTATAAAAACATGTGCTCACTGTTAAAATAATCTGGCAATTCATTAAAGTATAAAGAAGAAAAACTGAAATTTTGTATCACACCTATTTCTCAATATACCAGCCACTCCTTACATAGGAAGACGATGCCATTAACCCATAATCCATAGAGAAAATACTCTGAATCCTTTCACAGGACTGGAGTTTCACAATGATGTGGAATTTCAAATTTTAGATCTAACAATCTAACATCTTCATTTTACAGAGGGGAGAAATTTAAATGATTTGATCAAAAGGGAAACAAGAATTTCAGATTTTGAAAATTTTCAGGCTGGGCATGGTAGCTCACCCCTGTAATCCCAGCACTTTGGGAGGCCGAGGTGGGTGGATCACCTGAGGTCAGGAGTTTGAGACCAGCCCAGCCAACATGGTGAAACCCTGTCTCTATTAAAACTACAAAAATTAGCCGGGTGTGGTGGCGCATGCCTGTAATCCCAGCTCTTCGGGAGGCTGAGGCAGGAGGATTGCTTGAACCTGGGAGGCGGAGGTTGCAGTGAGCCAAGATCGTGCCACTGCACTCCAGCCTGGGCAACAGAGTGAGACTCTATCTCAAAAAAATATATAAAGTTTTCAGTTAAATCTTCCGTGATACAAGTTAGGTGAATATTTTACAGATAGATGGCTAAGCCAGGCCAAAAACTCTTGAGGGGAGAGGGGAAGATAAAGTATCAGAATCATCAGTGAATAGGGGATCTCAAGCTACCCATGCCCCGCCTATCATTCCTCACTCTCTGAGAAGCGATGTTTTGATTACCATTCACATTGCAAATGTTTCTGATGTGCGTCTTAGTCCTCAGAATACTTGGGCATAGGAAGGCTACACATCATACACAAATACATTTGGTGATGGTGGATGGATTGTAACAAAACCACCAAAACACAAAGAAACTTAACCACAACTGTGGCTGAACACTAAATTGTTACCTCAATTGTTTACGGAACTCTTTGGATTAAACTTTAAAAGAAACTCTCGTCTTATCATTTTAAGCTTAATTTAAAAAATAATTGCCGGCCAGGCGCGGTGGCTCACTCCTGTAATCCCAGCACTTTGGGAGGCCGAGGCAGGGAGATCATCTGAGGTCAGGATTTTCAAGATCAGCCTGGCCAACATGGTGAAACCCGTCTCTACTAAAAATACAATAATTAGCCGGGCATGGTGGTGGGCGCCTGTAATCCCAGCTACTTGGTAGGCTGAGGCAGGAATTGCTTGAACCCGGAAGGCAGAGGTTGCACCGAGCCGAGATCGTGCCATTGCACTCCAGCCTGGGCGACAGAGCAAGACTCCGTCTCAAAAAAAAAAAGTAATGCCAAAGGAAAACCATAGCACTGGTTTGGGAATTTTATAATTAGTAAAACAAAGTTCTTCTATACCTGGATTTTATTTATTTGAAAGGCCTTTGGTTGTTTTTTGAGATAGGGTCTAGCTCTATCACCCAGCCTGGGGTGCAATGATGCAATTATAGCTCACTGCAGCCTTGAACTCCTGGGCTTAAGCAATCCTCCTGCCTCAGCCTCAGCCTTCCGAGTAGCTGGAACTACAGGCCCACACCACTATGCCTGGCTGGTCTTGAACTCTTAGCCTTAGCCTCCCAAAGTGCTAGGACATCTTTCTTCCGTGACTATTGGTATAAGAAAGAGCACTGGTGAAGTTCACCAGCCACACTGTGGAAAGTTCAAAGTGGTTACTGCCAAAGTTCAAAGACATGGTTACTGCCAAACATTCTCTCCACTTCAAACTTTGTCACAAAAGGGTGCTAAGGAAAAAACCAGCCAACACCACACAAAAAACTGTCTCCAGTCCTGGTTGGCAAAGAATGAAATTACACCAGTGACCTCAATTTGGGAGGCAATAACTCCAACACCTGGTTGGTCTCCTTTAATTATCAGAAGGAGCACGTGGGCCAGGAAAGGAGAGCTGAGTCGGTACCTGATCCAGTCCTCCTCCAGCTCATCACAGGACTCGCCGCCAGTTGTGTAGTCTGTCTCATAGTGATCTTGCTCTGTTCTCTTTGACCTTCCTGCTCTTCCCTTTGCAGGTGCTCTTTTTGAAGGTGTCTCAAAGTTACCACCGCTGCTGTAACGAGGCTGCCTGAAGTCATCCACAGGCGAAGTTAATGGAAGCTCCTGAACCACTTCAGGAACCCTAATAAAAACAGGCATCATTGTTCAGTACACTACAGCCCTTTGCCAGTGCACTGTAATCACAGAGCACAGCCATAATAAACACCAGCAGACATCTGCACGCAGGTGCACTCACGCGAGGACTTCAGATGTTCAACACTGAGCAGATGCCTCGTTTTCTGCATTCAATTTGACAGCAGTTCAGAGTCCTCTAATACACACAAGTAGTAGGTTCCAATTTAAAGGGGAGTAGCCATTTTTATACCTTCTAAGTACAATGGATCTCAGATTTCATTTTAAAAAGTTCAGGCTGATCTATAAGAGGTGTTTACTTGACCTGTGCCAGGGACTTACTCTACAAAGGCTGTCAGGAAAACAGTGATCATTCTTTTCTACAGGCTCTTCTAGTTCCCTGGAATGCTGCATGGGGAAGAATGCACACATGCTCTTTGTAATATTGATCTTATACTACCATATATCAATTATCATATTAAGATAAAATCTTGCAAAATAAACTAAATATCTAAACTAAAAAAGTAAAAAGCTTTACATTGCAATAAATTAAAGAGTTCCTTTAGGATTCTTTTTAAAATTGCTGTTAATCCTGAAGCCACGTAGAATGAATAGAAGGGTTACCATTACACACTTACTATTTTCTTCTAATACAATTATTTAAAGTTGCATCACAATTGCATGTTTCGGACACAAACATGAAAATAACCCTAACTGAGGAATAAAATACCAAAGTTGAAAGTGGGAACTACTTCTGAGTAAAAGAAATACGAAGTTTCATTTTCTTGTAGAAAAGGGCAAGAACAGAAATGAAAACACCAAAGAATGGGCCTAAGACTTTCCAAGCATCAGCCTTGCCATTCCAATCAACTATTTAAAATGTCTGAAGCGTTTCTTTTTGCTGCCAATTTACATAAACTATCATACTGAGCTCTTCCAGGTTTAGTCCCTTTTCTAGGTGATCCACATGTGCTTTGCTGTAACTGTTGTCAGAGTCTTAGATTTCTAAGCACACAATTTCTTGCAGACTCTAAACTTTGGGGTATGTGTGTGTAGATGCAGGTGGGGGTAGTATTTATTTCTTCTTTCAAGATTTATGGCCGGAGGCGGTGGCTCACACCTGTAATCTCAGCACTTTGGGAGGCCGAGGTGGGCGAATCACTTGAGGCCAGGAGTTCAAGATCGGCCTGGCCAACATGGTGAAACCCCATCTCTACAAAAAATACAAAAATTAGTGCACTGTGGCAGGCATCTGTAATCCCAGCTACTCGGGAGGCTGAGGCAGAAGAATTGCTTGAACCCAGGAGGCAGAGAATGCAGTGAGCTGAGATCGCACCACTGCACTCCACCCTGGGTAACAGAATGAGATTCTGTCTAAAAAAAAAAAAAATTATTCAGGTAATATGGCTTTGTGTGCTATGCTAATGTTACTTCTAATGGAGAGAAAATGTGACTTTCTCCATGAGTCAATGATTAACAAGTTCCTAGACACTCTGCCAAAACTGCCAGGTACTATGCCTCTTCTTTGAGGTAGAAAAACAAAACCTTTAGAATGCAGTGGATTCATTTTAGGGGTGGGGCCAAAGAGGGAGGGAACTAAAGGGCAAAAGAAATTAGAAAAAAACATAAAAACAAAAAGTAAAACATCAAAGTAGGCCTCCTGCCAGAATTTTTATGATATTAGATATTGATATATCTTTAACTTCGAAGTTTTCCTCCCCTCCTCCTACACCCCTTTAAAATATTAACATACTTGATCTAGCATGAAAGCTAAAAGCAAAATGTTTCACAAGAAAAGTATTCACTACAGGTGTGAGCAACACCACACTGGGCTAATTTTTAATTTTTTTGTAGAGACAGGGTCTCACTCTGTTGCCCAGGCTGAGCCTTCCACATTTCCCAAGCTGCGTTGATCTTTCCAGCCCAGCATGAAGTTTTCTTTCCCAAAGCTTACATAGCAAAAAGATTCTGATTGGCCCTTTTTGGGTCACTGTCATCCTTGAAGCCAGGAGAATGTTCTCTGATTAGCAAGACTTAGATATGCCTCCCAATAATGGTAGCAGCTCTAAAATACAGTGTGTACAACAAACGTCATTCTAATAGTCATGGCATTGTTGATCATGGGTTGTTTCTCTGCCTTCACTGATGCTGTGTGTAATCAGAAAAGAAGGATTCTTATGCATGTGTTTTCAATTCAGTAATTGTCCTGAACACCTGACATGCATAGAGTACTGAGCCAGGTGACCCTGGGAAGACCAGGTCCATGTTCTCACGGAGGCTGCAAAACAGGGGTGGAGGAAAGTGCACAACAATTCTGCTGAGAGTCAGGGCAAGGTAGGAGCAATAAAGGCAGCGTGAAGGAGTGTGAGAGAGAATAAAACAAATGACTGAAGAATAAAAAGAACAAGCCGGCCAGGTGCGGTAGCTCACACTTGTATAATCCCAGCACTTTGGGAGGCTGAGGCAGGGGGATCACTTGAGGTTAGGAGTTTGAGACCGATCTGGCCAACATGTTGAAACCCCTGTCTCTACTAAAAATACAAAAATTAGCTGAGCATG
This sequence comes from Homo sapiens, assembly GCF_000001405.40. Classification (NCBI taxonomy): domain Eukaryota; kingdom Metazoa; phylum Chordata; class Mammalia; order Primates; family Hominidae; genus Homo; species Homo sapiens. The sequence goes on along the minus strand of NW_003315917.2, from coordinate 325,298 downwards.
GTGGTGCAAGCCTGTGATCCCAGCTACTCAGGAGGCTGAGGTGGGAGGATCGCTTGAACCTGGGAGGTAGAGGTTGCAATGAGCCAAGATTGCACCAACACATTCCAGCCTGGATGACAGAGCAAGACTCCATTTCAAAAAAACCAAAAACAACAAAAAAAACCCAGGCATGGTTGCATGCACCTGTAGTACTAGCTACTCAGGAGGCTGAGGCAGAAGGATCACTTGAGTGCAGGAATTTGAGGATTCAGTGAGCTATGATCACACCACTGGACTCCAGCCTGTGTGAAACAGTGAGACCCTATCTCTAAAAAGTAAAAATAAATAAATAAATAAATGTAGATGGCTATCCTGTCACAACAGAAGCTGAACTGAGAAGAAAGCCAACATACCGACAGATGAAAGAGAGCACATAACAGCCCTGCTATCTTCTGAATCCTTCGATTATGCCATGACTGAAGCTACAGACGTCCTTGGGCCTCACGTGACTCAGATAATTCCTCCTTTCACTTAAGCTATTTTTTTTCATGATTTTTTTTTTTTTAATTGAGACAGGGTCTCCCTATGTTGCCCAGGCAGGTCTCAAACTCCTGGCCTCAAGCAATCTTCCCACCTCATTGGCCTCCCAAAGTGCTGGGATTATCAGCCTGAACCACCATGCCCCATCTTAAACTAGTTTAAACTGGGCTTCTATAACTCCTCTAACTTGCATAAAAGTCCTAACATCATCCTACCAGCCTATTACTACCAAACAATGGTCTCATTTAGCAATGCAAGGAGTCAGCCTTCTTTGAAAGCTTTGCATTGCAGCAACATTCAACTTCCTTGATTTATGAAGGGTAATTCAACCTGGGTGTGGACAGGATAGTGGAGAGTGTACCTAATAGGGCTCTCCCAAGTTCGTTTAGTAGGTTTGGAGAGGCAACCATCTTCAGCTAAATTCTGGTGTCCCCTGATGCAGGATTAATTCTCAGAGCTGACTGCCTTAAAATTCTAAGGTATGGGACATTATAAGCAAAAGGAACCAGATATGAGAGTAAACTGCATTATTCCATTTTATTTAAAGTCCAATAATAACACGTTCACTAACAGATGGTGACAGACATCAAAATAGCTGTTACCTTGGGGTGGGTGTGGGTGGGTATTGATGGAGAAAGGGCACATGGGGACCTTATGTAGGGCTCAAAATGTATCTTGGTGGTGGGAGTTAAGTGGTCATAGATGGGAAAACTCATCAAGCTGTATACTCAAGATTAGTGCTCTTTTTATGGAATGTACATTACGCGTTGGGAGAAAAAAACATCTTAATACTGATTTACCTCATCCTTGGCACGGATGGGTGGATGGACACAATGTTCTCCATCTAATTCCTTCTCTATCCACTAGCATGGTGAGGAAGAGAGGTGCTCATGGGTTACTAAGCACTTGCAAGAATGCCTTAGGAAAGACAGGCTATGACTTATGTGTTCTTATTCCCATTCAAGTGGGTGTCCTCTGAATCCTCTATAGCACTCAGTACTCTACTATGAACAACACTTTACAATTTCTATTGCCCCCCAGAGGCTGTAAAATCCTTCCATCATTACCATGCTCTGGGGGAGATATTGTGCATTAGTATCTCTTAGTACCACTCCCATTCACCCATTCATCTGGGTTCTAAAATGAAGCATCGTGTTTGCACTTTCCAGACCTTCAAAAAAAATTCTGGGGCATAAGTTTGGAGTAGAAACTAGTACAATCCTTAAGAAATAAAACTTTTACTACATCTATCAAAATGAAAAAATGCACATTTATTTTAGCTCAGCAATTCTGCCTCCAGATACATTCACATATGTATAAAGTGATAAATGTATAAGGTTATTCCTTATACATTTGTGGTCTGTAATAACAAAACATTGGGGGAAAGTGTGCATCATATAGGATTAATACATTAAGTATACCAGCCAGGTGCGGTGGCTCATGCCTGTAATCCCAACACTTTGGGAGGCTAAAGCAGGCAGATCAGTTGAGGTCAGGAGTTCAAGACCAGCCTGGCCAACATGACAAAACCCCATCTCTACTAAAAATTAGCCAGGCGTGGTGGTGGGTGCCTGTAATCCCAGCTACTCAGGAGGCTAAGGCAGGCTACTCGGGAGGCACTTGAACCTGGGAGGCAGAGGTTGCAGTGAGCCGAGATCGCGCCACTGTACTCCAGCCTGGGCAACGGAGCGAGACTCTGCCTCAAAAAATAATAATAATAAAATAAATAAAGTATACCTATTTGGTAGAATATTATACAGCTATAAAACACAATAGTGCTTCTTCTTGATTATAATTAAAAAAATAAAACAGAATCAGGCAACTCATTGCATAGTGATATGGACAATATCCAAGATAAAATATATTGCTAATGATACATTTGGTATGCTAATATTTTCTTTTTCTTTTTTTTGAAACAGGGTCTCACTCTGTCACCCAGACTGAAGTGGAGTGGCACGGTCTTGGCTCACTGCAGGCTTGACCTCCTGGGCTCAATCAATCCTCCCACCTCAGCCTCCCAAGTAGCTAGGACTAGAGGCATGTGCCACCATACCTGGCAAATCTTTATATTTTTTGTAGAGAGGGGGTTTAGCAATAATGCCCAGGGTGTTCTCGAACTCCTAGGCTCAAGCAATCCACCCACCTCAGCCTCCCGAAGTGCTGGAATTACAGGCATGAGCCACTGTGCCCAGCTCTGGTATGCTAGTATTTTAAGGGGGGGTGGGGGAATCAATGTACTTTGGCCAGTATCTTTATGTTTTAAAATCTGTGGAGAAATAGAAAGTGATGACATTAGTTGCCTCTGGGGAGAGGAACTAGCTAGCTGGTACCTTTTGTCCCTTTTAAATTTTCCACTACATAAAGTATTCAAGAATAAGAAAGATTAATACTTAAGGAATAAGACTTTCAAATTAATTTCAAATGAATTTGTGAAACTATCCTGGTTTTTGTGAAAAGGGACAACACCAGGGAATGCTGTGTAACCACGCAGGCCTTACAATTTAGAGGAACAGCTGGTGCCAAGATGCAGTATAGATATACATTTTGTATGTATGAAAGTTCTGCAAATTGGTCCTTTTATAGTTGATGAGCATGATGATTGGGTGTTCACACGCATGTGTGAAATGTCCCACCCTCAAATCTTGTTACAATATTGGCACATTACCCATCTGACATGAAAAAGGAGAAAAAAAAAGTTCTGCAAATCATAGCTTAAAAATTTTAGAGGCTGAGGCAGGAGGATCACTTAAGGCCAGGAGTTCAAGACTATCCTGGGCAACAAAGCAAGACCCCTTCTCTACAAAAATAAAAATAAAAAATTAGCCAGCCATAGTGGCACATACCTGTGGTCCTGGCTAAAGTGAGCTATGAAGCAAGAGGACTGCTTGAGCCCAGGAGTTCAAGGTCACAGTGAGCTATGATCACACCACTGCACTATAGGTCTGGGCGACAGAGTGAAACAGCATCTCAAACAAATGATGAAAAAAAAAAACTTAGAAGGATTGCATCTCTCTTGCGTACCCTTGTCCCTAACACTCTCAAGTGCTTTAGTTTTTGTCAAAATCCAAAGAGAAGAACAGAGAAAATGTGCTTTCTCCAAATCATTCACAATTGAAATCAACAGCAAGATCAAGTCTGAATACCAAAACAACTATGCACTCAGAGTAAATCTCATATATCATGGCCCACTAATCAGGAGTCGGGCATTGGGGATAAAACTTCAAAGCAGGCCAGGCGCGGTGGCTCACGCCTGTAATGCCCGCACTTTGGGAGGCCAAGACAGGTAGATCACCTGAGGTCAGGAGTTCGAGACCAACCTGGCCAACATCATGAAACCCCGTCTCTACTAAAAATACAAAAATTAGCCAGGCATGGTGGCGCGCACCTGTAATCCCAGCTACTAGGAGGAGGCTGAGGCAGGAGAATCACTTGAACCCAGGAGACGGAGGTTGCAGTGAACTGAGATCGCACTACTGCACTCCAGCCTGGGTAACGGAGTGAGACTCCGTCTCAAAAACAAAACAAACAAAAAAACACTTCGAAGTAACAAAAAAGTTATTTCCAGTAGATACACCTTTAACATAGACATTCAAACTAGCTGAAAGGAAATTTTTTGGGCTTTTTCAGTCTCCAAAGGAACTTAGAGTTCTAGAATTACAGTCACAAAGTCATAAAGACATTTCAGTCAATAAGGGACTAATAAAAGTATACGGCAAATGCAATTATGTACAGTATATAATACTTGACAATAAACGACTATGCTACTGGTTTATGTATTTACACTATATTTTTTATTAGATTCCTTCAACTTATTAAAAAAAAAAAGAGTTGAAACAGGAAAAAAAAGTTAAAAGAGCCTCAGGCAGGTGCTTCAGGAGGTATTCCAGAAGAAGGCACTGTCACCATGGAAGATGACAGCTCTGGGTGTGTTATTGGCCCTGATGACCTTCCAGTGCAACGAGATGTGGAAATGGAAGACAGTGATATTGATGTAGGCCTAGGCAAATGTGTATGTTTGTATCTTAGTTTTGGGTTTGTGTGTGTGTGTGTGTGTGTTTATTTTTATTTTTTTTGAGATAGGGTCTCTGTTGCCCAGGCTGGAGGGCAGTGGTGCAATCGCAGCTCACTGCAGCCTCCCAAAGTGGTGGGATTACAGGCATAAGCCACTGCACCCAGTCTGTATCTTAGTTTTTAACAATAAAGTGTAGAAACTAAAATAAAATTTACATGGTAAAAATAGAAAACAGCACTTTGGGAGGCCAAAGTGGGAGGATCACTTGAGGTCAGGAGTCTAAGAACAGCCTGGTGGCAGGGCATGGTGGCTCATGCCTGTAATCCCAGTACTTTGTGAAGCCGAGGCAGGCAGATCGCTTGAGCCCAGGAGTTTGAGACCAGCCTGGACAACATAGCAAGACCCTGTCTCTACAAAAAAAAATAGAAAAAAATAGCTGGGCATGGTGGAGCACATGTGTAGTCCCAGCTACTGAGGTGACTAAGTAGTCTCAGCTACTTAGGTGACTAAAGTGGGAAGATCGCTTGAGCCTGGGAGGTCAAGGCTACAGTGAGCTGTGACCACACCACTGCACCCCAGGCTGGGTGACAGATTGAGACCATGTCTCTACCAAAAAAAAAAAAAAAAAAAAAAAGCTTATAGAATAAGGAAAATACTTCTCTATATCTATATATCTATACAATGTAGGTATGGGATTTTTGGCTTTTCTTTTATTTTTGGCTGGATTTGAGCTCCCGGGCTCAAGTATGATCCCTCCCACCTCAGCCTCCCAATTAGCTGGGACTGCTGGTGTGCACCACTGTGCCAGGGTTTGTGATTGTGTTTTTTGTTGTTGTTCTTTTGTTTGTTTGTTTTTGAGACGGAGTCTCACTTTGTCGCCCAGGCTAGAGTGCAGTGGCGCGATCTCGGCTCACTGGGAGCTCCACCTCCCGGGTTCACGCCATTCTCCTGCCTCAGCCTCCCGAGTAGCTGGGACTACAGGCACCCGCCACCATGCCCGGCTAATTTTTCGTACTTTTAGTAGACACGGGGTTTCACCCTGTTAGCCAGGATGGTCTCAATTTCCTGACCTCGTGATCCACCTGCCTCAGCCTCCCAAAGTGCTGGGATTACAGGGGTGAGCCACCGCGTCCGGCCTTTTGTTTTTTTTTTTGAGACAGAGTTTCACTTTGTCACGCAGGCTGGAGTGCACTGGTGTGATCTCAGCTCACTGTAACCGCCGCCTCCCAGGTTCAAGTGATTCTCCTGCCTCAGCTTTCCGAGTAGCTGAGATTACAGGTGTGAGCCACCATGCCTGGCTAATTTTTGTATTTTTAGTAGAGACAGGGTTTTGCCATTTTGGCCAGGCTGGTCTCGAACTCCTGACCTCAGGTGATCCGTCCACCTGGGCCTCCCAAAGTGTGGGGATTACAGGCGTGAGCCACTGCACCCAGCCATGTGATTGTGTTTTAAGTGTTATTACAAAAGAGTCAAAAAAATTAAAGTTATAGAAAGCTAAGATTTATTATAGAAGAAAGAAAAATGTTTAGTAAATTTAGTGTAGCCTAAGTATAGTGTTTATAAAGTGTACAGTAATGTCCTAGGCCTTCACATTCACTCACCACTTACTCCCTGACTCACCCAGAGCAACTTCCAGTCCTACAAGCTTCATTCATGGTAAGTGCCTTACAAGATGTACCATTTATTTATTTATTTATTTATTTATTTAGATGGAGCTTCGCTCTTGTTGCCCAGGCTGGAGTGCAATGGCACAATCTCCACTTACAACAACCTCCGCCTCCCGGGTTAAACCGACTCTCCTGCCTCAGCCTTCCCAAGTAGCTGGGATTACAGGCATGCGCCACCACGCCTGGCTATTTTTAGTAGAGATGGGGTTTCTCCATGTTGGTCAGGCCGGTCTTGAACTCCTGACCTCAGGTGATCCACCTGCCTCGGCCTCCCAAAGTGCTGGGATTATAGGCGTGAGCCACCGCCCCCGCCAAGATGTACCATTTTTTATCTTTTATATTTACTGTACCTTTTTTGTGTTTAGATATACAAATACCACTGTATTACCGCTGCCTAGAGTATTTGGTATATTAACATGCTGTCTGCATTTGTAGCGTAAAAGCAAGAAGCTATACCACATAGCCTAGGCTCGTAGCAGGCTATCCATCTAGGTTTGTGTTAAGTACACTGTGATGTTCACTCAAGGATGAAATTGCCTAAAGACACACTTCTCAGTATTCCCATCGTTAAACAATGCATGACTATATATGTAAAAATAACGACTTCATCATCCTTAGGCAAAAATTACATCCCCGTCCATACCAATTATCTCCAATAGTCTTCTCTCACTAGTCATTAGGTGGAATTAGAATTGAGCTTTAGGGTAAGTGTTTCCACCACAGAGATACCATTTCAATTATCATATGACACCTACCCTAGGCCAGACGTTCACTGAGGTTTCACATCTCCCAGCAATACTGAGGACCTAGCACAGCAAATGAAATACCACAATTCCTGGATTCAAATGAAGTCTTCTAGTTTAACAGAAATGTATGTGGGCAGGGTTGATTAATGTGAAATGTCCTCCCTTCTGTTTATGAGATCCAACAATTATAGGCAAAAGGAGAGGCTGAGCACAGCACTGACCTCTGCTCAGTAACTTCCTCTCACCCTCACCTAAACTTCAAAACCAGAAATAGCAGAACCACATTCCTAGAGTGAAAGAACCCAACCCAACCTTTCAATTAAACAAGTAAGTGAAAAGAAGCATTTTCAACTTAGAAGGGAAATAGAACCCCACCCTCCTCATCCTGGTCTTCCAAGTAGCCGTAGGCCTCTGTACCAACAAAGCAAAGATTGTTGTAATACCAAGATCCAGATCCAGCTTTTGTGTGCACTGCTGGATATTTTTTTTAAGCAGAAAGGCACAAAAACCAATTATATGCAAATACTCATTTTTACACTCAGTCTATCAAACTAAGAGAGATGCTACTTACGGCGTGGATTTATAGGAAGACTCTGGATAAAACCGCTTGTCATTCACTTTGCCATTGGAAGAGTATGCCATGGGACTGTCAACTCTTTCCACATAGTCAGATGGGGGTGAAGGCACGTCCTGTGTGCCTGCAGACACATTTTTAACCTTAAAAAACCCCAAGAGATAGTTATTATTTATCTTGTAATGAAAAGGGGGAAGACACTGAAGAAAATTATCTTATATACATTATCTAATATTTATGTGGCCCATTAAATACTATTAACACTAATAATAAAAAGGCAATCATTACAGGTTAATAGTTAAATCCACATTGTAATAGACATATAAACAGTGCTACTGCTAGTTTAAACAAGTATATTACCAAGAAGAAAAATCTGATCACCTAGTTCTCATCCTAATGTGATTAGGTTTCATAATTATCTATGGCAATTTTCCACCTCCATATTAGGAAGACTGGTCTCATTATCTCACGCCCACATTAGAAAGACCACTCTCATTTAACCTAAGCCAGGTCTCGGTTAGGAGAATTTTCATTTCTAACAAGCTCTCAGGTAATGCTATGTTGCTGTCTGTGCACCACACTTGGAAAAGCACTAATCTAGAACAAAGCACACTGGTAGTTCTTAAACCATTCACCTCTCAACGTGGAATGTTAAAACCACAGAAGAAATTAAGAAGTTCAAGCTGACTTCTACTCTTTTAATAAGAGATTTGTTTATTCTCCCTTAATGTACGTTCTCTATGGCTCTATTACTAATAACCTACACAATATATCACACAACATCAGTGCCTTCCCTTTTCACTTTCCTTATTTCATTCTGATGTGTAAGTGAATTCATCCTACAAAAGTAACATGCATTAGAAATTATGCCTTAATAGGCCGGGCGCGGTGGCTCACGCCTGTAATCCCAGCACTTGGGGAGGCTGAGGCGGGTGGATCATGAGGTCAGGAGATCGAGACCATCCTGGCTGACACAGCGAAACCCCGTTTCTACTAAAAATACACACACAAAAAAAATTAGCTGGGCGTGGTGGCATGCACCTGTAGTCCCAGCTACTCGGGAGGCTGAGGCAAGAGAATCACTTGAACCAGAGAGGCGGAGGTTGCAGTGAGCAGAGATAGTGCCATTGCACTCTAGCCTGGCCAACAGCGAGACTGTGTCAAAAAAAAAGAAATTATGCCTTAATGTGAAATACATATACAGGTTCTTCTTATCTGAGGAATGTAAGCCCTTTCTTAAAAGTTATCAGGCCCGGAGAGGCATTAAAATGAAACAGCAATCAAGTCCTACTTCCCCCTTGAGCTATGTAGTTATCTCCAGAAACCGCGTAATCTAACAATGCTACACACTGGGCACCATAACCCTGCTATAGCTCGACGATGTAACAACGTTATTTCTGTAAACCAGTGAGAATTCCTGATGAACAACTTTGTTTCTATCCACTCCTTGTGCCCCGTTTTTGCCTTTAAAAACTTGCTTATAAAAAAGGTTGCATGGCGCACTCCCCAAGGCAGCTTGGAAGCATGTCCCAGGCAGCTGTTCTCAACCTTGGCCCAAATAAATTTTCTATATTAATTTTGCCTCAGCTTCTTCCCCTAGGTCAATATTAACATGGAAGGCTTACCACAGAACCTTTGGGATAAAAAATTTAAACATAAAAAGCACAGCCAACTAGACTCCCAACACTGTATGTATATATATGTGTGTGTGTGTGTGTATATATATATATGTGTGTGTGTGTGTGTGTATATATATATATGTGTGTGTATATATATATGTATATATGTGTATATATATATGTGTGTGTGTATACACACACACACACACACACACACACACATACATGCATACATATATATATATTTTTTTTTTGAGACAGAGTCTCACCCTGTCACCCAGGCTGGAGTGCAGTGGTGCGATCTCGGCTCACTGTAACCTCCGCCTCCTGGGTTCAAGTGATTCTCCTGCCTCAGCCTCCCGAGTAGCTGGGATTACGGGCACCCACCAACATGCCCGGCTAATTTTTGTATTTTTAGTAGAGATGGGGTCTAACCATGTTGGCCAAGCTGGTCTCGAACTCCTGACCTTAAATGATCCACCCACCTCGGCCTCCCAAAGTGCTGGGATTACAGGCGTGAGCCACCACGCCCGGCCACTGTTAGATTTTATGTTTTATGTAACAGCTCCAACACTCTTGACATTTTACCTAATAGCCTTTAAATTATTACATATCACTCTGTAATTGAGAAAAAAAATTGGAAAAAAACCAAAGACCTCAAACAAGTGCTAATCCTAGATGAATCATTTAGTTGTTTTAAGGCAAAGGAATAGAAATAAAGTGTGGGAAAAAAATCAAAATAAATCTACAGATATTTCTGTGAAAAAGAGCTGCTATTCAAAAGGGTAGAACCGCTCTAGCTTTGTGATAGGATCAATGGCATTTTAGGGTTTGGTACGTGTGCTTGTAGTGCCAGCTACTCGGGAGGCTGAGATGGGAAGACCTCTTGAGACTGAGAGGTGGAGGCTGCAGTGAGCTCTGATTGTGCCACTGCACTCCAGCCTGGGTGTCAGAATGAGACCCTGTCTCAAATACATACAAACACAACCAATAGCATCAGATTATCTGGGCTCACCCCAGGTCTGCCAACCACAAATTCTATAAAGCCTTAGTTTTCATCTGAAAAAGAAAAAAAGAAAAAAAAAAGGAGAAAACTACCTAGTACATAAAGTTATTTTGATGATTAAATGAGGTGACAAGGTATCACATTTACTACAGTGCCTTTAAACACAGTAAAAATTCAAAAGATGCTGGATTTTGGAATTAAGGCCACTTGATCTGATCAAATAATTTTTACAAGAATTTGGAGGTGGCAGAAGACCTTTATTTGGATTATTTTGCTATTATAAAGCCTTACAATTAGGTTCAGCTTCAATGCAGTGTATCTTCTGCAATACATATTCCTTACATCTTAAGTTTCCCATTCTTAGTAGCATTACATTAAAACATGAGATGCACTCTCCTGACGTATCCAGGCAGTATCACATACAGAAAGATATTTACCTACCCCTCAAAGTACATAGGGGTATTCTTGATTGTTTAACATTCAGAGACAGAAAGGAATAGAATCATTTCCCTCTGAAAGTGGAATTTGGCAGCAACTGCGAAACCAGTGGGTGGGTTGCCACGGAGTGTGCTCAGACCCCACCACAGGAGGGAAGGGAGGGAAGCACTCTTGGTTCCCACAGAATTCCTTACAACAAAAGTTTACAACAGAAGTTGCCAAGCTTCACAGGCAAATGCTTCACCAAACCAAAGCCTATTCTTAATCCAATACCTTATCAGAATTTAAAAATCCTTCCTTTGCTTAAAAACCCATTTTATACTTCTCTAGGTCCCACCTCCTCCTCACAGCGTGAGCTTTAGCAGAGTCTGTGTATCTTTTCAGAGATTTCTTACTGGCTAAAATGCCCTTCCCCTTTTGCCAGCTATTCCTTAATTGGGTTTCAATTCTTGGCTCATGTGCCACCACCTCCTCCTCATACAAGCCCCTCCTGGATGAGGCACCAACCTGTGCTATCTCCCTACACCTGTGCATACAAACCTCCCACCAAATCGCTTATGCACTGCCGAACAATGGCTTGCTCACCTATCTCACTTCAGTAGGCAGCGGACTGGGCTTAAGCCACCACTATCTGACTGCTTACAATTAGCCAAATATTGAAGTGACAGATCATTTTGTAGGCATGGATTTACAGGCAAATATCGTTCCTTTTCCAGAAATGAGGAAGCTGTGGCTCAGGCAGTTAGACAACTTTCCCAAGAACCTAGATGTAGAAAATGCAAGGGCGGGCAGTTTCCTGCTTTCCTCTTCGAGTCTCCAAAGGACCACACAGTGTCTGGCACAAATCGGGAGCCCCAAGTTTGCTGCATAAAGTTTACCTCATTGATAACTGTTCTATTTCTACACTGTATACCCAAGTATTTTATCAATGAGGCACACTGAGCTGACCTTTCTCTCTTAGCATCAGCAGAACTGGACTAGCTTGACCACTGACTCCACCCTTCAGCAAAGATCTCTGATTAAACCTTTTCTATACACATGCATAATAAATTCCAAGGCAGTGCTCCCTTCAGCAGCACATATATAAAGTTGAACAATACAGGAAAGATTAGCATGGCCTTTGGGCAAGAACAGCACCCAAATTCATGAAACATTCCATTTTTTTTTTTAAATCCTGAGCCAGCTGATGCCAGACTCCAACAGTCTAGAGGCAAAGGCAAAATATATTTGAAAAACAAGGAGTACGATCATTTTTTTTCCTCTTTACACTGCAATTTTCCTGAAAAAAGGCTAAAATATTTTTTCCTCTAACCCACTTAATGGTACCAATGCCAAGTAAGTATAAACCCAGTATCTGCGGCTTTTGAAGGACAGTAGGAAAGTAGAAGGGGGTTGGAGGGGGCAATACAAAGTGAACAGGTGCTCATTTCTACAAGGAGTCCCCAACCTGTATTTCCTATTATGAGAGAAATGACTTCTGAATTTCACTGTTATTACTGACAGAATGCCCCAGTCAGCTCATAAAACTCAATGATGTAGTTAAAGTTCTCTTAAAAAGGAAAAGAAAAATATTTTAATTTTCACAGTAAGATTTTTTTTTCTTAAGAGATGAGGCCTTGCTATGTTGCCCAAGCTGGACTTGAACTCCTGGACTCATGCAATCCTCCTACCCTAGCCTCCCGAGTAGCTGGGACTACAGGGTCACACCACTACATCTCACTTTTAAAGAATGAGTACTTGAGAAAACCAGCTAGGCATAATTCTAAACAGCAAAGTGTCTTTGTAACAATTTTCCCTTAAGTAACTTGAGGATATCTCTAAGAAATTAAGGACAGAAGAAAGCAGGATGAAAACACAAATCAAAGATTTCTCTAGGCCAGGTGCGGTAGCTCATGCCTGTAATCCCAGCACTTTGGGAGGCTGAGGCAGGAGGGATCACCTGAAGTCGGGAGTTCGAGACCAGCCTGGCAAACAAGGTGAAACCCCATCTCTACTAAAAATACAAAAATTAGCCAGGCATGGTGACGCACGCCCGTAATCCCAGCTACTTGGTGGCTGAGGCAGAAGAATCACTTGAACCCGGGAGATGGAGGTTGCAGTGTGCCGAGATTGCACCACTGTACTCCAGCCTGGGTGACAGATTCCATCTCAAAAAAAAGAAAAAAACAACAAAGTAACTCAGACTTACTCTTGAAATTACATTCAAAAAGGACAAGCACTCACACTGAACATGCTTAAGGAGTATGAATTATTAATTTAGGGAATATGCAGGGAAATTTTATTAAGATTCTTATTCCAATCAAGAAAGAATTTATTTCCGAAATAGCAAAATGAAATATTATTTTAAAAGATCTTCACAAGAGGTAATTATGAGGATAAATTTTTATTCAAAGCTTAATTGTACTCATTAGAAGTGTTCTGATTATGTCACTTGTGAAAAAATTCTTTGTGACAAACAACATCTAACACTCCTTGGAGAGTTAATGAAAACATCCTAAACCCCTGTGGGATGCCAACAGGAAAACAAACAGGGCAGCTCTCCTTTAGAGCAGCTCAGGTGCTCTTCTCCAAATACCTACCGTGATTCTTCCTCACCTGAGAGTAAGATGGGTCTACACCATCATGTTGGTCCCACCTTCCCCACCCTGACTCCCTGAAGTCAGAGAAGGAATAAAAAGGTCAAGAAGGAATGTTCTAGGTCACTTTGAAAGAAAATCTTCTCTCCTCCAAAACAAAGATCGGGGAAAACACTTATCCCCACTTAGATCAATTTCATATTTCATTTGGAGTTAGTAAAAGCAAAATATATGCAAATTATATGCAATTATAGCTAATCCTCATTTTTCTCCTCGCCCTAATTTCATCCCTAGTTCACACATGGGAGAGAGTCAGGCTAGACCTGCACCCATGTGGTCTAGCAATGTGCAAAAGCCATCTACCTCTAAGAAGGAAAGGGAAGTTCACCTGTTGAGTATTCAGCATGTGCCAGGCAAACCCGACTTCGTTTATTCTCACCGCCACCCAAGGAGATACAATTATCTCTATTTTCAGATGAGGAAATTGAGTTTCTACAGTTAAATTAACTTGCTCAAAGTCACAGAGAAGGTAAAGTAGCAGAGGGGAGATTTGAACCCTGGTCCATCTAGCTCCAAAGCTCAGCTCTTTCTGGCATAAAAAACTGCCACCTCAAGAATTCAAACATGGCTTGAAGTACCCATCTTGGATGGGTATTTTGACTGGTCTTTGTAACAAAGGAGACCATTCTCATTGTCTTAAACTCCTCCCCATTTTGAAGAGCTTTATTTGCCTATTAGTTTAACTTTGTAAGAGCAGCTATTGATGCAAAATTATTATGAGTATGTTTCAGTCACCATGTGCCTTTGTTTAGGTCAGCGTTTAGGAACACCTCTCTCAAAAAGGAAAGAGTAGGATTTTCCCAGCTTGGTGATTAAAGTGGAGATATACCTCAGGCATCAGAGGGAGGAGCATCTTAATCTTAAGGATCATCTCCAGGTTTACAACCTGCCCATTCCACCCTCCTCAGCCCTATGCCCTTGTACTACAGGTTCTCAACAGTAAGTGGTCTAACTCGTTTTTCCTGTTTTTTGATATTTTACACCCTCAGATACTCCCCCAAATAAAAGCTTCAAAATCGACTGGAAAGTTCTCTTAGACTTTTCTCCACCTTTGGTCACTTGAAGGCAGACGGTCCCACATCTACTAATCCCACAAATAATGAGATCGTGGACCAGGTTTGAACATGTCTGGTTATTTTACCTTGCTCAGATGGCATTTAGGATTTAGAAAACAAATTGCCCCTACCCAACTGCACGCTGTCCAAAGAAACAGTAATAATATAGACCAATGAGAACTATAAATAAAATCCTAAGCCCCCAACCGAGAAGACCCCCTTTTGGCCAAGAGTGCCCCAGAGAAATCTTAACTGAGTTCCTGGCCATGACAGAATGGGAGGTCAGACACAACTCATTTACTCCCTCCCTTCTGCGGTTCAGACACAGCTGACCAGCATTCATGTTAACATAGAGATCATCAAGACTGATAGAAATAGACTCTTTGTGGCAATAAAACACCAAATTATAAATAAGACCTAAGGCCATGCCAGACAAGGGTTAAATCCCACACCCCTACATTTGTCCTAACCATACACTATGTTCTAACCACCATAAGGTTGCTCTTTTTCTCCAGCAGCCAAACAAGCACTGGCCTCAAGATAAGCAAGATTAAAGCAATTGCGTAAGCCTACTATGTACCCACAAAAATTAAAAATAAAAACTTACAAAAAAATACAAAAAGAAAACAACTGCAGCTCATCCACCAACAGATACTGACTGACCCCTGTTCCACAAGCCATACAGCTTTGACTGGACAAGAAACTGATTTCAGTAACTTTCTCCTGATCAGAGACTAGCAGCCGTGGAATGGTTCTGGCCAGCTTGCAGAGGCTGCACGTGAGTGCCTTGTGTTCCTGCTTCACCTTTTTTTTTTTTTTGAGACGAAGTCTCACTCTGTTACCCAGGCTGGAGTGCAGTGGCACTGTGTCGGCTCACTGCAACCACCGTCTCCTGGGTTCAAGCAATTCCCCTGCCTCAGCCTCCTGAGTAGCTGGGATTGCAGGCGCCCACCACCACACCCAGCTAATTTTTATATTTTTAGAAGAGAAGGAGTTTCACCATGTTGGCCAGCTTGTCTCGAACTCCTGACCTCAGGTGATCCGCCCGCCTCGGCCTCCCAAAGTGCTAGGATTACAGGTGTGAGCCACCGCGCCTGGCCCCTGCTTCACCTTTTGATGTACAGGGCCTAATTGTAATACATTTAAATGTTAAGTCTCCACCCCAAAGTGAACATGGGATGTATGTAACACGAATGTTTGTTCATTACGCATGCATCAGGACCCGATTCACGGATATTCATAGCTCCTCCTATAACCTGTTGAATAGGAATGTATGGCC
This sequence comes from Homo sapiens, assembly GCF_000001405.40. Classification (NCBI taxonomy): domain Eukaryota; kingdom Metazoa; phylum Chordata; class Mammalia; order Primates; family Hominidae; genus Homo; species Homo sapiens. Next base: position 309,747 of record NW_003315917.2, on the reverse strand, counting down.
AACCTGTTCAGCATTAAGCTCTTGTCCCAACTCCATCTCCTTCTAAGTGCCTTTCAGTGTCTGCCAGAAGCTACGCTTCCAAGACTGTCAAGGATGGCCACCTTACAGGTTGTAACCCTTTATAATAAATAGTCTCCTTTCTACTTTTTTCTTTCACAGCTGGAGATCCTTTCTAAATTTATAATTGTGTCAATCTTTAGGTTGACACCACCAAAGGTAAATTCTGAAATTCCCTGAGAGTCAATAAGTTATTAGAGCTCTGAATAAGTTATTAGAGCTCTGGAAGGGGATGAGGTAGAAAAACCTTGTACTCAGTGAGGCTTACCAATGATCTCATTCAAGGCCCCTTACTTAAACAAAAATCCCTGTGAAGACTGTTAAATATACCTGTACCTCATGCCAGAGTTTTTCAACAGGTGTGCCAGGATGTCTTTGGTCGCCCAGCCTGTGAGCCAATCATCTGCAGTTCCAGATCCCCCTCAGTTTACTCCAGTATTTTGTACTAAGTCACCATTTTCCAAGTATGCCATGATGTAATGATAACTTGCTTACAGTTTAATGGTTGCAGCTTGAATCTATAAAATAGTGGTTCTCGAAATATGGTCTCCAGACCAGCTACATTAATATTACCGACCTAGGCCCCAGCCAGGCCTAGCGCACACATCATAAACTCCAGGGTGGGAGTGAGTGGGCTGTTTCAATGAGCCCTCCAGGTGATTCTGTTGCCTGCAAAAGTTTGAGAACTACTGACGTAGACACAATTCTCTTCTATGTTGCAGACCACTGTACCTCGTAAAGACCTACAAGTTAAGGGTCTCTTTTGCCTACAGTGATGCTCAAACCTGACAGTGCCTGGTTTTCTGGTCCAGGTGTCATAAAATAACCTAGAAAAACGGTGAGAAGGTTCACTCGGCATGAGAACAGCTGAGGGTACCTACTTTTATCACAGTGGAAACATTAGTTGATTCTCAGCCCTGAGAAGGACCTCTATCATACCATCAACACAATGGAAAAGGGAAGGAACACATCTTTCCCTAAAGGAGAGAAGGCACTTTGGCTTGTCATATCTATAAAGGGTTAGTCATTTGTGAAAAGGACACTAATGATCACGCAATAGACTATACTTCCTCAGGACTATGCCTCATAAAAAGTTGACCTTTACCCCATAAAAACTCTTATAAAAATCAAGAGTATCAGAGAAACTGGTTGAGTTTTGCCACCTCAGCAATTGCCAAAAGGTAAAAAGTAGAAGAGAAAACACATTAGGCCAATAAACATGACATGTTCAGAAGAAATATAAACCAAGACAACACTGATACACTTTTACACGTTTGACTGGAAAATATTATAAAGTCTAACACCACCAAGAGTTGCTGGTTTAGATTATATATGAAAAATAATTTGACATTGTCTTATAGAAATGTACACTCACAGGCCAGGCACGGTGGCTCACGCCTGTAATCCCAGCACTTTGGGAGGCTGAGGCGGGCGGATCATGAGGTCAGGAGATCGAGACCATCCTGGCTAACATGGCGAAACCCCGTCTAGACTAAAAATACAAAAAATTAGCTGGGTGTGGTGGCGGGCACCTGTAGTCCCAGCTACTCAGGAGGCTGAGGCAGGAGAATGGCGTCAACCCGGGAGGTGGAGCTCGCAGTGAGCCGAGATCGCACCACTGCACTCCAGCCTGGGTGACAGAGCGAGACCCTGTCTCAAAAAAAAAAAGAAAAGAAAAGAAAGAAATGTACACTCACAAACGCTGCATCCCAGAAGTTCCACTCTTAGGTACATAGCCAAGAGAAATGTTCACAAGTATAGGTGATTTAAAAATGTTCATGGGGCCAGGCGGGATTCACGGGATTACACTCACACCTGTAATCCCAGAACTTTGGGAGGCCAAGGCAGGTGGATCACTTGAGGTCAGGAGTTTGAGACCAGCCTGGCCAACATGGCAAAACCCTGTCTCTACTAAAAATACAAAAATTAGCCAGGTGTGGTGGCATACGCCTATAATCCCAGCTACTTGGGAGGCTGAAGTGGGAAAATTGCTTGAACCCGGGAGGCGGAGGTTACAGTGAGCCAAGATCATGCCACTACATTCCAGCCCAGGCAACAGAGCAAGACACTATCTTAAAAATAAATAAATAAAAAATAAAAATGTTCATGGCAGTTGTAATGGTCTTAATAATCCAAAACCCCATTAAAAGGAAACTGGATAAACTGCTGTGAAATGTGATAAAATAGAGGACCAGACAATGGCGACATCAGATGGACTTCAACTCCATCAACATGTATTAATCTATAACCTAACTCTGAGTAAAAAGGCAAATGCCAAGACACTACATGCAGGTACACCTTCTACAAAGTTAAAAAACACCCAAAACAAAATCATGTTGCTAAGTTATACATGTATGCAGGTAAAAACTTAAAAAGCAAATTATAATAAACTCAAAATTCTAGATAGGCTACCTCTGGGGGCAGGTAGAAGCAAGTAGATGAGAGAGTAAAAAATGTATAATGTAACTTAGTAATGTATTGTAATTATTAGGTGGGATGGTAGATCTGCAGGTGTTCATTATGAAACAATAAATGTACCAGGAATGCTATGCATGGACTAAAGGTGATAATGTCATAAACTAAGAATTGAATTAATCTATTTCTGTGCACCTGAAGTCCAGTTTTTGTTTTTAGAGACAGAGTCTCACTTTGTCACCCAGCCTGAAGTGCAATGGCACATCTCGGCTCACTGCAACCTCCACCTCCCAGGTTCAGGTGATTTCCCACCTCAGCCTCCAGAGTAGCTGGGACTACAGGCATGCGCCACCAGGCCCAGCTAATTTTTGTATTTTCAGTAGAGACAGGGTTTCACCATGTTGGCCAGGATGGTCTCAAACTCCTGACCTCAACTGATCTACGCACCTTGGTCTCCCAAAGTGCTGGGATTACAAGTGTCAGCCACTGTGCTCAGCCTTAAAGTCCAGTTTTTAAAAAGGTAATCATTGGCCGGGCACGGTGGCTTACACCTGTAACCCCAGCACTTTGGGAGGCTGAGGCGGGTGGATCACCTGAGGTCAGGAGTTTGAGACCAGCCTGGCCAACGTGGCAAAACCCCATGTCTACTAAAAATACAAAAATTAGCTGGGTGTGGTGACACATGCCTGTAATCCCAGCTACTTAGGAGGCTGAGGCAGGAGAATCGCTTGAACCCGGGAGGTGGAGGTTGCAGTGAGCCGAGATCATGCCACTGCACTCTAGCCTGTGTGACAGAGCAAGACTTCATCTCAAAAAATAATTAAAAAAAAAAAAAAAGGTAATCATTAAGGTTTTTCCTAAGAATCTACTGGCATGGAAATGCTCAGTTAGGGTTCTAATCCTGGCTTTGTCACCCATATGTGACCCCAGGCATGTGGATGAAAATGCTTTCTGTTAATATAAAACCAAATTTAACGTAAACATCAATTTTGTCTATTCTCTAAAAATATTATCATATACTGTTAGAAAATGGCTTAATAGCCCCCTTTTACACAATTATGCTGGCCAAAATGTGTTCAAAAAAGGAAGAATAATCAAAAGACTCAACTTTCACCAAAAATTGTAAAATTTCAGAAAACACAATTTCAGTATTATTCAAGTTGACCATTTGGGAACAAAATTAAGTTAGTGTTTATCTCATACTATAATAAAAAACAAGCATCTCAATATGAATAAAGTTATGACATTTGGTAAATAGTAAATATCAATATTGGTCCATTAGTGGTGACAAATGCACCACACTAATGTAGGATGTTAACAATAGGGACAACTAGCTGCACTGTGGGTAGTGGCTCACACCTGTAATCCCAGCAGTTTGGGAGGCCAAGGCAGGAGAACTGCATGAGTTCAGGAGTTCAAGAATAGCCTGGGCGACATAGCGAACTCTGTCTCTACTTTAAAAAAAAAAAAAAAAAAAAAAAAAGTCAGCCAGGCATAGCGGCACATGTCTGTAGTCCCAGCTACTTGGGAGGCTGAGGTGGGAGGACTGCTTGAGCCCAGCAGTCAAGGCTGTAGTAAGCTATGATTGCGCCATTGCACTCCAGCCTGGGCAACAGAGTGAGACCTTGCCTCAAGAAAAAAAAAAATAAAAGGGAAAACTGAGTGCCGTGGTATACAGAAATCCATCATACTATAATTGCAACTTTTCTGTAAATCTATTAATAAAACTATTCTAAAATGAAACATTTATCTTAAAAAACAAGGGGGGTGGTCCAGTGTATATCCTGGATGTTAAAAACAAAAACAAAAACACAAAAACTGGATTGGGTGCACGACACTTCTAAGTTTGCTAAAAATCACTGTAAATTTTTAATGGGTGATGACAATGTATGGTATATAAATTGTACCTCAATAAAGCTGTTTAAAAAAATATGTTTCTGGTGGTCTAAAGCTTCTGGTGATCTTAAAGGTCTAGGTTGGGCGAAAATAAAAACAAGAAATATGAGAGAGGAACATTACACCAATCAAGGATGTTAAAATGTACCAAGGACTGACATATGTTTAACTCAACCCTCTGCACACATTTAGTACACATGGGGTAAAAAAAATAAAACTTTAAAATACCAACGAAACTACAGGAGGGTATTATTTAAACCTTGAAGGGGGTGTAAAACTCTCTAGGAACAAAGATATGTAGAGGCCATAAAGAGACAGGAAATATAAGTACATAAAAAAATAAGAAGTCTGGGCATGGTGGCAAATGCCTACAATCCCAACACTTTGGGAGGCCAAGGCACAAGGATCACTTGAGGCCAGGAGTTCAAAACGAGCCTGGGTAACATAGTGAGACCCTCTCTCTTAAAACAAACAAAAAAACACTGTAGACAAAGATGAAAGACCACAATAATGTGGGAGAAGTTATCATCAATAAGACAAAATATTAATATCCATAATATAAAAAACTCTAGTCAGGAAAGAACGAACAATCACGGAAAACTAAGCCATGCTATGAAGATGTCAAGTGATGAAGAATAGGAAATAAGCATATGCTTAATCACCAAATTTTGAAAATGAAACTTTATTTTTACTTACTGGATTAACAAAAATTAATGACAGATAATAACCAGAACAGAAAAAAATGTTGGGAACTGAGCAATTTCATATACCATCAGGGTTAGTAGAATCTGCAGAGCTTTCAAAAACAATGCAACTTGGTAATCCCTTGTAAAATGCTTTTTTTCAAGAGATAGGGGTCTTGCTCTATTGCCTAAGCTGGAGTACAGTGACACAACCATAGCTCACTGCAGCCTCAACTCTTGAGCTCAAGAGATCCTTCTGTCTCATCCTCCCGAGTAGCTGGGACTAGAGTCGAGCTACCATGCCCAGCTAACCTAGTAAAATTTTAAGTGTGCACACTCAATGACTAGTTCTAGAAATTTATCTTACACAAACACTAGCAAGAGTGCATAAAGACATGTGAGAGAATGTTCACTGCAGCGTTATCTGTAATAGTAAACAACTGAACACAATTAAAATGTCCATAAATAGGAGAATGAATCATCGTATACTCATACTATGAAATACCACCCAGCTGCCAAGAGCAATTAGGTCTATGTGCTGACAGACTTGGAAAGATGTTCACAAAACAAAGTTTTTAAAAAAGCAAACTGCATACAACGTGTACATTATGATCCTATTTTTGGTTTTAAAATAACACCAATTTTTGGGTTTAAAATAAATTGGCTAGGCACGGTGGCTCATGCCTGTAATCCCAGCACTTTGGGAGGCCGACGCGGGTGGATCGCCTGAGGTCAGGAGTTCGACCAACGTGGTGAAACCCCATCTCTACTAAAAGTACAAAAATTAGCTAGACGTGGTGGCATGTGCCTGTAATCCCAGCTACTCAGGAGGCTGAGGCAGGAGAATCACTTGAATCCAGGAAGTGGAGATTGTAGTGAGCTGAGATTGCGCCATTGCACTCCAGCCTGGGTGACAGAGCGAGACTCCATCTCAAAACAAAAATCCCACCAAATTATTAAAAGTAACAACATTACATTATTTACCATGTGCAAGGTATTATACTAAGTATTTTACAAATATTAACAAGTTTGAGGCTGCAGTGAGCTATGACTGTACCACTGCACTCCAACACGGGTGACAGAGCTACACCCTGTCTCTAAATAAATAATAACAAAAGTAAAAAAAAAAATTTAAGGGAGTATGAGCATACTTCCAATTTAGAATAAGAAATAGGAAAGGAAAAAGATGATTAAAGAAAGTACCCCAGGCCAGGCATGGTGGCTCACGCCTGTAATCCCAGCACTTTGGGAGGCAGAGGATCACGTAGTCAGAAGTTTGAGGCCAGCCTGGCCAAGATGGTGAAACCCCGTCTCTACTAAAAATACAAAAATTAGCCGGGCACAGTGGCAGGCGCCTGTAATCCCAGCTACTTGGGAGGCTGAGGCAGGAGAATCGCTTGAACCCAGGAGACAGAGGTTGCAGTGAGCCGAGATAGTGCCACTGCGCTCCAGCCTGGGCAACAGAGCAAGACTCCATCTCAAAAAAAAAAAAAAAGTACCCCATAGTGGTAACTTAAGTTGACATAATTTTCTTTATACAGGCCAGGCATGGTGGCTGACGCCTATAATCCTAGCACTTTGGGAGGCCGAGGCAGGCAGATCACCTGAGGTCAGAAGTTTGAGACCAGCCTGGCCAACATGACAAAACCCCATCTCTACTAAACATACAAAAAGTAGCTGCACATGGTGGCAGGCACCTGTAATCCCAGATACTCGGAAGGCTGAGGCAGGAGAATCACTTGAACCTGGAAGCGGGAGGCTGCAATGAGCTGAGATCGTGCCATCGCACTCCAGCCTGGCAACAGAGCGAGACTGTCTCAAAAACAAACAAACAAACAAAAATTACTTTATACAGTTGGCCCTTGAACAACCAGGTTTGAACTGCATGGGTCCACATATACGTGGATTTTTTTCAACTAAACATAGATGGAAAACAGTATTGGCGGAATGCAAAACCCAGGTATCCAGAGGGCCAATTTTTCATACACATGGGTTCCACCGACTACAGGACTTGAATATGCATGGATTTGGGTATACATGGGGGTCCCGGAACCAACCACCTGAGTATACCAAGGAATGACTGCACTTCACTGTATTTTCCAAATCATCCATACTTAACCAAATAAAATATTTAATTAAAAAAATCAGATCTGAAATTTGAGGGCAGAACAAAACAAAGACCTGCAAAGTTTAATTAAACAAATCTTAAAACATTTAAAATACAAACTGGTATCCATCTGAGTGACTATAAAAGACCAGGTTAAAAACCAAGCAGCGTGCAAACATGAGCTGTTTATTTTACAAGGAACAAGATATCCAGAAAAAGGAAGGGGGAAAAAAAGCCCTAAGAAGGGCAGAGAAACCACTGTGTTGAGCCAACAGGGACAGGGAATTATAAAACTCTAAATTTTCTCACAGATTATACAAAAGGGATAAAACTTGTTTTAAACACTGAAGGCACAGCTTTTGACTACCCTCTGCTCTGAGAGGTGGGAGGGCAGGAGGCGTGTTATAATCCTGAAGATGCTAAAAATCCAAGAAGGAAGTCAGTAAGATTTAGTAACATAATAAAATTCTAGACCGACCCCAATCTGTAGGGAGGGATTAAACTAATATTGAGTAGCTAATTGTTACTGTAGTACTTTTTTGTTTTGCTTTTTTGAGACAGGGTCTCACTCTGTCACCCAGGCTGGAGTGCAGTGGCGAGATCATGCCTCACTGCAGCCTTGACCTCCCAGGCTCCAGCAATCCTCCCACTTCAGCTTCCCAAGCAGCTGGGACTACAGGCACCTGTGCCCACGTCCGGCTAATTTTTTAAATTTTTTGTAGAGATAGGGTCTTGCCTTGTTGCCCCAGATGGTCTTAAACTCCTGGGCTCAAGTGATCCTCCTTGGCCTCGCAAGTACTGGGATTACAGACATGAGTTTTTCTTTTCCCCCCGAATCAGCCATTATTAGCTATATGGGGAGTAACCTGTCTCAGCTCTTTGCAATCAATCAAACCCAAATTTTAATTCTCCTTTAGTGCAAGTAGTTAATTCTAGATTCTCATCCACTATTTTAAGTAGAGATTGTTTTGATATTAATTTCTCATGACCAAAAGGAAGAAAACTCCCTAATCTACTCCACTGTGAACAGTTTAGATGCAGGATGACACAATTCCACAGCGATGGCCACATTATCAGGGTGAAACTAATCAGGCAGAAATGAGAGTAACAGGCTACATCTGCCTGTTCCATCAATTAAGGAAATAATGAGAACGTGGTATTGAATTCCGCGACATGAACTTGGGCAGGTGAGGGGAGAATAGAAAGAAAGGCAAAATATCTGTGGTTAAACCACCTCCAAATAATTTATTTTAAATAGGCTTTCTGAGGCATTTCAGTTCAAAAAACTGAAGGGCAGAGGAAAAGAAATGAGGAATTTGCCTCTGGTTAAGAATCACATAAAACATTAGTTTGGGCAAAATCATATATCTGCTATTCAACAGACAATTCTTTTACATACAATGAAAATACTTGTTACTAGAGAGAAACAATGAAGTCCACATGCAACAACCCACAGGCTATCAAATTTCCAGAGGTTCAAGGAGGAATTTTATTAAAATAATACCTTCTTAAAAGCTAAGTAGTTCTTTCACCTTAATCATCATCACCTCCATAAGTTACAACAGCTATCTTTTGCCAAATTATCAAAAGCAACTAGAACTGATTAAACCTTCATGACAGTAAAATCAGATGAGAGGCCAAAGTTCACTGGGACTCTAATATTACTGGCATTGGTCTCCCTTGAGTCGGGTTTGTTGTTTTTAAGCCTCTTGAAACCTTAAGTAAACAAATCTAACTGCCAACGAAAACTAACACACCCAGAAACTCTCAGCGAAACATTTACTTCATAGCTCATAATATAGACCTGTCCTATTCCAGCTACAAGTGGCCTTGCCTGGAGGTAAATGTCGAAAGAAAACACTTCCTAACACCTTCACACTTTAAAGTGAGGGGAAAAAAAAACAGGGCTTCAAGTCAAGGGCAGGGACATAAGAACTATCGTCTCAGTGGTGAATACATACCACAGCCTTCCTGGCTTTCCTAAGACTGCTTCATTTTTGCTCCTTAATTAACCAGAAAAAAATTTCATCTATCTTCCTAGATTTCCTTAAAAATCAGACTTACAGAATGTTAGAGCTAAGCCTTCAAGATATTGTCTTGCCTATAATCCCAGCACTTTGGGAGGCCAAGGCAGGCAGATCACTTGAGGTCAGGAGTTCGAGACCAGCCTGGCCAACGTGGTGAAACCCCATCTCTCCTAAAAATACAAAAAAATTAGTCAGGCATGGTGGTATGCACCTATAGTCCTAGCTACTCGGGAGGCCAAGGCAGGAGAATCTCTTGAACCCGGGAGGCGGAGGTTGCAGTGAGCCAATATTGCACCACTGTACTCCAGCCTGAACGACAGAGCCAGAAGCCGTCTCAAAAAAAAAAAATATATATATATATATATATTAATGTCTTTACCCCAGACCTGACTAGCAGCAGCCAGCATCCATCTTTAGCCACCCCACTCCCAGTGGCCAAAATAAACCTTCCTGGGAACCTGTGGCCATACCTTCATGACAATAAATCAATCTGCTCAAAGAACCCTGTGATGTCAGTTTCTGAGGTAGCTTCTAACAGGACCCTAACAGGATTTCTTAGAAAAAGTTTCACTCCAAACATCTTTTCATTTTTATTTTTTTCCGAGACAGGGTCTCACTCTGCCATCCAGGCAAGAGTGCCAGTGGCAGAATAACAGCTCACTGCAGCTTCAACCTCCCATGCTCCAGTGATTCTATCACCTCAGCCTCCTGAGTAGCTGGGACTACAGGCATACATCATCATGCCCAGCTAATTTTTTTTTTATTTTTTGTAGAGACAGGGTCCCATTATGTTGCCTAGGTTGTTCTCAAACTCCTGGACTCAAGTGATCCTTCCACCTTGGCCTCCCTAAGTGCTGGGATTCCAAGTGTGAGCCACCACACCTGGCCTCTAAAAAGCTCTAAAAACAGTTTACTAACACTCATTTGGGAGGCATCTTTAAAGAGGAACTTTCCAGGCTTTCAGCAAATCACATCATATAGGAAGCTTGGTAAGATTAATAGTATATATTTTTAAAAGGAAATTTTTCTAATCTGTCTTTGCCTCACTGAAGTATTTCATAATGTTAACTCAGAATTAGTCACTGTGGTTTGTCATGCTGTTATCTATGTCAAAAGTTTTGCCCTCTCCCTCTCCCCCCTCTCCCTCTCCCCACGGTCTCCCTCTCCCTCTCTTTCCACGGTCTCCCACTGATGCCGAGCCGAAGCTGGACTGTACTGCTGCCATCTCGGCTCACTGCAGCCTCCCTGCCTGATTCTCCTGCCTCAGCCTGCCGAGTGCCTGCGATTGCAGGCGCGCGCCACCACGCCTGACTGGTTTTCTTATTTTTTTGGTGGAGACGGGGTTTCGCTGTGTTGGCCGGGCTGGTCTCCAGCTCCGAACTGCGACTGATCCGCCAGCCTCGGCCTCCCAAGGTGCCGGGATTGCAGACGGAGTCTGGTTCACTCAGTGCTCAATGGTGCCCAGGCTGGAGTGCAGTGGCGTGATCTCGGCTCGCTACAACCTCCACCTCCCAGCCGCCTGCCTTGGCCTCCCAAAGTGCCAAGATTGCAGCCTCTGCCCGGCCGCCACCCCGTCTGGGAAGTGAGGAGCGTCTCTGCCTGGCCGCCCATCGTCTGGGACGTGAGGAGCCCCTCTGCCTGGCTACCCAGTCTGGAAAGTGAGGAGCGTCTCTGCCCGGCCGCCATCCCATCTAGGAAGTGAGGAGCGCCTCTTCCCGGCCCCCATGCCATCTAGGAAGTGAGGAGCGTCTCTGCCCGGCCGCCCATCGTCTAAGATGTGGGGAGCGCCTCTGCCCCGCCACCCCGTCTGGGATGTGAGGAGCGCCTCTACCCAGCCGCGACCCCGTCTGGGAGGTGAGGAGCGTCTCTGCCCAGCCGCCCCGTCTGAGAAGTGAGGAGACCCTCCGCCTGGCAACCGCCCCATATGAGAAGTGAGGAGCCCCTCCGCCCGGCAGCCACTCTGTCTGGGAAGTGAGGAGCGTCTCTGCCCGGCAGCTACCCCATCCGGGAGGGAGGTGGGGGGGTCAGCCCCCCGCCCGGCCAGCCGCCCCGTCCGGGAGGGAGGTGGGGGGGTCAGCCCCCCGCCCGGCCAGCCGCCCCGTCCGGGAGGGAGGTGGGGGGGGGTCAGCCCCCCGCCCGGCCAGCCGCCCCGTCCGGGAGGTGAGGGGCGCCTCTGCCCGGCCGCCCCTACTGGGAAGTGAGGAGCCCCTCTGCCCGGCCAGCCGCCCCGTCTGGGAGGGAGGTAGGGGGGTCAGCCCCCTGCCCGGCCAGCCGCCCTGTCTGGGAGGTGAGGGGCCCCTCTGCCCGGCCGCCCCTACTGGGAAGTGAGGAGCCCCTCTGCCCGGCCAGCCGCCCCATCCGGGAAGGAGGTGGGGGGGTCAGCCCCCCGCCCGGCCAGCCGCCCCATCCGGGAGGTTAGGGGCGCCTCTGCCCGGCCGCCCCTACTGGGAAGTGAGGAGCCCCTCTGCCCGGCCAGCCGCCCCGTCCGGGAGGGAGGTGGGGGGGTCAGCCCCCCGCCCGGCCAGCCGCCCGGTCCAGGAGGTGAGGGGCGCCTCTGCCCGGCCGCCCCTACTGGGAAGTGAGGAGCCCCTCTGCCCAGCCACCACCCCGTCTGGGAGGTGTACCCAACAGCTCATTGAGAAAGGGCCATGATGACAATGGCGGTTTTGTGGAATAGAAAGGGGGGAAAGGCGGGGAAAGGATTGAGAAATCGGATGGTTGCCATGTCTGTGTAGAAAGTGGTAGACACGGGAGACTTTTCATTTTGTTCTGTACTAAGAAAAATTCTTCTGCCTTGTGATCCTGTTGATCGGTGACCCTACCCCCAACCCTGTGCTCTCTGAAACATGTGCTGTGTCCACTCAGGGTTAAATGGATTAAGAGTGGTGCAAGATGTGCTTTGTTAAACAGATGCTTGAAGGCAGTATGCTCGTTAAGAGTCATCACCACTCCCTAATCTCAAGTACCCAGGGACACAAACACTGCAGAAGGCCGCAGGGTCCTCTGCATAGGAAAACCAGAGACCTTTGTTCACTTGTTTATCTGCTGACCCTCCCTCCACTATTGTCCTATGACCCTGCCAAATCCCCCTCTGTGAGAAACACCCAAGAATGATCAATAAAAAAAAAAAAAAGTTTAAAAGGCCTGCCACCTGCTATTCCAAAAACACTCTTGCCAATCTTGACCCACGAGAGCACCTTTGGCAATGGTTTCTGTTTATCTCCAAAATGATAAGCAGAAAAATAAAAGGGAGTAGAGGGAAGAAGTAGTTTTTGTTTTGCAAAGGCCAAGTTCTTTCTGCATGATTTTTTTAGAAGCCATTTCTTTTCAAAACCAAGATTCACTCCTTGAAAATGGAAATCTGATTTTCACCTTTTAGTAAAACCATTTCCACTTAGCCCATCCTCTTAAAATTCTGAGTAAAAACCAATGCAACAACCTTTGCAACATATACAAACATTAATTCTAAGAATAAAGTTTAACAAAGCACTAAAAATTCAGACACAAATTTGGGGCTTTAATAAAAGATGTAAAGTTATTTTTTAACACTTACCCACTCCTCGACATTGGGGGGCTGCTCATCATAAATGTGTTCCTTGTCCCACAAAATATTGGACTTGTCATACCTGTCCATCTTTCTTCGAGTTTTCACAGCAAAGAAAATTATTAAAGCAAAAGCCACAATAATCATGAACCCCAGTACAATGGCAATGGCCTAAAAAGGAGTGGAAAATATTGGCATAATTAGATTTTAATTGCTTAATCACAATTCACCCTCTACATATTATTAAAACCCTTATCTACCCTAAGGCCCTACTAAATCCATGTGGTTTAATTGATAGAAAACTGAAGCAAATAGTTACATTTCAGACATATCATAAAACCTAACCCACACTAACTGGGCTAAGGCCAGCAAATGTACACACACGTACATACTGCTTGACTCAATCCTCAGAAAATGCCTAATGTTAGGAACTATCAATCATCACCCTCATTTCAGAGCTGTAAAAAACTAGTTCCAAAGCTTGTACACCTACGGGCCAAGCTTTGTGCACCTACGAGAATGGCCAGTAAAGTAACTCAATCATTGGTATACTTCTAAAGGGCCTGAAAAATGCTACTCTCAAAAGTATTCACAGCTTTGAAATAGCCAATCATGCTTGTAATCTTGTTCAAAACATATGCTTGGCAAGCCTTTTTACACTGAATGTAAATTTCTGTCCATAGATCTCTATCTTACCAAAAATGATGAAGACATGGATCTAATCAAGCTATAAATAGCAAATTGACTAATGATTGATTTGGTCTGGCAGGTTTCTCTGTTTCAGGAGTCTTGCATACTACTAGAAAGGGCCCTGTAACAAAGAAACTTCCTACTCTTAACAGTTCTCCCAGTGGTGATAGGATATTAAATGGTATATTGGCCTGGGAGGCACTTGAAGTTGAGGGAAATATCAGGCCTCTACCCTGGATGTCTGCTAATGGGAACAAGAGGCTCTCCTTCCAGCTGTCTTGACAGTGACATCATTTTTCAAAGAGTAAGTAGTAAGAGAACTAAGAGGGATAGGGGTGTGGTAGGATAGGAGTACCAACCCTCAGTCCCTATCTACCATGGACATGTCTAAATGGCAACAACGAGCACTGTGAAAACCTACGTCTGCAGGGAAAACCTTCAGTCTTCTAAATAATGGTAGACAGATACTAGAGGTCTAACTCCAAAGGAGTGACTCATTCAGGAATGGGAACTCCTGAGTTAGTGTAAGAAAAAAGGAAAAACAAGGGAAAAAAGATCAGTAACTCAGAAACATTTCAGATATTAATATAATCAGTATGACTCATGGTTACTAAAGTAGGTTTCTCAACTCCAACCTGCACATTTGAATCACTTGCTTAGCTTTTAAACATACTAACTTACACTCTGAAAACTATAAAACACTATTAAAAGAAGTTTAACAAGACCTACATAAATCAAAAGAATCTTACGTTCACGAATCAGAAGACTTGTAATTGTAAAGATGACAATACATCCAAAATTGACCTACAGATTCAATATAACCCTTCAAAATCCTAGCTGGCATTTTTTTCCAAAATTGACATGCTGATCTTAAAATCCATATGGAAATGCAAGGAATCCAGAATCTAGCCAAAACAGTCTTGAAGAACAAAGTTGGAGAACTCCCACTCCACAATTTCAAAACTTACTATAAAGTTACAGTAATCAAGACAGTATGGTACTGGCATTAGGACATATGATTAATGCAGCTGAACTGAGAGCCCAGAAATAAATGTCCACATTTATGATCAATTCATTTTTGACAAAGGCATGAAGAAAACTTAGTGGAGGAACAGTCCTTTCAACAAGTAACACTGAGACAACTGCATATAAACATGCGAAAGCTTTCAGAACCCTTGCTTCCATCATGCCCAAAATTAACACAACATGAATCACAGACCTAACTGTAAAAGCTAAAATTATGAAACTATAGAAAAATTAAATAATAGAAAACATAGGAGTAAATCCTTGTGACCCTGAATTAGGCAAAGCATTAGATATGACACCAAAAATACAAGCAACAGAAGAAAAATTAAATAAACTGGACATCATCAAAACTAAAAATTTTTTTTTCTTTTTTTTTTTTTTGAGACAGAGTTTTGCTCTTGTTGTCTAGGCTGGAGTGCAGTGGCACAATTTCAGCTCACTGCAACCTCCACCTCCTGGGTTCAAGTGATTCTCCTGCCTCAGCCTACTGAGTAGCTGGGATTACAGGCACGCCACCGTGTCCAGGTAATTTTTCTATTTTTAGTAGAGATGGAGTTTCACCATGTTGGCCAGGCTGGTCTCGAACTCCTGACCTCAGGTGATCCGCCCACCTTGGCCTTCCAAAGTGCTGGGATTACAGGCGTGAGCTACCATGCCCGGCCCAAAACTAAAAGCTTTTATGCAAAGGACACCATCAAGAAAGTGAAAAGATGCCTATAATCCCAGCGGTTTGGAAGGCCAAGGCAGGATCACTTGAGCCCAGGAGTTCCAGCCCAGACCGGGCAACAAAGTGAGACCCTGTCTCTACAAAAAAATTTTTAAAAAATTATCCGGGTGTGGTGGCATGCCCCTGTGGTCCTAGCTACTCAGGAGACTGAGGTAGGAGGGTCACTTGAGCCCAGGAGGTCAAGGATGCAGTGAGCTGTGACTGCACCACTGCACCCCAGCCTGGGTGACAGTGAGACTCTGTCTCAAAAACAAAACAACAACAAAAATAGCCCAATTAAAACATGGGCAAGTCTAGGCCGGGCGCAGTGGCTCACACCTGTAATCCCAGCACTTTGGAGGCCGAGGCGGGCGGATCACGAGGTCAGAAGATAGAGACCATCGTGGCTAACACGGTGAAACCCCATCTCTACTAAAAATACAAAAAAAAAAAAAAAATTAGCTGGGCGTGGTGGCCGGTGCCTGTAGTCCCAGCTATTCAGGAGGCTGAGGCAGGAGAATGGTGTGAACCCAGGAGGCGTAGCTCACAGTGAGCAAAGATTACACCACTGCACTCCAGCCTGGGCGATAGAGCAAGACTCCGTCTCAAAAAGAAAAAAAAAATGGACAAGTCTAAACAGCCATTTCTCCAAAGATAAGAGAGAAATGGCCAATAAGTACATGACTATATAGCTAATAACATTAGCTATAAAGAAAATACGAATCAAAATCACAATAAAGCACCACTTCACTTCTCACCCATCAGCATGGCTAGAATCAGACAATAACAAGTGTTGGTGAGGATGTGGAGAAATTGGAACTTTCATACATTTCTGATGTGAATGTAAAATGATGCAAACTCTTTGGAAAAACTCTGGTAGCTCCCCAAAAGATTAAAGAGTCACCATATGACCCAGCAATTCCACCCCTAGGTATAACCCAACTCAAGAAATCATTAAAACATAGGTTCACACAAAAACGTATACAAGAATGTCTATAGCATGATTCTTTTTTTTTGAGATGGAGTCTTGCTCTGTCGCTCAGGCTGGAGTGCAGTGGCGCAATCTCAGCTCACTGCAAGCTCCGCCTCCCGGGTTCACGCCATTTCTTCTGCCTGAGCCTCCCGAGTAGCTGGGACTACAGGTGCCTGCCACCATGCCCAGCTAATTTTTTTTGTATTTTTAGTAGAGACGGGGTTTCACCTTATTAGCGAGGATGGTCACAATCTCCTGACCTCATGATCCGCCCGCCTCAGCCTCCCAAAGTGCTGGGATTACAAGCATGAGCCACCGTGCCCAGTCTAGCATGATTCTTAATAGCCAATGTAGACACAAATGTCTATCAACTGATAAATAAAATGTGGTTTATCCACACACTGGAATATTAGCAATAAAAAGGAATGAGAGAATGGCACAAGCTATGACATGGGTAAACCTTAAAAACATTATGCTACGTAAAAGAAGCCCATCACAAAGACCACATTGTGTGATTCCATTTATATGAAATACCTAGAGAATAGACAAATTTATAGATGTAGGATTAGTGGTTGCCTAGGGCTAAGAATGGTTAGGGAAATGAGGAGTGACCGCTAACGGGTACAAGTTTCTTTTTAGGATAGTGAAAATGTTCTAAAATTGATTGTGGTGATGGTGGCACAATTCTGTGAATATATTAAAAACCACTGAACTGTTATTTAAGTAATCAAATTACATGGTATGTTAATCATATCTTAATGAGACTCAGCCCCTCCCCCAGATTTAATTAGAAGTGGAGCCTTGTCATCAATATTTTTTAAGAGTTTCCAGAGTGATTCTATCACATATCTCAAGTTGAAGGCCTCTGCTAAGGAGATGGAGAAAAAACCCAAAACACCACTCATACCTCCTGGGGATCCACAACACAGTAGTGATACAAATACTGATCCACGTAGAGTCCAGTAGCTGCAGGTGTATAAAATTGGTTGCAGAGGGCATATATTTGTGAACCATATAGAGATCCAGAAGACTGAGCAGTTGGGTTCACTCCCATTATATAGACAATTGTGGCAATAAACACCATGATGCCCAGGATAGCACTCACTATTATCACACTTAAGTAGTATCTTCTTGTTCTGGACATTTCAGATCTTATAACACTGGTAACAAAGATCACCAACGCGGCAATGAAACAAAAGGCAGCCATGGCCAACATGAAGCCCTTTGCTGCTCTTGGGTCTGTATAGCCTCCGTAGCCATAGCCATAACCATAGCCATAGCCATAGCCACTTCCGTAGCTACCAAAGCCACTTCCTCCATAAGGGTAGCCTACACTACCTCCTAAAAGGGAAGTTCCATAGCCTCTGTCCCAGGCAAGCGTGGAGGCCACACAGGCAAAGATGGCAATGCACATCACAATAATGAGCATAGACAGGATCCGAATCACTCCTGGAGGAGAGGTCCATTTGTAGAAGTGAAGAATTTCATCTTCTGGGTAAAAAGAGTAGGCTGGCTGAGAGAGCATTGGTCGAACATGCATCTCTCCACCATATATGTCATTGCTTGGTGCATAATGATTCGGTTTGCTGAAATGAACATGAAAATAATTTCAAGTTAGCATTTTTTGGTAGTAAGCAGAAAGAACACAACTTATTTGGAATAATTTAAACCATTGGGTAAATGAAACTAAAGCTTATCTGTGCACAGGAATCACCTGGAGGGCTTGTTAAAACATAAGATTATTGGCCTCTAGCCACAACCCATTCTGCTCAGACATTTGGGTTATCTCTGTTTGGGGGTATTGTAAACAGTTTAACTATAAACATCCTTGAATGTGTATTCTGGTACGGAACAGTACTTATTTTTCTAGGGTATATAACCAGGAGAATTTCTGGATCACATATTTTTATATCTTCAACTTCACTAGACAGTATCAAACTGTTTTCCAAAGTGATTGTACCAATTACCTACAGTGGAATGGGTAACTGTAATATATCCATACAATGGAATACTCCATAGCTATACTGTCCAATGTGGCAGCCACTAGCCACTTGGGTCTATCATACACTTGAAATGTATCTAGTCCGGCTGGGCACGGTGGCTCATGTCTGTAATCCCAGCACTTTGGGAGGCCAAGGCGGGTGGATCACTTGAGGTCAGGGGTTCAAGACCAGCCTGGCCAACATGGTGAAACCCCATCTCTACTAAAAATACAAAAATTAGCCAGACGTGGTGGCATGCGCCTGTAATCCCAGCTACTCAGGAGGCTGAGGCACGAGAATTGCTTGAACCCGGGAGGTGGAGGTTGCAGTGAGCCGAGATCGTGCCATTGCACTCTACCCTGAGTGACAGAGCAAGACTCCGTCTCAAAAAAAAAGAAATGTGGCTAGTCCAAACTGAGATACGCTGTTAAAATGCACAGTGGAGAGTCTGAGGTGGGCAGATCACTTGAGGCCAGGAGTTTGAGACCAGCCTGGAGAACATGGTAAAACCCTATCTCTACTAAAAATACAAAAATTAGCCAGGCATGGTGACACATGCCTGTAATCCCACTTACTTGGGAGGCTGAGGCACGAAAATCAAGAATCCCTTGAACCCAGGAGGCAGAGGTTGCAGTGAGCTGCGATCACACCCACTGCACTCCAGCCTGGGTGACAGGGCAAAAAAATTTAAAAATGCACAATGGATTTCAAAGATATAATATGAAGAAAGAATGTAAAATATTTCCTGAATCATTCATTTTTTACATCAATCACGTGATGAAGTAATGTTTTAGATATACAAGATTAAGTGAAATATATTAAAATTAATTTCTTCTTTTGGCCAGGCACGGTGGCTCACGCCTGTAATCCCAGCACTCTGGGAGGCCGAGGCGGGTGGATCACCTGAGGTCAGGAGTTCGAGACCGGCCTGGCTATCCTGGTGAAACCCCATCTCTACTGAAAATACAAAAACTAGTTGGGCGTGGTGGTGTGTGCTTGTAATCCCAGCTACTTGGGAGGCTGAGGCAGGAGAATCACTTGAACCCAGGAGGTGGAGGTTGCAGTAAGCCGAGACCGTGCCATTGCACTCCAGCCTGGGCAAAAAGAGCAAAACTCTGTCTTAAAAAAAAAAAATTATCTTTTTATTTTTAATGAAAGTATAAAATTACATATATGGCTCATGTTATATTTCTACAGTGCTATGAAGCCAAAACTGATGAACTATGAATACATGCAGTTACAGGTAATGCTGAAAAAAATGAAAAAATACATATCGCATTATTATATTTACATAAAGTTTTAAAACAGGTAAAACTGGCCAGATGTGGTGGCTCACACCTATAATCCCAGCACTTTAGGAGGTGGGCGGGTCACCTGAGGTCAGGAATTTGAGACCAGCCTGGCCAACATGGCGAAACCCCGTCTCTACTAAAAGCATAAAAATTGGTTGTGCATTGTGGTGGTTACCTGTAATCCCATCTACTTGGGAGGCTGAGGCAGGAGAATTGCTTGAATCCAGGAAGTGGAGGTTGCAGTGAGCCAAGATTGTGCCACTGCACTCCAGCCTGGGCAACAAAGTGAGAGTCTGTCTCAAAAATAAATAAATAAAACAGGTAAAACTAAACTGAAATGTTTAGGATATACAAGATGATAAAATGATAAAAGCAGGTAATGATCATACGTCAGGACAGTGGTCTCCAGAGAAAAGGAGAGGACACAGGGAAGGACTTTGAAGTGTTCTGTTTCTTGACCTGGGTGATGAGTATGTATGTTTGCTTGGTCTTTCCTCATGATCTCCTACATATGTTCTGTGTCCTTTTCTTTATGTATGTTGCAGTTCACCATTATTTACAAAAGCAACACAAAATAAGTGTCAGATTAGTGGTGCATTACTCAATTACTATATTCTCTAGTATGTTTTAAAAACTGTATTGTCATAAACAACTTGTGTCCCCACCATGTTTTAGGCACTAGTAAGGAGGTTAAAGAACTGGAACACAACCTTCACGTGATATTGTAAAATATGTATTTAGTCTTCATCTCCATTTTCTGGCATACAACTCCTAAAATCTTTGGACTCTCCAAAGTGATAAGTATCCCTTATATGCTAATGAGATGATAGGTTCCTGGCAGCCCTAGGAAGCTTCAGGATGGGAGCTAGGATTAGAGGGTTGGAACTTTTCAGCCCCAACCCTCTCTGGACAGAAAAGAGGGGCTGAAGCTTAAACTGCTCACCAATGGCCAATGATTTAGTCAATCATGCCTATGTCATAAAGCTTCCATAAAAACCCAAAAGGACCGAATTCACAGAACTTCTGGACAGCTGAACATGTGCAAGTTCCTGGAGGGTGGCACAACCAGGGAGGGCTGCTTCCCACATACCTCGCCCTGTCCACCTCTTCATCTGGTGTTTGTTGGCATCCATTGTAATATCATTTGTTTGTTCATTCATTCATTCATTCTTAAAAGACAGGGTTTCCCTATGTTGCCCAGGCTGGCCTCAAACTCCTGGGCTCAAGCAATCCTCCTGCCTCAGCCTTCTGAGTAGCTGGGATAACAGGCATGCACCACCACACCTGGCTTTTGTAATACCCTTTATAATAAACCAGTAATGGTAAGTACTGTTTCCCTGAGTTCTGCAAGCCACTTTAGCAAATTAATTGCACCCAAGGAGACAACTGTGGGAATCCTGATTTACTGTAGGTGGGTCAGAAACACAGGCCACAACCTGAGCTTGTGGCTGCTACGTGAAGTGGGGGCAGTCTTGTGGGAATGAGCCCTGAACCTGTGATCTGATGCTATCTCTGACAGTGTCAGAATTGAACTGATAATTAGAGGACACACAGCTATTGTCCACTGTAGAACTGATTACTTGGTTGCTGGTGGGGAAATATCCCCACAAATTCTGGTGATCAGAGGTCACAGATGTGTTGTGACAGAACAGCAGGAGAAACTGTTTGTTTTTGCCTATATCACACTCCACTACACTTATCATGGTTAAAGCTGCAAACTACTTAGAGGAGGAAATCCCTATCAATGTTTGATAGCAAATTTGGAATTCAAAAATTCACTGATAAGTCTTCACATGACCAAGGAGCCCAAAACCCCTCAACACTGCTTGTTTTAGATCATGGCAGGAATCACTCTTAAAACTGACAGTATGGAAAGTATTATGCTAAGTGAAAGAAGCCAGTTACAAAAGGCCACATATTACGTGATTTCTCCATTTATACAAAATATGCAGAATAGACAAATCTATAGAGACAGAAAGTAGACCAATAGTTGCTTAGGGCTGATGGAACTGGGAGGTGACTGCCAATGGATAGGTTTCTTTGGAGAGTAATGAAATGTTCTAAAATTAATTGTGGTGATGGTTCTACAACTCTGTGAATATACTAAAAACCATTAAACTATCCATTCTAAATGGGTAAATTGTAAAGTATGTTAATTATATCTCAATAAAGCTGTTATTTTTATTTATTTATTTATTTTTTGAGACGGAGTTTTGCTCTTGTCACCCAGTCTAGAGTGCAATGGCGCCATCTCAGCTCACCTCAACCTCCGCCTCCTGGGTTCAAGCGATTCTCCTGTCTCAGCCTCCCAAATAGCTGCAATTATAGGCATGCATCACCATGCCCGGCTAATTTTGTATTTTCAGTAGAGATGGGGGTTTCTCCACGTTGGTCAGGATGGTCTTAAACTCCCGACCTCAGGTGATCCACCCGCCTCGGCCTCCCAAAGTGCTGGGATTACAGGCATGAGCCACCAGGCCTGGCCTTTTTTCTTTTTTTCAGACGGAGTCTCGCTCTGTCTCTAGGCTGGAGTGCAGTGGCGTGATCTCGGCTCACTGCAACCTCCACCTCCTGGGTTCAAGTGAATCTCCTGCCTCAGCCTCCCAAGTAGCTGGGATTACAGGCAAGTAGCTGGGATTAGAGGTGCGCGCCACCACAGCCAGCTAATTTTTGTATTTTTAGTAGAGACGGGAGTTCACCATGTTGGCCAGGATGGTCTCGATCTCTTGACCTTGTGATCCGCCAGCCTCGGCCTCCCAAGGTGCTGGGATTACAGGCGTGAGCCACCGCACCCGGCCTAAAGCTGTTATTTTTAAAAACTGACAATATGTTCCCAATGGCCACCTAAATGAGGCATTTAAATGGAAGCTTCATTATCATTTGTACAAAACAAAAAGGAACATACAAATATAAACCTTGGCAATCTCTTGAAACAAACATTAGGAATAGGTGACAGCAGTTGTCCTAGCAGAGACAAACTGTCATTCTGAAAGTTGAGAGAAATTCAGTTTTCAGTGCAGACCCTTTGATACAATTTAAATTTACAAGTACACATATCGTTTTATTTTTAAAAGCAAACACTTAAAGTTTCAACCATACTTATTGTTTACATGTGATAGACTTTTTAAAAGAGAATAACTAAAGAATTATTTACTTACAATTCATCAGGCCTGTAAGGAGGTGGACTTTCAAGAGGCCTGGATGACATGGCTGATTGTCAATGGTCAGCTGATCTTCAGGATGAGCAATGCCCTTTAGCTTCCAAGATAAACCAATCTAAGCAACAAAAGTAGAGTTATGGCATTACTACTAAGCTCACAGTTTCTTTCTTTTCTTCATCCCACCCCCACCCCGAGACAGGGTCTCACCCTGTCACCCAGGCTGGAGTGCAGTGGTCCAATCACAGCTCACTGCAGCCTTGATCTACCAGGCTCAAGTACTCCTCCTACCTCAGCCTCCCAAGTAGCTAGGACTACAGACCTGCACCACCATGCCTGGCTAATTCCTGTATTTTTTGTACAAAAATTTGAAATATATATAATTTCATATTACTTTTGAAAGTTCATATTAAATGAGAATGTATAAGAAAGTGCACATATAGCCGCACTAGCACATACTAGCTCCTCAATGCAAAGTAACCATCTAATGGGTTAAATGCCTTTATCATTAAAAATGATAATAAAATGCATCTATAAATGGTGGAATTGTAGATATTTTTCCCTTATCTCCTTTTCCAAGTCTTCGAAACTGAGCACAATTTTTATACAAGGGGAGAAAAAACAATATGCATGGTATTAATTGGTCATTTTCTGAAATTTTGTCCTAAAATTCTTCAGCACAAGTTCCTAAACATCTGAGGAGAAATTTCACTCAACAAGCATTTATTAAGTGCCTACACTAGACCAGGAGAGCCTGTGGGAGTGACGTATGACAGCCAGCGCTGGGGTCCTGGCTCTTCCAGGCTGGTGTGGTGCTGATAACACAGGTGGCTAGCTTATGGAACAGTGAAGTGGGAGCATGGTGGAATGGTGTCATCTTTTAAAATAAGGTTACAGTAAGAATATAGTGGATGGAGGATGAGTAAGAAAAGGGAGGGCTTTGAAAGTCTAGTGGGAGTGTCTCACTTCCTTCAGGTAGGAAACAGGGAGCCAGTTCGTGATTCTCGGCAAGGGAGGTGTAAGTTTGATTTGAACCAGATTTGAAAGACAAAGTCAACAGTAAAAAGGAGCACCTACAGTCAGCAGCAGCAAACCTAGGTGTGAGGCAACAATGAAGGACTAGCTTAGGAGACAGAAGATAGGAAGGAAACTAACATTCATCAGACACCTACCGACGTGCTGGGTGCTTTACATAAAACCTCCTTTCATCCTCAAAACGACCCTCCATGGTTGATTAGTCACTTTACAGATGCAAAGAGGGTCAGAAAGAGATGTGAAGTAATATGCTCAAGGTTATATGGATGTCAGTGAGTCACTCAGATGTAACTTGAACCCAGATGATTTCATGTGCTTTTCACTATGCTAGTTTGAAACAATGAGTTCCATTTGGGAAACACCAGTTTTTGTGGGGAGTGCACATCTGGTGTTAGCATCCATGAGGAAGTGAAGATGGAGGTCATCTGCCTACGTCCGTAGGTGGATCCATGGGCACTGAGAGCTCTCCAGGAAAAAGACAAGTCTCAGCAAGATGTGGTAAACACACAACCCCCTAACCTATAAAGCTTGAGGATTATTCTAGAAAACCCAGTGCTGGAGACACTGGCAAGGTACTTCCCACATCAGCTACAGAACTTCATGCCACTCCTTAGCTATGTTGAACCAACAATAAATTCTTTCCAGGTTATACCAGTGATTAGTAGAGTAGGGAACTTTGAGATCTACTGGAAGGTAAATTCCATGTGAGCAGGAATTTTTGCATGTTTTGTTCACTGATTAAATCAATGCCTGGCACATAGTAGACGTCCAGATAATTTGTTGAATGTTTACAGGAACCAGATTGGACCATGGATATCTCTGCCTGCAAAACCTCTTGTGCTTTCAAGTTGAAGGTAACGGAAAAGTATCAGAGTAACTTTAAAAGGTATGATCCCTGAATGACACTTGAGTAACATCTATAATGAGTACATTAAAGTATCTGATATTTTTTTCCTTTTCTAATACGGTCTGTACAATCATACATTAATATATTAACAACAGTACATCAATTCAGACTCTTAAAACTTTTTTTTAAATTAATGGCAACTCTTTTTTTTTTTTTTGAGCCGAGTCTCGCTCTGTCACCAGGATGGAATGCAATGGCATGATCTCAGCTCACTGCAATCTCCGCCTCCCGGCTTCAAGCGATTCTCCTGCCTCAGCCTCCCGAGTAGCTGGGACTACAGGCGCACGCTGCCACGCCCGGCTAATTGTTTGTATTTTTAGTAAAGATGGGGTTTCACCATGTTGCACAGTCTGGTGTCAAACTCCTGAGCTCAGGCAATCTGCCCTCCTTGGCCTCCCAAAGTGCTGGGATTACAGGCATGAGCCACCACGCCCCACCTGGCAACTCTCTTCTATACCCTTTAGGACAGTGTATTTCAAATCTCTCAGAATTAAACCCTGCCCAACTATGTATTAGATAAATCCTCAAAGATGGAAATATATAGAATGTTAATAACACCAACACAATTAGCATAATTTTCCAAAGACATGAAGGAAGATGACTTTTCTACATTTTTAAAAGCCACTTTTAAAGTATACCATAGAGAAAAGTGCACAAATCATAAGTGTACACAGCCCTGTAACTAGCACTCAAGTCAATTTCTCTATACTTTTTTTTTTTTCTTTTGAGACAAGGTCTCATTCTGTTGCCCAGGATGAAATGCAGTGCCATCATCTCAGCTCACTACAACCTGCCTCCCAGGCTCAAGCAATCCTCCTGCCTCAGCCTCACAAGTAGCTGGACTACAGGCACATGCCACCACGCCTGGCTAATTTTTGTATTTTTAGTAGAGATAAGGTTTCACCATGTTGCCCAGGCTGGTCTCAAACCCCTGAGCTCAAGCTATCCACCTGCCTTGGCCTCCCAAAGTACTGGGATTACAGGCATGAGCCAATACACCTGGCCAATTTCTCTATATTCTAGTAATGGTGAAACACACATACAAATGAGCAATTTAGGCGAAAATGTTATGGTACTATAAAAAGGCAAAAGTCCAGATTGTCTTCAGAAAAAGAACATTAAGGAATACTGAATTTAGGCCAGGTGAGGTGGCTCACACCTGTAATTCCAGCACTTGGGAGGTGGAGACAGGTGGATCACCCTAGGTCAGGAGTTCGAGACCAGCCTGGCCATCATGGCAAAACCCCGTCTCTACTAAAAATACAAAAATTAGCTGGGCATGGTGGCACGTGCCTGTAATCCCAGCTACTTGAGAAACTGAGGCATGAGAATCGCTTGAGCCCGAGGTGGAGGTTGCAGTGAGCCAAGATTGTGCCACTGCACTCCAGCGTGGGTGACAGAGCAAGACTCCTTTAAAAAAAAAAAGTAAAACAGAAAATCTGAAGTTAAGCACTATTAAATGTGGGATCCTAGTTCTGAAGCTGAATGTCAAATATCCCCAAATTCTAGGTTCAGTGGTAGTTTTGGAAACTCTAAATTAATCCAGACTCAGTCTTAAGTTGTCAAAAATTCAAACAAGATCCCTTTTCAAACTGCTATTTCCAGGATTCAGAGTTGTCACGTCTCCCCAAAAGCACGGATTTTAAATTGTGAACCAAATCATGTGGCTCATGCCTGTAATCCCAGCACTTTGGGAGGCCGAGGCAGGTGGATCACATGAGGTCTGGAGTTCAAGACCAGCTGACCAATGTGGTGAAACCCTATCTCTACTAAAAATACAAAAAATTAGAGGGGCGTGGTGGTGCATGCCTGTAAACCCAGCTACTTGGGAGGCTGAGGTAGCAGAATTGCTTGAACCTGGGAGGCGGAGTTCGCAGTGAGCCAGTATTGCGCCATTGCACTCCAGCCTGGGCAAAAAGAGCAAAACTCCGTCTCAAAAAAAAAAAAAAAAGAAAAGAAAGCTCGTTAAGAACAAGTCATGCCACACCAACTTCATTTCCTTTTCTGGGAAGGTTACCAAACTGGTGGATTTTATTTTCTCCTTTATTATTTCCTCTTCAGGGAATGCAGAGAGAAAGAATCCTGAAAATCTTGAGCACATCCTTGTGTGGGTGGGCAGATTCCCAAGGGGCTGGATTACGGCACCCAATTAGCACAAAAGAATGAACCATTTATGTCCACCTGGTGGGAGGTCTCCACTGGTAAACACAGACAAAGTGGAGGAGACACGCTTATCCAGATTTGCAGCTGACCAAACACACTGGAAAGGATAACTAACCCATTGGCTAGGGCCATCAACACTAAGCAAGATCTCTGTAATGTCAGAATGATGAGTTTGAAACAACCTAGTGGTTTTAACAGCCCCCATTTACTGGCTCGCAATCTGAGACAAATTCCTTATCTCCTCTAAGTGCACTCAAATGCGGGAATAATCCTGACCTCTGCACTGGGATAAGAAAAAGTCTTAAAGAGCTGGGCGCAGTGGTTCACGCCTGTGATCCCAGCACTTTGGGAGGCCGAGGCGGGTGGATCACGAGGTCAAGAGATCAAGACCATCCTGGTCAACATAGTGAAACCCTGTCTCTACTAAAAAAATACAAAAATTAGCTGGGCTTGGTGGCGCGCGCCTGTAGCCCCAGCTACTCAGGAGGCTGAGGCAGGAGAATCGCTTGAATCCAGGAGGAGGAGGTTGCAGTGAGCTGAGGTCACGCCACTGCACTCCAGCCTGGCGACGGAGCGAGACTCCGGCTCAAAAAAAAAAGAAAGAAAAAAACCACAAGAAAAAGTCTTCAAGAAAATGGGCAACTGCATTCATCATAAGGTGGTTATCCTGAAAGTAAGAAATTTCAGTGCTTAGGCACTTAGGTATATTGTATCCATTTTCAAATACAGCTGACCCTCCACATCCATGGGTTTTAAATTCTGATTCAACCAACCTCAGACAGAAAATATTCAGGGGAAAAAAAAATTAAAAATTACAGGGCAGGTACAGTGGCTCACACCTGTAATCCCAACACTCTAGGAAGCTGAAGCAGGAAGATCACTTGAACCCAGGAGTCCAAGACTGACCACAGCAACATAGTAAGACCCCATCTCCACAAAAAATTTTTCTTAAAATTAGCCAGGCATGGTGGCACATCCCTGTAAGTTCCAGCTACTCAAGAGACTGAGATGGGAGGATCTCTTGAGCAGAGGAAGTTGAGGCTGGAGTGATCATGCCACTATACTCCAGCCTGAGTAACAGTAATACCCTGTCTAAAAAAATAATAAACAATAAAACAAAAAATAGATTTTTAAAACTACAATATCACAATTCTACATAGTATTTACATTGTATACGGTATTATAACTAGAGATTATTTAAAGTCTACAAGAGGTCTGGGTGCAGTGGCTCACACCTGTAATTCCAGCTCTTTGGGAGCCCAAGACGGGCGGATCACTTGAGGTCAGGAGTTCGAGACCAGCCTGGCCAACATGGTGAAACCCTGTCTCTACTAAAAATACAAAAATTAACTGGGATTGTGCCGGGTGCCTGTAATCCCAGCTACTCAGGAGGCTGAGGCAGGAGAATCGCTTGAGCCCAGGAGGCAGAGTTTGCAGTGGGCCAAAATTGCATCACTGCACTCCAGCCTAGATGATGGAGTGAGATTCTGTCTCAAAAAAACAATTAAAAAAAAAAGTATACAAGAGCATTTAGGCCATATGCAAATACAAAGCTATTTTATAACAAGGACTTCAGCATCCTCAGATTTTAGTATCATGGGGGTCCTGGAAGCAACCTCTCACAGATACTGAAGGGTGACTATATTGGTGGCATAAATGAGTCATTTTTAAAATGTAAACTGATTTTTTTTTTTTTTGAGACAGGAGTCTTGCTCTGTCATCCAGCCTGGAATGCAATGGCGTGATCTCGGCTCAATGCAACCTCCACCTCCCAGGTTCAAGCAATTCTCCCACCTCAGCCTCCTGAGTAGCTGAGATTACTGGCACATGCCACCAGGCCAGGCTAATTTTTGCATTTTTAGTAGAAACGGGGTTTCACCATGTTAACCAAGCTGGTGTCAAACTCCTGACCTCAGGTGATCCACCCACCTCAGCCTCCCAAAGTGCTGGGATTACAGGCATGAGCCACCATGCCCAGCCATAAACTGAATTTTTAAAAAGTCAATTCCATAGTACAGTATAGAGGAGAACTAATTTAATAATCGTTCATTTTTTTTTTTGAGACGGAGTCTCGCTCTGTCGCCTAGGCTGGAGTGCAGTGGCGGGATCTCGGCTCACTGCAAGCTCCGCCTCCCGGGTTCACGCCATTCTCCTGCCTCAGCCTCCCAAGTAGCTGGGACTACAGGCGCCCGCCACTACGCCCGGCTAATTTTTTGTATTTTTAGTAGAGACGGGGTTTCACCGTTTTAGCCGGGATGGTCTCGATCTCCTGACCTCGTGATCCGCCCGCCTCGGCCTCCCAAAGTGGTTCATTTTTAAAGGTGCATTTCTTTGGTAAGAATTTCAACAAAAGCTAACAACCTATCCCAAACTTTATTCACAGAAATAGTGCTCATATCTAGGAATAATATGCTATTAAAAAGAACAAACAAAACCTGATTTGTACATCACATTCTAAACTATGTGCCTCTCCAGGAGGGTGACTAAGATCATTAAAGATCTAGAAAAGCTGGCCAGGCACCGTGGCTCACGCCTGTAATCCCAGCACTTTGGGAGGACGAGGCGGGTGGATCACAAGGAGATCGAGACCATCTTGGCCAACACGGTGAAACCTCGTCTCTACTAAAAATACAAAAATTAGTTGGGCATGGTGGTGTGTGCTTGTAATCCCAGCTACTTGGGAGGCTGAGGCAGGAGAATTGCTTGAACCCAGGAGGCAGAGGTTGCAGTGAGCCAAGATTGTGCCACCGCACTCCAGCCTGGCGACACAGTGAGACTCTGGCTCAAAAAAAAAAAAAAAAAAAAAATCTAGAAAAACCATGTCTTAAGACAAATGATTGGAAAAACAGGAAATGTTTGGCCTGGAGAACTTAACGTCAGAAGAATCGCTTTAGCAGCCCTGAAATATATGAAGAGCTGTCTTTGTTATCCTAGAAATGGTTAAAAAAAAAAATTCCAAAAACCACAGGCTGATTTCATCTCAATGTTAGGAAGCCTCTCCCTCACCCTGACCCCACACCCTCTCCGAAAATAACTAACAACAATTTGAGCTCATGCAATTTATGCAAAGCTTAAGTTATTTGATATTTTTTTGGAGACCAGACTGGAAGACTTCTAAGGTCTCTTTCAAAGTGAATCTGTGACTGTGCTTTAAGGCCAGCAGCCAAAGGTGAAAGAGGACCAATGCCCAGCACAGCAACATTAACAATCTGTACATGTGTTGAGTGAAGGAAAAAATGAGAATGAAGAGGCCACTTATCACCTACAGGAACTTATGTCAGGAGAGTGACAAGGACAGAAGTCAGACAGCTAAATTAGAGTCGGGGGCAAAAGGGAAGCAGCAGATAGATCCTTGTCAAATATGTTAATCTGAAAACCAGCATCTTGGGCTAATGATAAAATATAAAGTGTTCTCCCCTTGACAATGTTTACTGACCAAAAGCTGTCTTAATGGAAAACTAAGCTAAGATGAAAAAAACAGGCTGAGGCTGGGCAAGGTGGCTCACACTTGTAATCCCAGTACTTTGGGAAGCCAAGGCAGAGGGATTGTTTGAGCCCAGAACTTCAAGATCAGGCTGGGCAACAGAGTAAGACTCCGTTCTCTATCTTAAAAAAAAAAAAAAAAAAAAAGTATAAAAAAAGAAAAAATAGTCTGAAAATGCTTTGGCCTCAAATTATTCTTTAAAGAAAACTGTCAATAAGTGAAAAATAAACTTTATTGTATTTAAGAGAAGTCTGTTCCTTTTAGAGCACATGCAGTAACTGTCAATTTGCCTTTAAAAAGTTTAAGTTGTGGCCGGGCGCGGTGGCTCACGCCTGTAATCCCAGCACTTTGGGGGGCCGAGACGGGAGGATCACGAGGTCAGGAGATCGAGACCATCCCCGCTAACACAGTGAAACCCCGCCTCTATTAAAAATACAAAAAATTAGCTGGGCATGGTGGCAGGCGCCTGTAGTCCCAACTACTCGGGAGGCCGAGGCAGGAGAATGGTGTGAACCCGGGAGGCGGAGCTTGCAGTAAGCCAAGATCGTGCCACTGCACTCCAGCCTGGGAGACAGCGAGACTCTGTCTCAAAAAAAAAAAAAAAAGTTTAAGTTGTGCCTTATATTAAATGATTTAGACTACAGGCACATCATTAGTAAATTGTCTAAAAATTTGAAGTTAGGCAGATTTTGTAATAGACTCTGTGTCAGAAATTGTATTTTTAATAAATCTTCCAGGTGATTTTTAAACACATCACATATTTTGAGAATTGCTGTCTACAATAAAGGTGTCAATCCAAAAAGGACATTGATCTTGCAATTTCCTGTCTAGAAAGCCCAGATCTTTTACACAACAGACACCTGCTGTTCAGGTCTCAGCTCAGACGTCACCTTCTGGGAGATGCCCTCCCTGTCCCTCACTCCATCACACAAAACTTGTTTTTTTTTTCAGAGCAAACTCCCCTCTGCCCTCATACCTAAAATATAGGTATCATCTCCACCGCATCTGGAATGCCCATATCCCAGACATCAAATGTCTATTTTGACCATCATTTATATCCCTGGTCGCTGGAACTAGCCCTGGCACAAAGTGATTGTCAATGAGTACTCAATTAATAAAACCAACAGTCAATTATTAGAGTTGGGATTTCAATCCAGCAGTGAATGCCTTGAAGTTCTTCACACAACACTCAATAAACGTTATTTTTTCCAACTTCAGTTTGTCAAATGTAATTAAGTGCGTAGAGTCTAAGAGAAAGGGAGAAAAAGAAGACAGAACAGTCTGAGAATCACCTGTGAGCCTGTTAGAAAGGCAGAATCCCAGGCCCCACTCCTGACCTCCCAATCAGAATCTGTGTTTTAATAGGATCCCTAAGTGATTCATACCACAGCCAAGACTGGAATCACTGGGTTACGGAACAGCGGCAAGCCTAGGGGTTAAAACAAAAAGCCTAACATAAATCTGCATGGTCTGTTTACTCTCTTATTTCCATAAATAGTAATTTGATGAAAAAGATCCATTAATATTCCAATCAAATAAGCCTTAAAATGCAACTGAAGAAAACTTCCTTCTGGGAGGTTCCTAGGAAGATGAAAGATATTACATCAGATCATTTATGTGGTTAAAAGTAATATACTATTTTGAAAAGGTAGTAATTCCAACACTACCTTTAGAAGAAAACAAGAATTTTACCTTGATATCAAGCAAAATGCGGGAAATCTTGTATCAGGCTACAGTTACTAGTCAATGGTAGAAAAGTCCAGAAAAATTCCCCAAATCTGGTTCTGGAATATCAAGGACCGCTGCTTCTGATACTCCTTCCCATATTAGCTGAAGCAGTTTGCAAGCAAGCCCACCTGCAACGTTTCCCCCACGGCATTTGCCCACTTTTAAAATGGAGTTCTACTAAGGCCTGCCTTTTAGAGTTGTTGGGATAATTAAATGAGAAAATACAGAATGCTTTTACCACAGTGCCTCACGTGCAGGAGGCACTGCTGCCCACTATTTCCCGAAATGGCCTGGAAACTGCCAAAAGGTGGAGAATCATGTCTTACCGATCTCCCTATCCTCTGCTCCGTCACCTAACAAAGGAGGCCCCTAATAACTAAATAAATTGCAAAACGACCAAAAAAAAAGTGTTGCTTTGTTTGAGGAAATATCTCTGCCTCCCACACACACTTAAGATGTCTATTTTAAAGCACCACTAAGAAAATATTCATAAAGGCTGGGTGTGGTGGCTTACGCCTGTAATCCCAGCACTTTGGGAGGCCAAGGCGGGCGAATCACCTGAGGTCAGGAGTTCGAGACCAGCCTGACCAAATGGCAAAACCCTGTCTCTACTAAAAATACAAAAATTAGCTGTGCATACTAGTGGGTGCCTGTAATCCCAGCTATTCGGGAGGCTGAGCAGGAGAATCGCTTGAACCCGGGAGGCAGAGGTTGCAGTGAGCCCAGATGATGCCACTGCACTGGGGGACAGAGCCAGACTCCGTCTCGGAAAAACACACACACACACACAGAAGCACCTCATATGTACAGTGCAAAAGAACTACTGTTACTATTGTTACACTTGGGAACGCCTAGTTTTCTATCACACCAAGAATCACCAAAAAACACCATAAGTGCCTTCATGGGAAACGTTTCTCTTTTCCAGGTATCCCAATAATACACCTGTTGCCTAAGGGCCACACACTGACTGGCCTGGAAAGCCGCCGCCTCCTCCTCGAGCAGGGTAATTCCCCAAGCGGGCAGTGTGGCCAGCGAGCCCCGGGTCCGGCCTAAGGATGCCGCGGCTTTTCCCTCGGGCCCGGTGGCTTCCCGAGGAGCGCGAGGGGCTCGGCGCCGCTCCCAACCCCTAGGCGCAGAGGCCATCTTGGCCCTCGACCCCTGCTCCCCGCACGCTTCCTCCGACGCAGGCAACATGGCTGGCGCGCGGGGCCGGCCCAGTCCCGGAGGTCCCCAAACTCCGTGGCCCGGCTGGGCGCGGGTCCCGGCTTCCGTGCGCACCGAGGCGCTCCCAGGCAGCGCGCGCCCACGTTCGCCGGGCAGGCACCGCCCGGAGGCAGTTCCGCCCCCCTGGGGGCAGCCCTTTTGGTCACGGATGAGAATCCGAAGCGTGAGCAGCTTCCCTCGAAGTCCAGCCTCACTCGAAATTAACTCCCCGCCCCCCAGCTTAAATCGACGCGGGTTCACACAACTCGCAACAAGTGGATTCGAAGTAGCCAGTGTGGCCCACACCGTGACTCCTGGAATATTTCACAGATTGAATCCAGCCCCCGTCTCCCCGGGATATCCAAAGGGGTGGGGTGGGAGCGGAAGGAATGAAATTCCCCCCGGGATCTAAGCCGCCCGGGCCGCCGAACAGCCGCCTCGCTGCAGCCTCAGGCTTAGGACCCCCAAGGAGCTGGGCGCAGGATCCCTCTCCATGAAGGCCGCCCCCCCAAACTGCAGCCCCAGAGCGGATGCAGGATCGTCGCTGTTCAGGAATGTCGTGCCCCATAAAAGTGAAAAGTTGCCCGCGCCGCTGAGGCACTGCTAGCTTTCAGCGTTTCCGCGGAATAAAGCTTGATCGGCGGCTCCAAGCCACCCCTCGCCCCAGGAGGCAGCCTCCCAAGTTGGCCGGTGCTGCTCTCTCCGCAGACCCGCGCCTCTCTGGTTCCCACGAGTCCCAGCTCGGGGACGAAACTGCCACCGAAACCAGCGCGGAGCGTCCTCCCCCCAGCACCTCCCCTAACATAGTCGCCGCGGTCCCCCCACGGGGACCCTCGGGCTCCCGTGCGCCCCTGACGCCGCGCCCAACACTCACCCGCTCGCCGCAACTGGGCCCGACCCTCCGGGGGCCAACGGTGCCAGGGAGCGCGCTCACCTGGCGGGCGCACCTGACGCCGCACCGACCGCCAGCGCTCAGCCGGGGACTGGGCTGGGGACGTCTCCTCCCCCTTCTCCCTCTCCTTTCCCTCCTCCCTACAACCGGCCCTGCCCCCGGGCATGCGCACCAACGTGGAAGGGGGTGCGGGAAGCCTGCGGGCCAGCGCCGCGAGTCCCACCTGCTGCGTCCTAGACCGGCTCCTCGGCGCTCTGGACCTGGCTCTCGGTTCCTGCCGCCTCCGCCAGAGGAAGCAGGGAGGGAGAGGTGGACGCGGGAGTGTAGGTGTGGTGTGTCGGCCTCCTCCCTCGGTGACCAATTCACCTGAAACTCGGATGGGAGGGGGCGGGAGGACGCGGTCCTGCTTCCCACACCCTGCCAGCGCGCTGTTAAAGGAACCGCGCGATGTTGCGGCCCGAGAGGCGGGGCGCAGAGGAGAGGCGCGGGCTCCTAGGGGGCAGCACGGATGGGGGTCCCTGACCACCCCGGGGTGCGTTCGGTGCTCCGCCTGCTTCGGATGGAACCTTGGGGTGTCTGATGGAGAGAGGCCGAACGAGGTCCAGAGGGGACTGTTTCCTCCGGAAAGAGGGTCCAGGCACTCAGCACTTTGATAGGAAAGGCACGTCCTCACAGGACACTTTTCTGCTTCCAGAATTTGATTAAAC
This sequence comes from Homo sapiens, assembly GCF_000001405.40. Classification (NCBI taxonomy): domain Eukaryota; kingdom Metazoa; phylum Chordata; class Mammalia; order Primates; family Hominidae; genus Homo; species Homo sapiens. Next base: position 275,072 of record NW_003315917.2, on the reverse strand, counting down.
TGTTGCTGGAAAAAGGCATCTAGATGTATTGCTCCAACGAAAGACTCCTGGGAAAATTTCAAAAGTCGTGTGTAAACATTGGCGCTGTTTCTGAATCTCTAGATTCAGAATAAGAGACAATTACTTAGAGGGGTTAAAATGAGGGTGAACTACTGTAGGTGTTAGTTGCCATCCAGCAGGCTAAAGTGCATAATACAGTTTACACATCACCACCCCAGGGTCCTCTCCTGCCCACCCGGTCCGCTCTTGAGGACCGGGAAATTTAAACTATTATGGCTCTTTGGCCTGAGAAAAAGCACCTTATACGTTGTTTACCAACCTGTAGTGCTTTAAGAACAACACTACTTAAAAAGCAAAATAAACTTGGTTTACTTTTTTTTTTTTTAAGAAAACGAAAAAGCACCTTAGTTCCGGGTGCTGTATTCTATTTCTTGATCTGGATTCTGTTTCCAAGGGAAATTTCATAGTCTGCACTTAACACTGTGTATATTTTTATGTATGTTGGTTGTTTTTCAACATATTTTTTAATTGTACTCCAGGATGTGGCAATTATAGTTCTTGGCATTTAACTATCTGCATTGAAAGCGAACTTTTAGGTTTCTTACATCCTGCTTGTCTTTGTGTTCCAATCTGGAATGTCAGCATTGCTAATAAATTTCTATCCAATCCCACCCACTTCTCTACCTTTAATTAAATGGTTAGAGATGTGACTCTCCCATACATTAGATCTTAAGGCACAATTCATACTTGAGGAAGTAAAAGCACTATATAAATATGAGGTATTTCAGATGATGGCAGCTTTAATGGGTAATTAATTTAATTGGTATTTTTTTCGTGGAAGTCATTGCTACAAATGCTTTAATATGACTATGTAGTTTTTGAATGATGCAGTTTAAATTGGTATTGTTAACACTGGGGAAGTCAGGTTAATCCCCTTAATGTTCCCTGTCAGATTACTGAAATCTCCAAACATTCCATTTGGTTTATAATTAAACAAGGGAACATTTCCTAATACTCTCAGATTTGTAAACACATGTCTATTATTTTATAATGTATTTTGACATGTTCTGAAGAGATCTTAGGAGTTTTTTTCCACTTTATAAAAGAGAGTTCACATACCATAAAATTCACCCTTTTAAAGGGCACGTACAATTCAATGGGTTTTAGTATACTCACCAGATTGTACAACCATCACCACCATCTAATTCCATTTTAATCGCCCCCAAAAGAAACCCCATGCCCATTAATAGTCACTCCCCATTTCCCCTCTCCCCTCATCCCTCGGCAACCACTAATGTACTTTCTGTCTCTATTAATTTGCCTATTCTGGACATTTTATATGAATGGATAATACAATATGTGCCCTTTGTGTCTGTCTTCTTTCACTTAGCATAATATTTTAAAGGTTCATCCATGATGTAGTATGTATTGGTACTTCATTCCTTTTTATAACTGAATAATATTCCATTGTATCGATGTATCACATTTCGTTTAATCATTCATCTGTTGATGAACATTTGGGTTGTTTCTCCTTTGGGGATGTTATGAATAATGTTACTATGAACATTTGTGTACAAGTTTTTGTGTGGACATATGTTTTCGGTTCTCTTGGTAAATTAGGTTTTTAAATTAAACTTTTTATCATTTTAAGATAACTTATGCATATCATGTTATTTTTCTTATTCCCACCCTAAACCTAAACTCAAAGACATGTTGTGTTGGGTAGAAGGCTTTCATATTCTATTTGCTTTCCCAATTCATTCCTTCAACTATTTTCTGAGTGCCTAATCTGTACACACACGAGTGAACAAAACTCAAAAATCTCTGTGAAACTTACTTTCTAGTTAGTTCTGAGTTCATCCATATGGAATAATAGGATTCATTAATTGTATGAATTCTATTTTATTCGCTTGAGATTAATTTTCTAAACAACAACATCAAAAGAACGGTTAACTATTGTCCAATATTGTGTATATTTCATAGTTGAAAGTGTCTAGAAAGAAAATCCAGCCTTAAAACTTAAACACATCATTCTTCAATACCAAAACAAAATTTGTTGGATGTTAAATGATGCCATGCTCGATTTAATCATGTTACATAATCATAAATTATAGCAAAATTTAATTACTATATTTTTTACCAAATATTCCTTCTTGGCAACTCACAGTAGTATTGAGTAGTATCCACTATTGAATATTATTTGATGAAAATCCCCGTGACTCAGAGCAATGTAAATATTATTTTCAGAACCCCATGATTAGAAACTTGTTGACTTTACCTGCAGTCAAATGGATAAGATGAAAAGACAATTTGTTTCTCCTTTTCTATGTGTAAAAGAGAAACTTAAGAGCTCAGATTATGGTGTCAGAAATCTCAGTTCAAATTCCAGTGTTGCTACTTGGTAGCTGGGTAGGACTAAAGGAAATTAAACTATGTAAGGTTCATTTTTTTCCACCGTAAATTTGAGATGATAATAAACAATACTGTCTTTATAAGTCTGTTGGTGGGAATGTGGAGCATTCACCAAGACAGACTATATGCTGAGCCACGAAACAAGTCTCAATAAATTGAGCAAGCCATTGCTGTATCCTATATGCCTGAAATAGTTCCTGTCACATAGGAATTACATAACTATGTGTTGGATGAATGAATGAATGACTATAGCCCTGCTTCCCAAATCCAACATGCCTGTGGAGTCTTGTTCTCCTCTCAGATGGCCTCCTGCTATTGTGAAACCCGCACGTTCCTTAGTAGCATTTCAAGGCTTACATCTCTAGTACTAGGGTTTAGAGGAGAAAAGACGGGAGATTAACATAGTTCCACTGTTTCCACTCTGCCTTGCCTGCTTAGTAAATGAATTCAAAGACTGGTATGTGTCCAAGGCAACTCAGTTTGGAGTTGCTGAGGGCCTGGCCTGAAAGGCCTCTAGTTTCTCTGCCCAGTCATGAGGAGGGGGAGGCTTCTGGTCCACACAGGACAGTTTCCTTGGACAGGTGTATGGAAGAATTTATGGGGAAGCCACTAGGAAGACAATTTCTAAAAGGATGATTACACTAGATGAGTAAACCTTTATCTTCTCTATTCCTATGTGTTAAGCAAGATCCTCCTGGGAGGAATCCATATTTAAACAAAGAGACTCAGCACCTGAACAGGAACTTCAACAGGTGGAAGAATAATAATAGCACCATTTACTCAGGGAAAAACATGTTCTAAGTACTATGCTAAGTGTTTTTTTGGTTTTCTGTTTGTTTGTTTTGAAACAGAGTCTCCTCCGTAGCCCAGGCTGGAGTGCAATGGTGTGATCAGCTCTCTGCAACCTCCGCCTCCTGGGTTCAAATGATTCTCCTATGTCAGCCTCCTGAATAGTTGGGACTACAGGCACCTGCCACCACGCCTGGCTAATTTTTGTATTTTCAGTAGAGATGGGATTTCACCTTGTTGGTCAGGCTGGTCTCGAACTCCTGACCTCAGGTGATACTAACGCCTTGGCCTCTCAAAGCGCTAGGATTACAGAGGTGAGCCACCATGCCCGGCAGTTTTATGTTTTTTTTTATTTTTTTCTGGTTTTTGGGTTTTTTTTTTTTTTTTTTTTTTTTTGAGACGGAGTCTCGCTCCGTTGCCCAAGCTGGAGTGCAATGGCGCAATCTCAGCTCACTGCAACCTCTGCCTCCCAGGTTCAAGCGATTCTCCTGCCTCAGCCTCCTGAGTAGCTAGGATTACAGGTGCCCGCCACCACGCCCAGTTAATTTTTGCATTTTTAGTAGACACGGGGTTTCACTGTGTTGGTCAGGCTGGTCTCAAACTCCTGACCTCAAGCAATTCACCCGCCTCAGCCTCCAAAATGCTGGGATTACAGGCTTGAGCCACCGTGCCCGGCTGGGTTGTTTGTTTGTTTGTTTGTTTTTGAGATGGAGTTTCACTCTTGTTGCCCAGGCTGGAGTGCAATGGCGCGATCTTGGCTCACTGCAACCCCCACCTCCCAGGTTCGAGCGATTCTCCTGCCTCAGCTTCCCGAGTAAGTGGGATTACAAGCATGAGCCACCATGCCCAGCTAATTTTGTATTTTCAGTAGAGACGGGCTTTCTCCATGTTGGTCAGGCTGGTCTCAAACTCCTGACCTCAGGTGATCTGCCTGCCTCAGACTCCCAAAGTGCTGGGATTACAGGCGTGAGCCACCACGCCCGGCCCCGGCTGGGTTTTTATTTTTATTTTTTTGGTCTTTACAAGAACTTTATGATGTACTATTATTTTCCCCATTTTACACATAGGAAAACTAAAGCTCAGAAAGTATTGATCATTTACTCAAGTTGTCTACTAAGTTGTAGAGTCAGGATTCAAATACAGGTCATCTGATTCCTGAACCAATGTTCTGAACAGTTTTACTATATTTTAGGACTACTTTTTGTCTATAGGCAATATAGGCAATATTCTGTTTCTTCCCGAGTCCAAGTTACACGGCTGTTAGCCTTACAACAATTTATCAAGCTGTGCATATGTTTTATATACATTTTTGTAGGAATTTTGTATTTCATAATTTAAAAAAATTATTTTGAGTCACCTCTGTCACCCAGGCTGGAGTGTAGTAGCATGATCATGGCTCACTGCAGCCTCTATCTCCTGGGCTCAAGCGATCTTCCCACCTCAGCCTCCTGGGTAGCTGAGACTACAGGCACGCACCCACAACTGGCTGATTTTTGTTTTGTTTTGTTTTTAAATAAAGATGAGATCAGACCGGGTGCAGTGGCTCACGCCTGTAATCCCAGCACTTTGGGAGGCGGAGGCGGGTGGATCACTTGAGGTCAGGAGTTCCAGACCAGCTTGGCCAACATGGTGAAACCCCGTCTCTACTAAAAATACAAAAAACATTAGCCCAGCGTGGTGGAAGCACCTGTAATCCCAGTTACTTCGGAGGCTAGGGCAGGAGAATCGCTTGAAACCAGGAGGTGGAAACTGCAGTGAGTCGAGATAGCGCCACTGCACTCCAGCCTGGGTGACAGAGCGAGACTCTGTCTTAAAAAATATATAAATATAAATACAAATAAATAAACAGAAATGAGGTCTCTCAATGTTGCCCAGGCTGGTCTCAAATTCTTGGGCTCAAGCAGTCCTCCCATCTCGGCCTCCCAAAGTGCTGGGATTACGGGTGTTAGCCACCACACCCGGCCAAAATTTGCTAAGAATAGGGTTTAGAGACAGTCTTAGAAAATAGTTGGAGATCCACATCTAGGATTTTTGTTTTGTGAATAACATTTTTCAAATACCAGCAGAAAATACATTCATAGGATCAGAGTAAGTTGAGATCAGCATCTAAAGAGAGAGTAAATGGGTTTGGTGTGGGACAGAATATTGGCACAATTATAAGGATAATACAGAGAAAGAGATTTGGGACTGATTTTTTTTAATTGTATCAGTCATCTATTGCAGTGGAAAACTGGCCTTGCAGGCTTTTTCAGGAACTAGCCTTCCTGAATCTTTTAAGCTCAAAAAAGGAAAGAGGAAAAAGTAAACATTAACCAAATATTGTCTTCGCTTACCTACTTTTAACTTCATGGGGCTCTTTACCTCCTGTGTCCCCAAACTGAAAAAGATAATAATAATTATCTCGTAATTTAGCATAAGGAATCCTAACCCTAGAAAAATCTCTTGAACTGGGTCAGTGTGAAACCAATACACTTTAAGCAGATCACAAATTTCTCTTGTTATTCTTTGGTTTTGAGGTACGGGACTCCTTTTATTCGATACAGGGGTTTCCAAATAGCAGCTTTTCTTGTTTTTTTGTTTTTGTTTTGTTTTTGTTTGAGACAGAGTGTCGGAGTCTCACTCTGTCGCCCAGGCTGGAGTGCAGTGGCACAGTTTCGGCTCACTGCAACCTCCACCTGCTGGGTTCAAGCGATTCTCCCACCTCAGCCTCCCAAGTAGCTGGGATTACAGACGCGCACCACCACGCCTGGCTAATTGTTGTATTTTTAGTAGAGATGGGGTTTCACCATGTTACCCAGGTTGGTCTTGAACTCCTGACCTCAAGTGATCTGCCCTCCTCAGCCTCCCAAAGTGCTGGGATTACAGGCGTGAGCCACTGCACCTGGCCCCATATGGCAGCTTTTCTGATTTTACTTGGAGTTTCTTTAGGATAAACTCAAGGAGCCTACAAGCAAAAACTCACTACAGTTCCTGAAATGTTGTTGTTGGCTGACACGGTACAGCGTAAGTGGGACATATGAGAATTGTATGTGAAAAGGAATATTTATTCAGTCAAGAAATATTTACCTCAGTACCTGCTGTATACCAGACCCTGTTCTAAGCCCTGGAAATAACAGTGGCCTCAAGACAGACAAGGTCCTTTATGGAAGTTTAGGGAGGAAATAGTTAGGAGAGGAAATACAACAAAGATGATGAAACTGAAAATAAACAAGATAATGATAAATGACTTGGAGAAACTAAACCAGCTAAGGGGACAGAGAAGGCTAGGAGAGGCAGGTGGAGGAAGAGCTGCCTTGTAGAGTGGTCACAGGTGGCTGCTCTGAAGAGGTGACATTTGAGCCAAGACTTTTAGTGAGAAGGAACCAGCCATGCAAAGATCTGTGACAAGAACATTCTAGGGCTAGAATCTAGGACCACTTTGGACATTCAAAGCAAAGGAAGGAAGAGGAAGGGGAGCATGGGGGAGATGAAACGCAAGGAAGGCAGAGGTCAGATCTTGGATGCTGTGCCATAAAGTGTCTGGGTTTCTTTTTCTTTCTCTTTGTTTTGAGGCAGGGTCTCACTTTCCCCTGGGCTGCGGTACAGTGGCACAGTCATGGCTCACTGCAGCCTCAATCTCCTGGGCTCAAGTGATCCCCTCTGCTCAGCCTCCTGAGTAGCTGGGACTACAGGTGCACGCCACCGCATCCGGCAAACTTTTTATTTTATTTATTTATTTATTTTGTAGAGACGGGTCTCACTTTGTTGCCCAGGCTGGTCTTGAACTCTTGGGCTCGAGCAATTCTCCCACCTCCGCATCCCAAAGTGCTGGGATTATAGGCATGAGCCACCGCACCCAGCCAACTGTCTGTTTTCTTCTAACTGCAACAGGAAGGCTTTGAAGGGTGATGAATTATGTTTGGAATGTTGTGAAATTCTGCATGTTAACCTAAGTATTTTCCTGTTTTTAGAATAATGTTTTGTAATGCTTGAGCATTTTATCTTTAAAGTTTGTGGCTTCTGAATAGAAAGGACTAAACTTGAGAAAGAGAGTCTGGGTGATCTGAAACCCAGTTGATAGGATCTGGAGAAATGCAGACGACTCCTATTCATCTTCCTACATGTATCTTAATTAGAAAGATTGGCCTTTGTGCCTGAGAGGTCTGGTGACAGTGCCAGGGGTGGAATGAGACATGGTAGGAGAAGCTCTACCATAATCGCATGATGTTTTAAAACGCTTTTTCTGTATTTTCTAAAATTTCTCAATGAATAGGCATCTATTATTTCCAACAATTAGGAAAAAAAACATTTTATTTTATTTTATTTATTTATTTTTGAGACAAGGTCTCACTCTGTTGCCCAGACTGGAGTGCAGTGGCACAATCTCGGCTCACTGCAACCTCCACCTCCCAGGTTCAAGCGATTCTCCTGCCTCAGCCTCCCTAGTAGCTGGGATTACAAATGCCAGCCACCACACCTGGCTAATTTTTTGTATTTTTAGTAGAGATGGGGTTTCACCATGTTGGCCAGGCTGGTCTCAAACTCCTGACCTCAAATGACCTACCTGCCTCAGCCTCCCAAAGTGCTGGGATTACAGGCATGAGCCATCATGCCTGGCCATATTTTAATTTTTTCCCTAACTTATACTGTGTTGAAAATTTCAAACCCATAGAAATGTTGACTGGGCATGGTGGCTCACACCTGTAATCCCAACACTTTGGGAGGCCGAGACGGGAAGATTGCTTGAGCCAAGAAATTTGAGATCAGCCTGGGCAATATAGGGAGACCCCGTCTCTACAAGAAGTTTAAAAATTAGCTGGGCCTGGTGTCACATCCCTATAGTCCCAGCTACTCAAAAACTGAGGTGGGAGGATCGCTTGATCGCCCGAGACAGAGGCAGCAGTGAGCTGCAATTGTGCCACTGCACTCCTGCCTGGGCAACAGAGCAAGACAATGTCTCAAAAAGAAACAAACAAACAAACAAAAGTTGAGAAATAGTACAATGAATTATATCCTTCACCTAAATTCACCAATCGTTAACACTGCCCACATTTGTTTTTTCTCTCACACATATACATAAAAAGTATACATAGTATAATGTTTTATTTTTTACATTTTTATTATTTATTTTGAGACCGGGTTATGATATTGGCTAATTTTTGTATTTTTGGTAGAGACAGGGTTTTGCCATGTTGCCCAAGCTGGTCTTGAACTCCTGGGCTCAAGCAATCTACCCACCTCGGCCTCACAAAGTGCTGGGATTACAGGCGTGAGCCACCGCTCCTGGCCCATGGTATACTTTTTTTGCCCAACCATTTATACTCTAACATTTATACTTTTTTGTTCAGCTTTCTAAAATTAACTTTTAGGTATAATAATACCTTACCCTAAATACTTCAGCATGTATCTCCTAAGAATCAAGACATACTTCTGTACAACTACCATATCATGAACACATCTCCAAGCAAACATTAATATAGATTATATTTACATTGTTCTAATTGTTCCAAAAATATCTTCTATATCTTCTATACATATATATATGTGTTCTTTTTTAAAATCCAGGAACCAATCAAGGATCATCCTCACATCTCACCATCATGCCTTTGTTTTTTCTTTTTTTGAGACTGGGTCTTGCTCTGTCGCCCAGGCTGGGATGCAGTGGCACAATCTCAGCTCACTGCAACCTCTGTCTCCCCGGTTCAAGCAATTCTTGCACCTCAGCCCCCTGAGGAGCTGGGACTACAGGCACCTGCCACCAGGTCCGGCTAATTTTTGTATTTTTAGTAGAGACAGGGTTTTACCATGTTGGCCTGACCTCATGGCTAGTCCCAAACTCCTGACGTCAAGTGATCTGCCCACCTCAACCTCCCAAAATGTAAGTCTCCTTAAATCTTGAACAGTTCCATTGCCATTTTTGTCTTTCATGACACTGCCATTTTTAAAGAATCTGGTCCAGTTGTCCTGTTGCATGTCTCACAACCAGGATTTGTATTTTCCTTCCTCATTATTAGATTTAAAGGAAACATTTTGGCAAAAATACTACACAGGTGATGTTGTGGACCTCATAGAGCATTACATCAGGAGGCTATCACTATCAAATTGTCCCAGGATGGGTGATGATAAGTTTGAATGCTTGGTTCAGGGTGTACTCTCCAGATCTCTCTTTTCTCTTTGTAATTTGTAAGTATTCCATGGAGCCGTGCTTTGATTCTGTGTGACTCTCTTATTCCCCAACAACCTTTCATCCAATGAAAGCTTTCAGTGTCCATTGCTGATCCATCATTGCATTGGTTGTTGCATTATGGTTATTTTCCAATACTATCAACTATTAACATCAATACTATTTAATACTATCAGGGGAATTTTTAAAAATTTTTAAGTGTAGGCCGGGCATGGTGGCTCACGCCTGTAATCCCAGCACTTTGGGAGGCCGAGGCAGGTGGATCACGAGGTCAGGAGATTGAGACCATCCTGGCTAACATGGTGAAACCCCGTCTCTACTAAAAATACAAAAATTAGCCAGGCGTGGTGGCGCGTGCCTGTAGTCCCAGCTACTCAGGAGGCTGAGGCAGGAGAATCGCTTGAGCCCAGGAGGCGGAGGCTGCAGTGAGCCGAGATCGCACCCCTGCACTCCAGCCTGGGCAACAGAGTGAGACTGTCTCAAAAAAAAAATTGTAAGTGTGAGTAAAAGAAGTTGGAACAGACTCTAAATCATTAAAATATTGACTTTTCATGACATAATTTTCCTTCTTGTGATATATGTTCTTTCTATTTTGCCTTTAATGAGTCAACCAATGCCCTCCCCTCCATAATAGATGTGTTACTTTTTTATTTACTAAGGACAGTAGATGATACAGGAAGAAATCAAAGCATACTTTTTGTTTTTTTGTTTTTTAAGACAGAGTCTTGCTCAGTTGCCCAGGCTGGAGCGCAGTGCCACAATCATAGCTCACTGCAACCTTGAAATCCTAAGCTCAAGCAATCCTCCCATCTCACCATGTCCAGCTAAGTTTTAAAATGTTTTGTAGAGATGAGGTCTCCCTAAGTTGCCCAGGCTGGTCTCAAACTCCTGGGCTCAAGCAGTCCTCTCTCCTCAGTCTCCCAAAGCACTGGGATTACAGGTGTGAGCCATCACAACGGGCTTAAAGCATATGTTTTTGTACAGCACTCTTCCTTCACATAGTCTAGGACAGGGGTCCCCAACTCCCAGGCCACGGACCATGGCCTCTTAGGAATCGAGCCTCTCACCTCCTGCCATGGACTGGCACAGTGGAAATAGCTAATTCAGGAACCGGGCTATACAGCAGGATGTAAGTGGCTGGCGAGTGTGTTAGAGATCAGCAGCAGCATTAGATTCTCATAGAATCATGAACCCTATGGTGAACTGGGGATGCAAAGGATCTAGGTTGCAGCTTCTTCTGATAATCTAATGCCTGATGATATGTCACTTTCTCCCATCACCCCCATTTGGGACCATCTAGTTGTAGGAAAATAAGCTCAGGGCTCTCACTGATTCTATATTATCGTGAATTAAATAATTATTTCACTAAATATAAAAATGTAATAATAATACGAATAAAGTGCACAATAAATGTAATGCACTGGAATCATCCTGAAACCATCCCCCTCTGCCCTGATCCATGGAAGAATTATCTTCCACGAAACCGATTCCTAGGCCAAAAAGGTTGGGGACCACTCGTCTAGAAGATGAGGCATACACTCATAAAAATTAAAAATAAAATGAAAAGGCCGGGTGTGGTGGCTCACGCCTGGTAATCTCAGCACTTTGGGATGCCAAGGCGGAGAGATCTCGAGGTCATGAGATCAAGACCATCCTGGCTAACACGGTGAAACCCCGTCTCTACTAAAAATACAAAAAAATTAGCCGGGCATGGTGGCAAGCGCCTGTAGTTCCAGCTCCTCGGGACGCTGAGGCAGGAGAATGGCGTGAACCTGGGAGGTGGAGCTTGCAGTGAGCCGAGATCATGCCACTGCCCTCCAGCCTGGGTGACAGAGCGAAACTCCATCTAAAAAAAATAAATAAATAAAATAAAAGGACACATAAGTGGCAGATGAGTGGCAGAGATAAGGCCACTCTCTCTTCTTTTTTTTTTTTTTTTTTTTTTTGAGATGGAGTCGCTCTGTCACCCAGGCGCGATCTCGGCTCACTGCAACCTCCGCCTCCCGGGTTCAAACAATTCTCCTGCCTCAGCCTCTGGAGTAACTGGAATTACAGGCGCCCACCACTACGCCCAGCTAATTTTTGTACTTTTAGTAGAGACGGGATTTCACCATGTTGGCCAGGCTGGTCCCGAACTCCTGACCTCAGGTGCTCCGCCCGCCTCGGCCTCCCAAAGTGCTGGGATTACAGGCGTGAGCCACCGCACCCGGCACACTCTCTGTTCTAAGTGGAACTGCTCACCTGGCTGCCCATCTGTCCCTCCCACTCTAGTCTCTGTGACTTGCCTTTTGAGCACACTAATTCCTCTACCTGGAACATTCTCTTCCCAACTTTGCATCTGGAGGTTCATATTCTAAAATATTGCCAGTGCTTCAAGACTGAGCTGAGATACTATCTCTTTCATTTATTATTATTTTTTAAAAGCTCCTTTAGGCCGAGAGCGGTGGTTCACACCTGTAATCCCAGCATTTTGGGAGGCCGAGGCAGGCAGATCACCTGAGGTCAGGAGTTTGAGACCAGCCTGGCCAACACAGTAAAACCCCGTCTCTACTAAAAATACAAAAACTAGTCTGGTGTGGTGGCACACGTCTGTTATCCCAGCTACTCAGGAGGCTGAGGCAGGAGAATGGCTCAGACCCAGGAGGCGGATGTTGCAGTGAACCCGATATCACGCCATTGCACTCCAGCCTGGGCAACAGAGCAAGACTCCATCTCAAAAACAAACAAACAAACAAAAAAACTGGGCCAGGCCTGGTGGCTTATGCCTGTAATCCCAGCACTTTGGGAGACCGAGGTGGGCAGATCAGGAGGTCAGGAGATCGAGACCATGCTGGCTAACATGGTGAAACCCCATCTCTACTAAAAATACAAAAAATTAGCTGGGCGTGGTGGCATGCACCTATAGTCCCAGCTACTAGGGAGGCTGAGGCAGGAGAATCACTTGAACCCAGGAGGCAGAGGTCACAGTGAGCCGAGATCACGCCACTGCACTCCAGCCTGGGTGACAGAGCAAGACTCCTTCTCAAAACAACAACAACAACAACAAAACACATAAAAAAACAAAAAAAAACTCCTTTAATTTCTCTTTGGGAGGCCAAAGTGGGCAGACTGCTTGAGTCCAGGAGTTGGAGACCAACCCGGGCAATGTGGCAAAACCCGGTCTCTACAAAAAAATTAGCCAGGCATGGTGGTGGGTGCCTGTGGTCCCAGCTACTCAAGAGGGCTGCTGAGGTGGGAGGATAACCTGAGCCTGGGGAGGTCAAGGCTGTGGTAAGCCATGATGGTGCCACTGCACTCCAGAGCCTGGGCAACAGAGTGAGACCCTGCCTCAAAAAAAAAAAAAAAAAAAAAAAGCATCACAGCACAGAGTGAGCACCTTCACCTTCTTCCCTTCATCAGTATAGTGGGTAAGGGAGCCAGGGTATCAAAAGATTCTACTTTGATTCCCAAATTCAGTATTTACCAGCTCTATGACACTTTAAATAAATAACTTAAACTTCTGAGGCTTAATTTCCTTATTTATAAAGTGGAGGTGATGCCAGGCCCAGTGGTGCCTATGTGGGGGTACCAGTAGTCCCATCTACTAGGAAGGCTGAGTGAGGCAGGAGGATCGCTTGAGCCTAGGCTGATTGGGTGTCCTCACTAAGTTCTGCATCAATATGGTGATGTTCTGGGAGTGGGGACCACTAGGTTGCCTAAGGAGGGGTGAACTGGCCCAGGTTGGAAACGGACCAGCTGAAAACTCCCATGCTAATCAGTAGTGGTATATCCTGTGCCAGTCATCAGTAGTGGTATGTCCTGTGCCAATCATCAGTAGTGGTATAGTGCCTGTGAATAGCCACTGCACTCCAGCCTGAGCAATATAATGAGACCCCCAATAAAAAAGTTTTTAAATGAAAATTAAATGGAAGTGATGGTAATACCCACCTTGCAAGGGTTGTATGTAAAATGGCCTTATTCCTGGCACAAAATAAATATTATTCGATGGATATTTAGTAGCTGCCTATGCTTCCTATATCAGGATGATTTCAGCTCAATGCTACAAAAAACAAGTTTAAAGTAGTTTAAATAATAAGGCAATGTATTGTCTCACATAAATGGAAGTACAGAGTGAATACAAACATAAAATTTGGTGAGGTAAGATTTAGTGAGGTAGCTGGGCAAGGTGGCTTACGTCTGTAATCCCAGCACTTTGGGAGGCCAAGGCGGGTGGATCACGAGGTCAGGAGTTCAAGACCAGCCTGGCCAAGATGGTGAAGCCTCATCTCTACTAAAACTACAAAATTAGCCAGGCGTGGTGGCAGGCGCCTGTAATCTCAGTTATTTGGAAGGCTGAGGCAGAAGAACTGCTTGAACCCAGGCAGCAGAGGTTGTAGTGAGCCAAGATTGCACCACTGCACTTCAGCCTGGGCGATAAGAGTGAGACTCTGTCTCAAAAAAAAAAAAGGATTTAGTGAGGTAAGATGAAAGGGGTAAGGGAAGCTGGAAGGTATTCAATAGTATTCGATACTCATGCACCAAGCACTAGGGTAAGTGATGTGGACATAAGGACCTCACAGTTCGGCATAGGAGGCAGGTACCTAAATAAATAAGTCTATGATGGCATGGGTGTGGGGGTCAGAAAGACATGGGTTTTTGAATCCTGATTTTTTGCTAGCTGTATACTTTGGGGCACTTTTTTTTTTTTTTCCAGTTTGAGATGGAGTCTTGCTCTGTCGCCCAGGCTGGAGTGCACTGGCGCAGTCTCGGCTTACTGCAACCGCCGCCTCCCAGGTTCAAGTGATTGTCCTGCCTCAGCCTCCTGAGTAGCTGGCATTACAGGCATGTGCCCCTACGCCTGTCTAATTTTTGTATTTTTAGTGGAGACAGGGTTTCACCATGTTGGCCAGGCTGGTCTCGAACTCCTGACCTCATGATCTGCCTGCCTCAGCCTCCCAAAGTGCTGGGATTAAGACATGAGCCACTGCACCGGGCCTGGGGCACGTTTTAAACATCTATGAAACTTAGTTTCCCTGTCTATGAAATGAAGATAATATTTAAGATATTGCAGTGACAACTGTATAAAACATCTGTGTTTGTGACACATAGACGGTACTTAATAAGTGGCATCTTCTATTTATTTTTTTACAGTGTACAATGTCTATGTAAGCACAACAAGAAAGCAACTTAACTGCCTGCAGCATCAGACCAAGTTCCTGGATCATAAGTTTGAAAGCAGCTTCTAGATGACGCTTGTGGATATTTGGAATAATATCTACTAATTTCTGTTAAGCAGCTATGTTTCAACTCCACTTCAATAAAAACAGCCAAATTTCTCTCCTGGAAATTCTTAAAACTCAAAGAAACTCTGATTCTTTCAAGTGTTAGTATGATGACCTAATTTTGTGCCTAACTCCTCTTATATAGAAAGGAACAAATATTTGATATTCATCTTCATTGTTTTCTGTGGGTTGGTTTCCTGTTATTTTTTCCCTTTGTCTAGGGGAAAGGAGTAAAGAAAACTTCCTTGTTAAACTGCTACTATAAGGAACACGTTTGAAGAAATAAACACAGAAAGCAAGTGAGTTTCTCATTAATATCATTAGCAGCATAATTCAACTCTTAAGTACTTAGGGATAGTACTGAAGCATTGAATACTATTCATTTACTTAGCTAAAGTAACAGAAGTGCAAAGTCCCAGAAGGAGGGGCAGAGGAATCAGATGGAGGGGCACCCTCAGAGAGAATAAAACCTAGGTGGAGGGACCCACACACGATTGAAGTAATACAAGTTAGAAAGTGATTTAACTTCAGGGGGTCAAAATATTTAAATTGTTATTATTATTATTATTATTTTTAAAGACAGAAGTCCCGCTCTGTGGCCCAGGCTGGAGTAGAGTGGCGCAATCTTGGTTCATTGCAACCTCCGCCTCCCGGGTTCAAGCAATTCTTCTGCCTCAGCCTCCCGAGTAGCTGGGATTACAGGCCATGCCCGGCTAATTTTTTTGTACTTTTAGTAGAGACGGGGTTTTGCCATGTTGGCCAGGCTGGTCTTGAACTCCTGACCTCAGGTGAACTGCCAGCCTCAGCCTCCTAAAGTGCTGGGACTACAGGCATGAGCCACCACACCTGGCTGATTTAAATTGTTTTTGAAGTATATACAGCATAGGGGGAAGCCACTTCTTAGAGAAGAAGAGAAATTAAAGGAGTTTTTTTTTTTTTTTTTTTTTGAGATGGAGTCTTGCTCTGTCACCCAGGCTGGAGTGCAGTGGCGTGATCTCGGCTCACTGTGACCTCTGCCTCCTGGGTTCAAGTGAGTCTCCTGCCTCAGCCTCCCTAGTAGCTGGGACTACAGGCACATGCCACCACGCCCAGCTAATTTTTTGTATTTTTAGTAGAGATGGGTTTCACCATGTTAGCCAGGATGGTCTCGATCTCCTGACCTCGTGATCCACCCACCTCGGCCTCCCAAAGTGCTGGGATTACAGGCATAAGCCACCAGGCCTGGCCCAGTTTTTTTGTTTGTTTGTTTGTTTTTGAGATGGAGTCTTGCTCTGTTGCCCAGGCTGGAGTGCAATGGCGTGATATCGGGTTCACTGCAACATCCGCCTCCTGGGTCTGAGCCATTCTCCTGCCTCAGCCTCCTGAGTAGCTGGGATAACAGACGTGTGCCACCACACCAGACTAGTTTTTGTATTTTTAGTAGAGACGGGGTTTTACTGTGTTGGCCAGGCTGGTCTCAAACTCCTGACCTCAGGTGATCTGCCTGCCTCGGCCTCCCAAAATGCTGGGATTACAGGTGTGAGCCACCGCGCCCGGCCTTAAGGAGCTTTTAAAAAATAATAATAAATGAAAGAGATAGTATCTCAGCTCAGTCTTGAAGCACTGGCAATATTTTAGAATATGAACCTCCAGATGCAAAGTTGGGAAGAGAATGTTCCAGGTAGAGGAATTAGTGTGCTCAAAAGGCAAGTCACAGAGACTAGAGTGGGAGGGACAGATGGGCAGCCAGGTGAGCAGTTCCACTTAGAACAGAGAGTGTGCCGGGTGCGGTGGCTCACGCCTGTAATCCCAGCACTTTGGGAGGCCGAGGCGGGCGGAGCACCTGAGGTCAGGAGTTCGGGACCAGCCTGGCCAACATGGTGAAATCCCGTCTCTACTAAAAGTACAAAAATTAGCTGGGCGTAGTGGTGGGCGCCTGTAATTCCAGTTACTCCAGAGGCTGAGGCAGGAGAATTGTTTGAACCCGGGAGGCGGAGGTTGCAGTGAGCCGAGATCACGCCTGGGTGACAGAGCGAGACTCCATCTCAAAAAAAAAAAAAAAGAAGAGAGAGTGGCCTTATCTCTGCCACTCATTTGCCACTTATGTGTCCTTTTATTTTATTTTATTTTTGAGACGGAGTCTTGCTCTGTCGCCCAGGCTGGAGGGCAGTGGCATGATCTCGGCTCACTGCAAGCTCCACCTCCCCGGTTCCCAAAGTGCTGGGATTACAGGTGTAAGCTACTACACCTGACCTATGACATTCTTTTGCTTAAGGAAAAACACGCAGGAAGTCATAAGACTATTACTTGCCAAGATTATCTTCTTATGTCTCTTTTACTAAACAGACATTTCCATATACCTTCACTGACATAGACCAAAACATCCATGTCCAAAATGGCCAAGCTAATCACAGTGGTTTCATTAGGATAGGCTAGGTTATGCTGAGGGAACAAATCTTGATGTCTTAGAACAACAAATCTTGACGTCTTAGAACAACAAATCTTGATGTCTTAGAACAACAAAACTTTCTTTCTTTCTCATGGCCATGTCCAGAGAGAGTTGGCTAGGGTATCTGCTTCATAATTTTGTCACTCTTGGACCCAGGTTGTTAGAGAAAACATTTCAAATATTACCAGGCATACACACACACACACACACACACACACACACACACACACACACACATCTAATATACATATATACATAAACATATATACACATATATACATATACATATATACACATATATACACACACACACACATATATATATACACACACACACATATATCTATATCTGAAAGGAGAAGAAAGCTCTGGAGGGTCTCACACTGGAAACTCAGTGCTTTGACTCAGATGTGATGCAAATCACTTCCATTCACAAAAAATTGCCAGAACTAGACAGATGGCCCACCCAGCCACAGTCTTCCATGTGAAGGGAAGGGAAGGAAAACCGGCTATCTCATCTGTGAACAGCAGTAAAAACCACATAATTGGTCATACATAGTAGAATATGCCTGAATTAATACTCATTCTTGAAATAAATCATAGTGACTGAGCATGATAGCTCACGCCTGTAATGCCAGAATTTTGAGAGGCATAGGCCAGAGGATCTCTTGAGCCCAAAAGTTTGAGACCAGCCTAGGCAACATAGCAAGAACCAGTCTCTATGAAAAATAAAAATAAAAAATTTAGCCAAGTGTAGTGGTGCATGCCTGTAGTCCTAGCTACTCAAAAGGCTGAGGTAGGAGGATCCCCTGAGCCCAGGAGTTTGGGGTTACAGGTAGCTATGATCATGACACTGCACTACAGCCTGGGTGACAGAGTGAGACCCTGTCTTAAAATGAAAAAAAAAAAATCTCATAGTTATTTAAAACTTATAGTTTGCAAATTTCATGGAGCCCTTCGAAACACTTTACAAATGTATTTTTACAAACATTATGAAGGAAACCAAGATGTTTCACCCCAAAACATATTTATTTCCTTGACATAGTTCAACATGTCTATTCAAAAGGGCTAGAAATAGAATAGCTGAAAGGTTGTTTGTTGTGGAGGAGATTTACATCTATAAAAATAAAGTCTACATCAGTACAGTTAGGTTTTCTCTGACGGCCTTCCCTTCTCTGACCTAAAACAAGTTAACTGAGAGTCCGACAGTTTTAAAGATCTGAAAAAAACCTTCACCATCTATTCTCCGTGAAGGTTGCTACCTGTGAGGTTTCGCCAGGCCTCCTCTTCTCCCTCTCCCATAACCTGTTTTGCCACTATCCAAACCCCATTCTTTACGGAACCTCAAGATGATACATAAACTTCCACACCCTATTGGGAGCTTGGAAGTAATCAATCTATGTGCACATTAATACATGTATATGCCTTTTCTCCAATTAATCTCCTTTTATGAGTTTTCTTTTTTTCCTTTTCTTTCTGTCACCTAGGCAGAGGCGCCATCTCAGCTCACTGCAACCTCCACCTCCTGGGTTCAATAAATCCTCCCGCTTCAGCCTCCCAAGTGGCTGGGACTACAGGTGTGTGCCACCACACTTGGCTAATTTTTGTAGGAGTTTAACTATGTTGGCCAGGCTGGTCTCAAACTCCTGACCTCAGGTGATCCTCCCACCTTGGCCTCCCAAAGTGCTGGGATTACAAGTGTGAGCCACCACGCCTGGCTATGAGTTATTGTTCAACAAATCTTCAGAGGGCCAACGGAAAGCTTTCCCTACAATTACCTCATTTTATATTCACCACAATCCTGTGAAGTATGTATAGTAGCTAGATGGTGATATCACCCTTTTTTTAATAGGACACAGAGGCTCATGGAGCTTACCTGACTTACCCAAGGATACAAGTAATTGACCTGAGATTCAAACACAGTTTGACTGTATATCTTACATTATGTCCAATATACCACACTGCCTTTAAGAAACTATCTTCAGGCCGGGCATGGTGGCTTACACCTGTAATCTCAGCACTTTGGGAGTCTGAGGTGGGCAGATCACCTGAGGTCGGGAGTTCAAGATCAGCCCGACCAACATGGAGAAACCCCGTCTCTACTAAAAATACAAAATTAGCTGGGCGTGGTGGCGCATGTCTGTAATTTCAGCTACTCGGGAGGCTGAGGCAGGAGAATGGCTTGGACCCGGGAGGCGGAGGTTGCGGTGAGCCGAGATCGCACCATTGCACTCCAGCCTGGGCAACAAAAGCAAAACTCTGTCTCAAAAAAAAAAAAAAAAAAAACTATTTTCACTGCAGAGTCTTAGCACATCAATGTATTGTCAAACATAAGGGAAAATATTAGCCTTAGAAACAAAAACATAGGTGCGGTTTCCTTCAGCAAACTCCACAACTCAATAAATCAATCGGACAAATAGACTGGGTACAATGGCTCATGCCTGTAATCTCCACACTGGGGGAGGCCGAGGTGGGAGGATCACTGGAACCCAGGAATCCAGGATCAAGCTGGGCAGCACAAGACCTTATCTCCACGAAAAAAGTTTTAAAATTAGCCGGGTGTGGTGGCAAGCACCTGTAGTCCCAACTACTTGGTAGGCTGAGGTGGGAAGATTGCTTGAGCTCAAGAGGTTGAGGCTGCAGTGAGCCATGATCACACCACAGCACCCCAGCCTGGGTGACAAAGTGAGAACCTATTAAAAAAAAAAAGTTTGGGTGTGGTGGCTCACACCTGTAATCCCAGCACTTTGGGAAGCCAAGGCGGGAGGATCACTTGAGCCATGGAGTTCGAGACCAGCCTGGGCAACATAGTGAGAACCTGTCTCTATTTTTTAAAATAGTCCAAATAACCACCCATTATCTGTACCTATAATTAGCCTGAAAGTTAGAGACAACATATCATTATCATGGCCTTCTAGGGACAACATATCAAACTATCAAAGAAGTAGTGAAATTGAATATTTCTCTTGTATTCCTTCCCTTTGATATCAGTTCTGGCAACACAAGAGAAGAAAAGAGGGAAACATCCAAAGGAAATCCAGTTATGAACTCAGCTCTGTCAGAAATCAGCTGCGTAGTTTTTTAAAATTATACTTTAAGTTCTGGGATACATGTGCAGAGCATGCAGGTTTGTTACATAGGTATACATGTGCCATGGTGGTTTGCTGCACCCATCAACCCGTCATCTAGGTTTTAAGACCCGCATGCATTAGGTATTTGTCCTAATGTTCTCCCTCCCCTTCTCCCCCACCCCCCTACAGGCCCTGGTATGTGACGTTCCCCTCCCTGTGTCCATGTATTCTCATTGTTCAACTCCCACTTATGAGCGAGAATATGCAGTGTTTGGTTTTCTGTTCCCGTGTTAGTTTGCTGAGAACGTTGGTTTCCAGCTTCATCCATGTCCCTGCAAACAACGTGAATCATTCTTTTTTATGGCTGCATAGTATTCCATGGTGTATATGTGCCACATTTTCTTTATCCAGTCTATCATTGATGGGAATTCGGGTTGGTTCTAAGTCTTTGCTATAGTGAATAGTGCTGCAATAAACATGCATGTGCATGTGTCTTTATAGAATGATTTATAATCCTTTGGGTGTATACCCAGTAACAGGATTGCTGGGTCAAATGGTATTTCTGGTTCTAGATCCTTAAGGAATCGCCACACTATCTTCCACAATGGTTGAACTAGTTTACACTCATACCAACAGGGTGAAAGCATTTCTATTTCTCTCCACATCCTCTCCAGCATCTGTTGTTTCCTGACTTTTTAATGATTACCATTCTAACGGGTATACATGTGCCATGAGATGGTATCTTATTGTGGTTTTGATTTGCATTTCTCTAATGACCAGTGATGATGAGCTTTTTTTCATATGTTTGTTGACTGCATAAATGTCTTCTTTTGAGAGGTGTCTGTGCATATCCTTTGCCCACTTTTTGATGGGGTTCTTTGTTTTTTTCTTGTAAATTTGTTTAAGTTCCTTGTAGATTCTGGATATTAGACCTTGTCAGATGGATAGATTGCAAACATTTTCTCCCATTCTGTAGATTGCCTGTTCACTCTGATGATAGTTTCTTTTGCTGTGCAGAAGCGCTTTAGTTTGATTAGATCCCATTTCTCAATTTTGGCTTTTGTTGCAATTGTTTTTGGTGTTTTAGTCATGAACTCTTTGCCCATGCCTATGTCCTGAATGGTATTGCCTAGGTTTTCTTCTAGGGTTTTTACGGTTTTAGGTCTTATGTTTCAGTCTTTAATCCATCTTGACTTAGTTTTTGTATAAGCTATAAGGAAGGGGTATAGTTTCAGTTTTCTCCATATGGCTAGCCAGTTTTCCCAGCACCATTTATTAAATAGGGAATCCTTTTCTCATTGCTTGTTTTTGTCAGGTTTGTCAAAGATCAGATGGTTGTAGATGTGTGGTGTTATTTCTGAGACCTCTGTTCTGTTCCATTGGTCTATGTATCTGTTTTGGTACCAGTACCATGCTGTTTTGGTTACTGTAGTCTCATAGTATAATTTGAAGTCAAGTAGCAGCTGTGTAATTCTAAGCAAGACATTTAATCTGCCTTTACCACTCACAATAATGTCTCTGTGTTAGTCCATTTGCATTGCTATAAAGAAATATCAGAGACTGGGTAATTTATTTATTTTTTATCCAAAATGTGTTTATTGAGGCCAGGCACAGTGGCTCATGCCTGTAACCTCAGCACTTTAGGATGTCGAGGTGAGCAGATCACCTGAGGTCAGGAGTTCAAGATCAGCCTGGCCAACATGATGAAACCCCAAAATAAGCCGGGCATAGTGGCGCATGCCTGTAATCCCAGATACTCAGGAGGCTGAGGCAGGAGAATTGCTTGAACCTGGTAGGCGGAGGTCGCAGTGAGCCAAGCTCACACCACTGCACTGCAGCCTGGGCGACAAGAGTGAAACTCAGTCTCAAAAAAAAAAAAGTGTTTATTGAGATGATTTCCCACTCATCTTGATTCGGAGTGCTTTTTAATGCTGCTTCCTCCTGAAGGAACATCCTTCTGTAAGCCTTGCTTTTCTTTCTGTAGGCTGGCAGAGGACAGTGGAGCAGCCAACACACAAAATTTCTGTTAGTGCATGGCTAAAGACTGTGATGATTTTGTACCATCCTGGGCATTTACACCCATGAAGTAGGAATTGGGGCTCTGCATCAGGCACTGCTTCTTGTGTTTCCTCTTCCCCTATTCTGGAGAGGGATGAAGGAGATCCTTTGTGAGAGGCATGTTCTCCTGGGTAGGTCGTCACCGCTGGAAAAAGACTGGGTAATTCGCAAAGAAAAGAGGTGGCCGGCCACAGTGGCTCACGCCTGTAATCCCAGCACTTTGGGAGGCCGAGGTGGGCGGATCACCTGAGGTCAGGAGTTCAAGACCAGCCTGGCCAAAATGGTGAAACCCCATTTCTACTACAAATACAAAAATTAGCTGGGCGTGATGGCGGGCACCTGTAATCCCAGCTACTTGGGAGGCTGAGGCGGGTGAATCGCTTGAACCTGGGAGGCGGAGGTTGCAGTGAGCTGAGATTGCACCATTGCACTCCAGCCTGGGCGACAAGAGTGAAACTCCGTCTCAAAAAAAAAGGAGAGAGGAAAAAGAAGAGGTTTAATTGGCTCACCGTTCTGCAGGCTGTATAGGAAACATGGCACCAGCATCTGCTTGGCTTCTAGTGAGGCCTTAGGGAGCTTTTACTCATAGCAGAAGGCAAAACAGGAGCAGACATGTCACATGGTGAGAGTGAGTGGTGGAGGTGGAGGAGGTGCCACACTTTTTTAAACAACCAGAGCTCTCAAGAGCTCTCAGAGCGAGAACTCCCTTATTATTGTGAGGACAGCACTAACCCATTTATGAGGAATCTGCCCCCATGACCCAAACACCTCACACTAGCCCACCTCCAACAGTGGGGATCACATTTCATCATAAGATTTGGAAGAGACAAAACATCCAAACCTTATCAGTCTGTGAAAATGTTTGGAAGAATAAAGTGCTACTAGCAGTTGAGCCATTCAATATTTAAGGGCAAGCTGCTTCCATGGGCTTGGTCTTAGGAGGGAATTAAAGAATAGCTAAGGTGAAACCAACTCAATAGTCCCATAGACAGTTCTGGTCTTAAGCTTGAACCTTACATTTGTATTATCTGAGTTCCTTCCTCAGGAAAGGACCCTCAAAAGCCTCTCAAAAAGTACCTGAAGAAAAAGAACTGAAACTCACCAGATCGTTGCATCCAGACAATGAGACACCAGGCCCTTCATTCATCATGATTGCTTCCTTACCCCTCTCAAGTTGAGTTCCTGTTTTCCCATGCATAGTTACATTTCTTCCCTGCTAGATTAACCCCTAATTATAGTCAGTCAGGAGATGAATTTGAGACTAGTTCCCATGTCTTCAGCTGCAGCACCCAATTAAAGCTTTCTTCCTTGGCAATACTCATTGTCTCAGTGATTGGTTTTCTGTGCTATGAGGAGCAGGACTTAGACTGAATACCTGCTATTATGGTAACAAAAGCATGGTCTATGCTGGAGGCATCTGTGGTTTTTGCATGTCTAGCTTCTATTAGAGCACACATGCAGCTTTTCATTTATAACTCACCCTTCTTCAGCCCAGCGCAGTGGCTCATGCCTGTAATCCCAGCACTTTGGGAGGTCAAGTGGGTGCATCACGAGGTCAGGAGATCAAGACCATCCTGGCTAACACGGTGAAACCTCGTCTCTACTAAAAATACAAAAAAATTAGCCAGGCGTGGTGCCAGGCGCCTGTAGTCCCAGCTACTCTGGAGGCTGAGGCAGGAGAATGGCGTGAACCCGGGAGGCAGAGATTGCAGTGAGCCAAGATCGCACCACTGCACTCCAGCCTAGGCAACAGAGTGAGACTCCATCTCAAAAAAAAAAAAAGAAAAAGAAAAAGAAAAAAAAACCTTATCTTTCTTCCATTCCATGAGGTCCTGACGGGATTGTGTTCTGCCCACACATTAGCGGATATGAGATCCAGGCTGCCTCATCTGATGTGGTGATAGGTTCAAAGATGGACACATAACCCAAACCAAGACCTATCAGACGCTTCCAGAGACATGATAGAAAGCTGCTGGAAGAGAGCCACTTCCCTGTAACCCACTACGTGCTTATGTACTGGAGCTGACACCAGGCATCTTCCGCAGTTACACAGAGAAAGTCTAAACATGACAGCATGAGACTAAATATGCTGTGAGAAGCAGTGAAGATGAGAGAAACAGACTGAAAGGGAACCCTGAAGCCAAGTCAGCTCCTAAACTTCTCAGTTCTCTAATTCAAAAGAGTCCCTTGTATGCATAAGCTGATTTGAGTTTCTGTTATTAGAAACCAAAGCCGTTCTGACTAATACAGTTTCAGTCCTCAAATTCATATCTTATGAAATTTGATAGTTATTTACTTAATAAGAGACCATTTAAAAAATATCAGCTAATTCTGAAACATACAAGCTCAGTTTAAGCATCTTATGATGACCTCAGCACCCTAGAAGGCCTGTTTCTAGAGAACACTACTTCTGCTCTCAATAGTGGAGATGGGTGGTTAGCAATAGTTGTGTTGTACCTAAACCTGTTATTCCCACTTGTACTTGCTACTACATGTGTGTACGTATGTGTATGATTTAATTAAATATTATTTAAATGATAAAATATGATGCGGGCCAGCTGCTGTGGCTCAGGCCTATAATCCCAGTACTTGGATAGGCCAAAGTGGGTGGATCACCTGAGGTCAGCAGTTCAAAACCAGCCTGGCCAACATGGTGAAACCCCGTCTCTACCAAAAACACAAAAATTAGTCAGGCATGATCGTATGCACCTGTAAACCCAGCTACTCAGGAGGCTGAGGCAGGAGAATCACTTGAACCTGGGAAGTGGAGGTTGCAGTGAGCTGAGATCATGCTGTGTCCGGAATTGGTTCCTTACGGTGGATTCTTGGTCTCGCTAACTTCAAGAATGAAGCTGCAGACCCTCGTGGTGAGTGTTACAGTTCTTACACGTAGTGTGTCCGGAGTTTGTTCCTTCAGATGTTCAGATATGTCCAGAGTTTCTTCCTTCCGGTGGGCTCGTGGTCTAGCTTGACTTCAGGAGTGAAGCTGCAGACCTTCGCAGTGAGTGTTACAGCTCTTAAATGTGGCGCATCCAGCGTTGTTTGTTCCTCCCGGTGGGTTCGTGGTCTCACTGATTTCAGGAGCAAAGCTGCAGACCTTCGCAGTGAGTGTTACAACTCATAAAGGTAGTGCGGACCCAGAGGGAGCAGCAGCAAGATTTATTGTGAAGAGCAAAAGAACAAACCTTCCACAGCCTGGAAGGGGACCCGAACTGGTTGCTGCTGCTGGCTCCGGTGGCCAGCTTTTATTCCCTTATTTGGCCCTGCCAACGTCCTGCTGATTGGTCCATTTTACAGAGTGCTAATTGGTCCATTTTACAGAGTGCTGATTGGTCCATTTTTACAGAGTGCTGATTGGTGTGTTTACAAACCTTTAGCTAGTCACAGAGCACTGATTGGTGCATTTTTACAGAGTGTTGATTGGTGCATTTACAAACCTTTAGCTAGACACAGAGCGCTGATTGGTGCATATTTAGAGTACTGATTGGTGTGTTTACAAACCTTTAGCTAGACACAGAGTGCTGATTGGTGTGTTTACAATCCTCTAGCTAGACAGAAAAGTTCTCCAAGTTCCCACCCAACCCAGAAGCCCAGCTGGCTTCAATTCTCAATGCCACTGCATTCCAGCCTGGGCTACAGAGTGAGACCCTGCCATAAAAACAAACAAACAAAAACCACACAAATAACATAAAATAAAATATGATGACCCCAACAGAAAGGTGTTTCTAGGCTGGGCACGGTGGCTCATGTCTGTAATCCCAGCACTTTGGGAGGTGGAGGTGGGTGCATCACGAGGTCAGGAGTTTGAGACAAGCCAGGCCAACATGATGAAATCCTGTCTCTACTAAAAATACAAAAATTAGTCAGGTGTGGTGGCATGCACCTGTAATTCCAGCTACTCAGGAAGCTGAAGCAGGAGAATCTTTTGAACCTGGGAGGGAGAGGTTACAGTGAGCTATGATCGCACCATTGCACTCCAGCCTGGGCGACGTAGTGAGACTCTGTCCCAAACAAACAAACAAACAAACAAAAAGGTATTTCTATAAAAATCAAGTTAATTGTTAAAAGACTCATAATGATGTTGCTTTAGAAAAAAAAAATGTTGGCTAGGTAGGGTGGCTCACGCCTGTAATCCCAACACTTTCGGAGGCTGAGGCTGGAGGATCCTGTGAGCCCAGGAGTTTGAGACCAGCCTGGGCAGCATGGCAAGACCCCCTCTCTATGAAAAAATTAAAAATTAGCCAGGCGTGGTGGCACACACCTGTGGTCCTAGCTACTCAGGATCCTGAGGTGGGAGGATCACTTAATCCCACAAGGTCAAGGCTGCAGTGAGCCGTGTTCACACCACTGCACTCCAACCTGGGTAACAGAGCGAGACTCTGTCTCTAAAAAAAATTAATTAATGAAAAATGAAAAATGAAAAAAAATTAAGACAAACTATGGCACCCATATGTCACTTTTTGATGTTTAGCTTTAATCTACTTTTTTGAATTGACATTCTAATTACTGATCCCAGCTGTGTCAGGTAAGAGAGCAACAATCTGTTGACTTCAAAATTATCTTACCTGAACAATAGGAGATATGAACTTACTTAGGGGTTGGAAGATTTATTTTAATTATGACCCCACAGAAAAGATTCAAGACAACAAAACTTTAAGATAAGACTTTCTAATATATTAGGTAACAGAGTAAACTTAAATGAGATATTTGTTTACCTTTATTTTTATTTATTATTATTTATTATTATTTTTTGATGGGGTCTTGCTCTGTCACCCAGGCTGGAGTGCAGCGGCAAGATCTCGGATCACTGCAGCCTCCACCTCCTGGGTTCAAGCAATTCTCCCACCTAAGCTACCTGAGTAGCTGGGATTACAGGGGCACGCCACCACACCTGGCTAATTTTTGTATTTTTAGTAGAGACAGGGTTTCACCATGTTGGGAAGGCTGGTCTTGAACTCTTGACCTCACGTGATCCACCCACCTTGGCCTCCCAAAGTGCTGAGATTACAGGCGTGAGCCACTGCACCCCGGCCTATTTTTATTTTTTAATATTTATTTATTTTTGAGACAGAGTTATGCTCTTGTTGCCCAAGCTGGAGTGCAATGGCGTGATCTCGGCTCACCGCAACCTCTGCCTCCCGGGTTCAAGCAATTCTCCTGCCTCAGCCTCCCGAGTAGCTGGGATTACAGGCATGCGTCACCACACCCAGCTAATTTTGTATTTTTAGTAGAGACAGGGTTTCTCCATGTTGGTCAGGCTGGTCTTGAACTCCCGACCTCAGATGATCCGCCCGCCTTGGCCTTATTTTTATTTTTTTAGAGACGGAGTCTGACTCTGTCACCCAGGCTAGAGGGCCGTGGTGTGATCATAGCTCACCACAGCCTTGAACTCCTGGGTTACAGTGATCCTCCCGCCTTGTTCTCCCAAAATGCTGGTATTACAGGCATGAACCACCATGCCTGGTTGCAGTCTTACCTGTTTTTTTTCAAAAATGTTCTGACTATTCCATCCTATTGTAGCCTCTTCAGAATTCTCTCTCTCCAGGATTTAAGGCGCTATCAAGGTCTGTCAATCCTGAGATGAGTTATGTGAAAGTATTTAAGAAAGGATAGGGCCGGGAGCGGTGGCTCACGCCTGTAATCCCAGCACTTTGGGAGGCCAAGCCGGGTGGACCACGAGGTCAAGAGATCGAGACCATCCTGACCAACATGGTGAAACCTCGTCTCTACTAAAAATACAAAAACTTAGCCAGGCATGGTGGTGGGCAACTGTAGTCCCAGCTACTCGGGAGGCTGAGGCAGGAGAATCACTTGAAACTGGGAGGTGGAGGTTGCAGTGAGCCGAGATTGTGCCACTGCACTCCAGCCTGGGTGACAGAGCAAGACTCCATCTTAAAAAAAAAAAAATGATAAGGACTAAGGACTATATACATGTAAAAGTATAGTACTTCCTTCTCTTTCTCATTCTGTCTCTCTCTCTCTTTCTCTCTTTCTTTCACAGGATCTTGCTCTGTTGCCCAGGCTGGAGGGCAGTGGTGAGATCATGGCTCACTGCAACCTGGAACTCCTGGGCTCAAGTGATCCTTCTGCCTCCTGCCTCAGCCTCCAGAGTAGCTGGGACTACAGGCTTGCTCCACCACATCTGGCTAATATATACATCTAATATATTAGATGTATTATATACATATAATATATGTATTATATACATATAATATATGTATTATATACATATAATATATGTATTATATACATATAATATATGTATTATATACATATAATATATTATATGAATATATATATACTATATTATATGAATATATAATACATATACTATAGTATATGTATTATATATTCATATACTATAGTATATGTATTATATATTCATATACTATAGTATATGTATTATATATTCATATAATATAGTATATGTATTATATATTCATATAATATAGTATATGTATTATATATTCATATAATATAGTATATGTATTATATATTCATATAATATAGTATATGTATTATATATTCATATAATATAGTATATGTATTATATATTCATATAATATAGTATATGTATTATATATTCATATAATATAGTATATGTATTATATATTCATATAATATAGTATATGTATTATATATTCATATAATATAGTATATGTATTATATATTCATATAATATAGTATATGTATTATATATTCATATAATATAGTATATGTATTATATATTCATATAATATAGTATATGTATTATATATTCATATAATATAGTATATGTATTATATATTCATATAATATAGTATATGTATTATATATTCATATAATATAGTATATGTATTATATATTCATATAATATAGTATATGTATTATATATTCATATAATATAGTATATGTATTATATATTTCATATAATATAGTATATGTATTATATATTCATATAATATATTATATATTATATATTTCATATAATATATATATTATATATTCATATAATATATTATATATATTATATATTTCATATATATATATATTTTTGAGATGGAGTCTTGCTTTGTTGCCCAGGCTGGAGTGCAGTGGTGCCATCTCGGCTCACTGCAACCTCCGCCTCCCGGGTTCAAGCGATTTTTCTGTCTCAGCTTCCCAAGTAGCTGGGATTACAGGTGCACGCCACCACGCCCAGCTAATTTTTGTATTTTTAGTAGAGATGGGGTTCCACCATGTTGGTCAGGCTGGTCTTGAACTCCTGACCTTGTGATCTACCCGCCTCAGCCTCCCAAAGTGCTGGGATTACAGGCGTGAGCCACTGCGCCCGGCCTCTGGCTAATATTTTTAAAACATTTTTTGTAGAGCCAGGTCTTGCTCTGTTGTCCACACTGGTCTCAAGCTCTTGGCTCAAGCGAAACTCCTGCCTTGGCCTCCCATAAATGCAGGAATTACAGATGTGAGCCACTGTGCCCTGCCTTAGTATTTCTTGAGTTGTTATTTAAATGTAAATATTCCCTTGTCTTTAATGCAGCAGAAAATTCCTCAAGAGCCAAAAATACTTTTTAAATTTTTAAAATTTAAAAGTTTTTAAATTGTTTAATTTTAAATTTTAATAAATAAATAAATAAAAATTTAAAAAAATTAAAAATTTTAAAGGGCACTTCATAAATCTCAAACTGCCCTGGTCCTCACAGTCTTTCTAACTTGGCTGAAGATAGCTCTGCTTTTGCTGAGAAAATGTAGATCACTTTCCTCTCTCTCAAAGGATCTGTGGAGTCATCCCTCTCCTCTTACAACCTCTGCTCCCTCTCCTCACATTGTACACTCAGATTTCAAAATCTTGGAGGACGCACCTCCCTCATCCTTCTCGGGGTTAGCTTTATGTTCTCCGAGTGCACCTCCCAAGGGGCAGCCCACTGATTCCAAATTGGAAGTGCTTTCCTTGGTTCTTATGAACCAATGCAGCAGTTTTTTCTTTTCTGTAAGTAAATTTTTATATTGCACTAAGGACTCCTAGTAGCTTTCTTCAGGAGTTACTAAGGATAACATGTCTTTGCTATCCAACACCTAGGGTATTAGGCCGGCTGTGGTGGCTCATGCCTGCAATCCCAGCACTTTGGGAGGCCAAGCTGGGAAGATCACTTGAGCCCAGGAGTTCAAGACCAGCCTGGACAACATAGTAAGACCCCGTTTCTAAGACAAAAACAAAAACTAAAACCCTGGGGTATTAGCACTTAAGTTGACAGAGGAATTGATTTGGCATTGTACTGAAAAGTTGAGCTGGCCGGGTGTGGTGGCTCATGCCTGAAATCCTAGCACTTTGGGAGGCCGAGGTGGGCAGATCACTTGAGGTCAGAAGTTCAAGACCAGCCTGACCAACATGGTGAAACCCTGTCTCTACTAAAAATACAAAAATTAGCCGGGTGTGGTGGCGGGCGCCTGGAATCCCAGCTACTCGGGAGGCTGAGGCAGGAGAATTGCTTGAACCTAGGAGGTGGAGGTTACAGTGAGCTGAGATCATGCCACTGCACTCCAGTCTGGGCAACAGAGTGAGACACCATCTCAAAAAAAGGAAAGAAAAGTTGAAAAGTTGAATTGCTGGTAACTATGTGAAGCTCCCACTATGCAAATACCTACATCCTTGGGATTCCTCAATTTTCTAGTTAGATAGGTATGTTATCAGTACTTTATGTGTTGACTCAGACAGCTCGTTAGGTATTAGCTTGGCTTAGTCTTTCCTTTAAAATGTCAATTATTAGTTTAGCTTCATTATTATCAATTTGGTGTTTCCTTTAGCCAACTGTATAATTTTTGTGATGCTCATTTGCATGAGCATTTTTTTTTTGACACGGAGTCTCGCTCTGTTGCCCAGTCTGGAGTACAATAGCATGATCTCGGCTCACTGCAACCTCCGCCTCCCAGGTTTAAGCGATTCTCCCGCCTCAGCCTCCTGAGTAGCTGGGATTACAGGTGCGTGCCACCACGCCCAGTTAATTTTTGTATTTTTATAGAGATGGGGTTTCTCCATGTTGGTCAGGCTGGTCTCAAACTCCTGACCTCAGGTGATCCACCTGCCTCGGCTTCCAAAGTGCTGGGATTATAGGCGTGAGCATCAGGCCCAGCCAAGTAGGCTTTCTAGGCCATAATTTTCAAGGAATTCGACTTCAAGATGTGTTAGTTTGTTATTCTTTTTTTTTTTTTTTTTGAGACGGACTCTTGCTCTGTCTCCCAGACTGGAGTTCAGTGATGTGATCTCAGCTCACTGCAACCTCTGCCTCCTGGGTTCAAGAGATTCTCCTTCCTCAGCCTCCTGAGTAGCTAGAATGACAGGCGCCCACCACCAGGCTGGTCTCGAACTCCTGACCTCAGGTGGTCGGCCCGCCTCGGCCTCCCAAAATGTTGGGATTACGGGTGTAAGCCACCACGCCCAGCCGGTTTGATATTCTAATAGGATTCTTCTATATCCATATTGCTAAATCAGAGGTTTGTATAATTTCCTAAAAATATGCTTGCACTATGACACTTCATTGGTTATGTGCTTCTCATGAATTTGTGCTATTTATATAACATGGAAGCCAGGTAGGTGTAATGAAATGACTGCGTTCTTTTTTATTTATTTATTTATTTTTCGAGAGGGAGTCTCGCTCTGTCACCCAGGCTGGATTCAGTGGCGCGATCTTGGTTCACTGCAGCCTCTGCCTCCTGGGTTCAAGTGATTCTCCTGCCTCAGCCTCCCAAGTAGCTGGCATTACAGGCATGTGCCACCATGCCTGTCTAATTTTTGTATTTTTAGTGGAGACGGGGTTTCACCATGTTGGCCAGGCTGGTCTTGAACTCCTGACCTCAAGTGATCCATCTGCCTTAGCCGCCCAAAGTGCTGAGATTACAGGCGTGAGCCACTGCACCCGTCCGATGACTGGGTTATTTTTAAATGTATAAGGCACTTTGTACAATATAAAACCATGTGGACAAGCTCATATTCTTTTTATCAAGTAAATACCAAGTGATTGTATATTTTGTATCCAGCAACATATCCACCCCAATTTGTTTATGGGTAAAAGCCTATCAATTGTATCCCTAGTGTACATCATGGTATCATATTGTGATATGACATTGAGAACATGTTTATTGTTTTGCTAGAAATATATAGCTATTTTCAACAAGGGTACCATTCAATGGAAAAAGGACAGTTTTTTTTCAACAAATGATGTTGGGAATATTGGATATCCACATGCAAGAAAATAAAATTGGACCCTTACCTTACTTACACCATATGGTGGTTAATTTTATGTGTTAAACTTGACTGGACATAGGGATGCCCAGATAGCTGGCATCATGTCTGGATGCATCTGTGAGGGTGTTTCTAGAAGAGATTAGCATTTGAATCAAACTGAGTAGAGATCACCCTCACCTGTGTGAATGAGCATCTTCCCGTCGTTGAGGACCTGGATAGAACACAAAGGCAGAGGAAGGGCAAACTTGCTCTCTTTTCTGGAACTGGAATATCCATCTTCTCCTGCCTTTGGACATTAAAGCTCCAGGTTCTCAGGCCTTCAGACTCAGATTGAATTATACCACTGGCTTTCCTGGTTCTCCAGCTCCAGCCCACAGACACCACACTCTGGGACTTCATGACCTCTATATTTGCATGAGCCAACTGCCATAATAGATCCCCTCTTATTTGTCTATGAATATCCTATTGCTTCTGTTTCTCTGGAGAACCCTAACACACGCCATATACAAAAATTAACTCAAAATAGATCAAACACCTAAATGTAAGAGCTAGAAGTATACAATTCTTAGAAGGAAACAGAGAAAGGCTTCGTGACGTTGGGTTTGGCAATGATTTCATGGATATGATACCAAAGGACAGCCAACAAAGGGAAAAATAGGTAATTCGGACCATATCAAAATTAAAAATTTTGTGCATCAGAGGGCACTATCAACAGTGAAAAAGCAACCCACAGAATGGGAGAAAATATTTGTGAATTGTATATCTAATAAGCAGTGCTTATCCACAATACATAAAGAACTCCTGCAACTCAACAAAAAAGCAAACAACCCAATTCAAAAATAGACAAAGGACTTGAGTAGACATTTCTCCAAAGAAGATATACAATGGCCAGTAAGTGGATGAAAAGATGCTCAACATTATTAATCACTGGAGAATGCAGATCAAAACCACAATGAGATACAATTTCACACCTATTAGGATAGCTGCTATTAAATAAACAAATAAACAAAAACAGAAAATAAGTATTGGTGAGGATGTGGAAAAATTGGAACCCTCCTGCATTGCCGATAGGAATATACAGTGATGTAGCCACTGTGGAAAAAAGTATATTGACTCCTCAAAAAATTAAACATAGAATTACCATATATCAGCAATTCCACTTCTGGGTTTGTACCCAAAAGAAGTGAAAGCAGGCTATGGGCGCGGTGGCTCACACCTGTAATCCCAGCACTTTGGGAGTCTGAGGCGGGCGGATCACCTGAGGTCAGGAGTTCGAGACCAGCCTGACCAACATGGTGAAACCCCATCTCTACTAAAAATACAAAATTAGTTGGGTGTGGTGGCAGGTGCCTGTAATCCAAGCTACTTGGGAGGCTGAGGCAGGAGAATTGCTTGAACCCAGGACACGGAGGTTGCAGTGAGCCGAGATGGTGTCATTGCACTCCACACTGAGCGACAGGAGCGAAACTCCGTCTCAAAAAAAAAAAAAAAAAATTCCACAGTATATACAACATCATCATTAGTTTTTATTTTCATTAAGGTTAAATGTGAGCATGCTTTATTTTTCTTTTTTTTCACGTCAGAGTCTTGCTTTGGCTCAAAGGCTGGAGTGCAGAGGTGCTATCACGGCTCACTACAGCCTTAAACTCCGGGGCTCAAGTGATCCTCCTGCCTCAGCCTCCTAAGTAGCTGGGACTACAGACATGAATCCCCATGCCTGGCTAATTTTTTATTGAG
Source organism: Homo sapiens (assembly GCF_000001405.40). Classification (NCBI taxonomy): domain Eukaryota; kingdom Metazoa; phylum Chordata; class Mammalia; order Primates; family Hominidae; genus Homo; species Homo sapiens. Next base: position 240,934 of record NW_003315917.2, on the reverse strand, counting down.
GCAGGGTCTCGCTATATTGCCCAGGCTGGTCTCAAACGCCTGGGCTCAAGCAATCCTCCCATCTTGGCTTCCCAAATTGTTAGGATTACAGGCACGAGCCACCATGCCCAGCCAGAAGCACTTTCAAAACTTTTGTTTGATAGTCACATATTCTAATAAGTGCTACTTCGTGGTTCTTCACAGTTATTGGCTATGAACCTCCAACTATGAAAGAAGAGAATTTAATTATCTTTCAATCATCTTGAACCCAGTAATGCATAAATATGTAACTAATGTCATTCTCAATTCTTTCTACATGTTAAGTCTTCCTTTTGAATAGAACGATAATCAATGTTTAGTTTACTATGCCTATAAAAATATTCTCAGCTAAGCCATAAGTTTTCCCCTATTTAAAACATTTTTTTTTTTCCTGGAAATACTGTGTTGCTATTCCCAAGGTTAGTTTCCTATATAATTGACACTAATTCAGGCCCAGTCTTCTCCAGAATAGTCTAACTGTCCTCTCGATATGTTCAAATACATCAGGAGTTCTGCAGTTTTCATCCCCTTGGTGATCTCTCTCCTGGAGCATCCTGACTGTCTCCAAACTGGACGGTTCCCCATATGTGACACACAGGTATCATTCTGGAATTTCTCCTTACCATCATCCTAGGCCGTTCTTCAGCCTGTTTTGAATTAGATACATATTACTAGATCCCATGTCATTCTCCTTCTCAGTTCCTTTGAATCACCTACCTCTTCCAGACCTTCCCCAGAAAAATCTCTTTTTGAGACCTTACAAGTCTGAAAATGTCTTTATTCTACCTACACTTAACTGATAGTTTGGCTGGGTATCTAAGTTGGTAACAATTTTCACTACAAACTTTGAAGGTGACTGCTCCCTCTCTGCATCCGGTGTTGCTAATGAGAAGCCAAACAATTTTAATTCCAGATCCTTTGTGTGTGACCTAGTTTTTCCTCTCTGGAAATGTTTAGGGTTAATGGTTTATTGTGTATTCTGAAATTTCACAATTATGGGGTCTGCCTTCCTTCAATACGTTAGGCACTTGGCAGTCCCTTTCTTTTATCTTCGTTGCAGAGATGAGGTCTTGCTGTGTGACCCAGGCTGGCCTGGAACTCCTGGCCTCAAGTGATCCCCCAGTCTCAGCCTCCCAAAGTGCAAGGATTAGAGCTACGAGCCACCCTTCCCAGCCAACAGGCCCTTTCAATCTAGATAGTTCTGTCCTTCAATAGAAAATTTCTTTGAACTATGTCTTTGATGATTTTTTTATCCTATGTTTTCTTTTTTTCTCATATCATTCTCATATTAGACCTTCTGGATAAATCCACCAGTATTCTTATCTTTACTCTCCTATTTGAACCTCTTTATTTTACTCCTTTTATTGTACTTTCTGGAATATTTCTTCAACTCTATCTTCTATAGTACTGGGTTTTTCATTTCTACTATATTTAACCTCAACCACAAGCAAATAAATACCAAGCTAAAACAATGAGACTTTTTTCTTTTTCTTTTGCCTGTGAGTTTTGGCCAATATAAAAAAGTTTCGTAATACCTAATGTTGGCTAAATGTGGGAAAACAATAAATGAAAGTTCTTTGAAGAACAACTTTACAATATCTATCAAAATTCACAAAACATGTAAAACTCTTGACTCAGTAATTTTACCTCTAGGAATTTACCATGCATTTATACTTGTACAAGTGTTCAAAAATATAGATATAAGCATTATTTGTTAATAGCAAAAAAAATCTTAAATATCCAACAGGAAGCAATTGGTTATATAAACCATAATTATCCCTGAAATATCCAACAATTTCAAAAACAACATTGATCTAGATATGGTGATATTGAATGACTTCCAAACGACTTAAGCGAGCCGAGATTGCGCCATTGCACTCCAGCCTGGGCAACAAGAATGAAATTCCGTCTCAAAAAAAATATATATGAAAACAGGGACTCCAAAAGATATTTGTACACCCATGTTCATAGCAGCATTACTCACAATAGCTAAAGTGGAAGTAACCCAAGTGTCCATCGGTGGATGAAAGGATGAAGAATATGTGCTCTCTATATACAATGTAGCCAGAAAGAAAACGTGGTCATTATATATAATATAGACATGATGGCTCATGGCTGTAATCCTAGCACTTTGGGAGGGCAAAGCCGGAGGATCACTTGAGCCCAAGGAGGTCAAGGCTGCAGCGAGCTGTGATTGCACCACTGCACTCCAGTCTGGGCGACAGAGCAAGACTTTGTTTTTTTTTTTTTTTTTTGAGACAGGGTCTCGCTCTGTTGCCCAGGCTGGAGTGCAGTGGTGTAATCACAGCTAGCTGCAGCCTTGACCTCCTTGGGCTCAAGCGATCCTCCCACCTCAGCCTCCTGAATAGTTGGGACTACAGGCACATGCCACCATGCCTGGCTAATTTAAAAATTTTTTTCAATTTTTGTAGAGATAAGGTCTTGCTTTGTTGCCCAGGCTGCTCTCTAACTCCTGGCCTCAAGCAATCCTCCCACTTCAGCCTTTCAAAGTGCTGGGATTATAGGCATGAGCCACTGTCCCTGGCCTTGGTATAATTTTAACTTGCATTTTACTTTATATGAGTGAGGCTGAGCACATTTTCTTATGTTTAAAAGCCATTTGAGGCCAGGCACGGTGGCTCACGCTTGTAATCCTAGCACTTCGGGAGGCTGAGGCAGGTGGATCACTTGAGCCCAGGAGTTCAAGACCAGCCTGGACAACACAGTGAGACCCTGTCTCAAAAAAAAAAAAGCCATTGGGGCCGGCAGCATGTGCCTGTGGTCCCAGCAACCAGGGAGGCTGACGTGGGAGGATCACTTGAGCCCAGGAAGTCAAGGGTGCAGTGAGCTGTGATTTCGCCACTGCACTCTAGCCTGGGTGACAGAGCAAGATCTTGTCTCAAAAAAAAAAAAACAACAAATGCTGAGAGTTAACAGCGAGCAGTGAGGAGTGCTGTGCGGGTTGGCCCAGCTGGTTTGGTTTGGTTTGATTGGGGAGGGGTTAGCCAGATGATAAACTCCCCTGGCTTTTTCACTAGGTTTGGCTTGCTGCTGTGTTCCCAATAGCTAGCACAGTGCCTGACATATAGCAGATGGGCAACAAATTTGTTGAAAAAAAATGAATGGAAGGCATCCTGGAGGTAAGTGTTTGAGAGCTGTTTAGGAAGAAAGAACCTGGTCATGAATTGGATGCTGGGGAGAGTGAAGTACATGCATAGGTTTCTGACTGCGAAGAAACCAAGAGTCTATGTTTCTGCACGAATGTTTTATTCATGTGGGTGGGGCTCTGCTGAGCTGGCTTTTACAACTTAAAACCTTTTCACTGGGAGGACAATTCCAAAGTCTAGCAGAAGCAAGCTTCAGGAAGAACAATAGCTCCAACCCCACCCCAGTTTTTCAATTTAAGCGAAAAATTAGCTTCTCTGAGACCTCTCCACCCTCCTCTTTGAATATTTGGATGGGATTAAGACAGTCATTCCGGGAAAAGGGGCATCTCAGAGCCTGGAAGAGAGGAGGCAGAGTCAGCTGCCACAAGCCAGTTGAAAATAAAACAGATTTCACGACAGAAGGAAGAGCATGGTGGCTGAATTTGTTAGGTTATGTCCTTGGAAATTCAGAGCTGAAAATCAGAGCCACGGACTCTTCCCTCTTCCTTCTTCCGGGATTAAAAATAATAATAGACTGACCATCCTGGCTAACACGGTGAAAGCCCATCTCTACTTAAAATGCAAAAAATTAGCTGGGCGTGGTGGTGGGCGCCTGTAGTCCCACCTACTCAAGAGGCTGAGGCAGGAGAATGGCGTGAACCCAGGAGGCGGAGCTTGCAGTGAGCCGAGGTCGCGCCACTGCACCCCAGCCTGGGCGACAGAGTGAGACTCCGTCTCAAAAATAAATAAATAAATAAACAAACAAACAAATAAATAAAAATTATAGACTGAATCTAGCACTTCCAACTTCTCTGGTCATGCCTCAAAGTTATATTAAGAGATTAAAGCCACATCTTCCTTTTATTATTGGGCACTGGTCTTAGCTTTCCACAGCTTTTAAAAATTGTTTAAAAAAAAAAAAAAAAAAAGGAAGGGGCTAGGCACAGTGACTCACACCTATAATCCCAACACTTTGGAAGGCAGAGGCAGGGGGTTACTTGAGCCCAGGAGTTCAAGACCAGTCTGGCTGACATAGGGAGACGGTGTCTTTACAAAAAATTTTTAAAAATTAGCCAGGCATGGTGAGGTGCACCTGTGGTCCCAGCTACTTGGGAGGCTAAGGTGAGAGGATCACTTGAGCCCAGGAGGTTGAGGCTGCAGTGAGCCGTGATTGCACCACTGCACTCCAGCCTGGGTGACAGAACGAGACTTTGTCTCAAAAAAGAAAAAAAGAAAAGAAAAGGAAGTAACATCCCTCCTGGTCTTTTGAACTTGTGGGCCACTCCTCCAATGCACACCACCCTAGCCCCTCAGAAAAGAAAGGTAAGCAACATAACAAAGTTTGGTTTCTTTCTGGTTTTTTTTTTTTTGAGACAGGGTCTCCCTCTGTCACCCAGGGTGGAGTACAGTGGCATGAACACGGCTCACTGCACCCTGGACCTCCTGGGCTCAAGTGGTCCTCCTGCCTCAGTCTCCCCAGTAGCTGGGCTCACAGGCGTGCGCCACCACACCCAGCTTATTTTTAATGATTTTTTTTTTTTTTTTTTAGAGGAAGTCTTGCTCTGTCGCCCAGGCTGGAGTGCAGTGGTGCAATGTTGGCTCACTGCAAGCTCCACTTCCCGGGTTCACACCATTCTGCCACCTCAGCCTCTCAAGGAGCTGGGACTACAGGCGCCCGCCACCACGTCTGGCTAATTTTGTTTTTGTTTTTTTTAGTAGAGATGGGGTTTCACCGTGTTAGCCAGGATGGTCTCGATCTCCTGACCTCGTGATCCACCCGCCTCAGCCTCCCAAAGTGCTGGGATTACAGGTGTGAGCCACCAGGCCCGGCCTTAATGATTTTTTTTTTTTTAGAGATGGGTCTTGCCATGTTGCCCAGGCTAGTCTCAAACTTCTAGGCTCAAGTGATCCTCCCACCTCAGCCTCCGAAAGTGTTTATTATTTTATTTAAAGGGCTTATCTGGAGTTGAAATAGCCACAAACAAAAACAAACAAACAAAAACAAGGAAAGAAAGAAAAAGAAAAAAAGCTAAAAGGCTTATTAACTGATTTATTTTGGTAAAATTTTAAGTAGTTTTCCTTCCTCTTATTCGGAATATATGTTGAATTATTATAATGAGATAACTAGATAAAAATAATTTTCTATAACATTAGATATAACCAATCTTTGTGTTGCTGTTTTGAAAAGGTCAGGTTTTGTTAGCATGGTGCTTCAGTTATTTGCGATATTTATGAAACTATCTCAAAATTCAAATGCTTGTATCTTATCTTCTAAAAGCTCAGGGAAACTAGACTGCAAACAGGGCAAAGGTTGCAGCATGAAAGTAAATATTTAGATTGCCTCTTAACTCTGCCAGGTGTAATATTCCTGTAAAATAGTGATACCGAAACCAGCTCTGGAGATGGAAAGTATAATCAGGAGGTTTGTTTTATAATAATTTTAATACCGTTGTCCCAAGTATTTGTTTCTGATAACTACTTTCCTATTTTCTTACTCAATATTTATACCTGAATCCCCATTCTCCCAGTTCTCTGAATGAGCTCTCCCATCATATATTCCTAATTTCATTCACATGTCCCACAACAGTTTCACCAAGTATGTGTTCTATTTTCTTCAGAATCTTTTGACCTAGAGGATCTGTGAATGATTCACTGAAGCACTCCCTACCCACTGCTACAAACCAAAAACACGTGTGAAACCTGTCTCTTCCATTTTCTTTCTTCCTTCCTTCCTTCTTTCCCTTACCTTCCCCTTCCTTCCTTCCTTCCTTTCTTTTTTTCTCTCTCTCTCTTTCTTTTTTTTTCTTGAGATGGAGTCTCACTCTGTCTCTCAGGCTGGAGTGCAGTGGCATGATCTTGGCTCACTGCAACCTCTGCCTCCCAGGTTCAAGCGATTCTCCTATTTCAGCCTCCCGAGTAGGTGGGATTACAGGCATCTGCCACCACACCCAGCGAATTTTTGTATTTTTAGTTGAGACCAGCGTGACCAACATGGTGAAACCCATGTTGGTCACGCTGGTCTCTAACTCCTGACTTCAGGTGATCCATCCACCTCGGCCTCCCAAAGTGCTGGGATTACAGGCATGAGCCACTGCGCCCAGCTGTTTCTGCCATTTTCTACCCAATTTATGGACACCCAGGTTTGGAGTACAGAGGACAAGTACCAAGCACAAGGCTTGGGTACTGGGTACCCAGAAAACACAGCTGCAGGTCTCAAAGGAGTCTTGGCCTTGTTGCTTGACTTCTATACTTTTAATTTTTTTGTGACCTACTATACTTATCTGGCCAGCCCAACCAGCAGTCCAACAGTAACATCTGTTGACCTAAACTCCACCATCATTAAGCCCCCTATCAGATTATATTATTTTTGTATCCAAAGATAATTTAGCTGAGATTATTTTCTGGCATATATTTTTACAACTCTTCTGATGAACAAACAGATGGATTTAGCCAAGTTCAAAACTAAATCAAATTCAAAATATATAAAGAACTCCTACAACTGAACAACAAAACGACCACAACCCAATTTAAAAATGGGCAATGACCAGCCGGGCATGGTGGCTCACGCCTATAAATCACAGCACTTTGGGAGGCCGAGGCGGGTGGATCACGAGGTCAGGAGATCGAGACCATCCTGGCTAACACGGTGAAACCCCATCTCTACCAAAAATACAAAAAATTAGCCGGGCATCGTGGCACACACCTGTAGGCCCAGCTACTCGGGAGGCTGAGGAAGGAAAATCATTTGAACCCGGGAGGCGGAGGTTGCAGTGAGCCGAGATCGTGCCACTGCACTCCAGCCTGGGTGACAGAGTGAGGCTCCACCTCAAAAAAAAAAAAAAGGGCAATGGATTTGAATGGCCATTTTTCAAGGAAGATGTACACATGGCCAGTAAGTACGTGAAAAAAATGCTGAACATCACTAATCATTAAGGAAATTCAAACCATAATGAGATACCACTTCACATCTATTAGGATGGCTATTTATTTATTTATTTATTGAGACAGTCTTGCTCTGTCGCCCAGGCTGAAGTGCTGTGGCGCAATCTAGGCTCACTGCAACCTTTGCCTCCCAGGTTCAAGTGATTCTCCTGCCTCAGCCTCCTGAGTAGCTGGGATTACAGGCATGCACCACCATGCCCAGCTAATTTAGTATTTTTAGTAGAGACGAGGTTTCACCGTGTTGGCCAGGCTGGTGTCAAACTCCTGACCTCAAGTGATCCGCGTACCTCGGCCTCCCAAAGTGTTGGGATTACAGGTGTGAGCCACTGTGCCTGGCAGTATGGCTATTTATTAAAAGAGAGAAAGAGAAAATAACAAGTGTTGGCAAGGATGTGGAGAAATTGAAACCCGCATGCATTGCTGGTGGGAATGTCACAAAGAGGAAGAGGAATTTCTACAGTACAGTCATTCAGTACCAATTTCTCCTCTTGAGAATAGGCAGAAATCAAGGAACTGTAGGGAAACAGTGACTCTCTGAAATTGACTCATGAGTTACTCATGGACATTTGGCACATTGACATCAAACACCTACCATAATGTTGTTCTTACAGTATGTAATCTCTCATATTCTCTAATTTCAAACCCTTAGCCCTGAGGGTTTCTTTCTTTTTTTTTTTTTTTTTCTGAGATGGAGTTTTGCTCTGTCACCCAGGCTGGAGTGCAGTGGCGCGATCTCGGCTCACTGCAAGTTCCACCTCCTGGGTTCACGCCATTCTACTGCCTCAGCCTCCTGAGTAGCTGGGACTACAGGCGCCTGCCACCACGCCTGGCTAATTTTTATTTTTTTTTTTTGTATTTTCAGTAGAGACGGGGTTTCACTGTGTTAGCCAGGATGGTCTCGATCTGCTGACCTTGTGATCTGCCCACCTCGGCCTCCCAAAGTGCTCGGATTGCAGGCGTGAGCCACCGCGCCCGGCCAACCCTGAGGGTTTCTAAGAAAATCCTGGATATCACTATAAACTCTAAGAACAGTGGCCGACTGTTTTCACCACATTGCTGCATCTGGGCAGCTATATCACATGGCAGGCACCTTCCAAATACTTGGGAAGCTAGTTCTGAGTAACTTTGTCTTTTAACTTGGCTTTGCCCTTCAGCAATAGCAATCCGCAGAGTACCCTTGAATATTAACACTGGCAGGCTTACTGGTCACAAACAAGATTTAAATTGGGAAGGGCTACTATTGTTCACACATTAACTAACAGCATTTTCCCCACGTGTCATACATCCTTCAGCCTCCTGCCCTATACACAAAGGGAATTCATAGGCATGAATGCAATTATGTTGAATAAAAGCATTTAAACAGGTATAAATCAGGCCCATTCACTTGCAGACTTTTTGTTTTAGAACCACTCATAGGGGAAAAGGGGACGAAATGGTTATATCTACCATCTTAGATGTGGGGTTTGGCTTCAAGTCATACACACACACACACACACACACACACACACACACACACAGGCTTGGGTTTCAAATATGGCTCATGAAGCCAATAGTTGTAAGATTTTTGTTTCTCCAGAACTTTGTAAATGTTTTCCAAAGATCACTAGAACACTACAGGCAGTTCCCAATTTATGAAAGCATTGTATTCTTAAATTTACATTTTTTTGGCCAGGCGCGGTGGCTCACGCCTGTAATCCCAGCACTTTGGGAGGCTGAGGTGAGTGGATGACCTGAGGTCAGGAGTTCGACAACAGCCTGGCCAACATGGTGAAACCTCATCTCTACTAAAAATACAAAAATTATCCAGGTGTGGTGGCTCACACCTGTAATCTCAGCTACTCAGGAGGCTGAGGCAGGAGAATCACTTGAACGCAGGAGGCAGAGGTTGCAGTGGGCCGAGATCACACTACTGCACTCCAGCCCAGGCGAGGGAGTGAGACAGTGTCTCAAAACAACAACAACAACAACAACAACATTACTTAAAAAAAAACTGTGAACATACTTTTGTTCAAACATGTATACAGTATAATTGTTAGAAATTGAGGGCCAAGCACGGTGGCTCACGCCTGTAATCCCAGCACTTGGGAGGCCAAGGCGGGCAGATCTGGAGGTCAGGACTTCGAGACCAGCCTGGCCAACATAGTGAAACCCCGTCTCTACTAAAAATACAAAAAATTAGCCGGGCATGGTGGCAGGCGCCTGTAATCCCAGCTACTCGGGAGGCTGAGGCAGGAGAATCGCTTGAACCTGGGAGGCAGAGGTTGTAGTGAACTGAGATCGTACCATTGCACTCCAGCCCTGGCAACAGTGCAAAACTCCGTCTCAAAAAAAAAAAAAAAATTTGAGATATACCAGCCTGGGCAACATGGAAACCCCATCTCTTAAAAAAAAAAATTAGCTGGGCATGGTAGCTTGCTCCTGTGGTCCCAGCTGCCCAGCTGCTCCGGAGTCTGAGGCTGGAGGGCTGCTTGAGCCTGGAAAGCAGAGGTTGCAGTGAGTTGAGATCACATCACTGCACTCCAGCTTGGGAGACAGAGCAAGACCCTGTCCAGGCGCAGTGGTTCACACTTGTAATCCCAGCACTTTGGGAGGCCGAGGTGGGTGGATCACTTGAGGCTAGGAATTCGAGATCAGCCTGACCAACATGGTGAAACCCCGTCACTACTAAAAATACAAAAATTAGCTGGGCGTGGTGGCTCACACCTGTGATCCCACCTACTCGGGAGGCTGAGGCAGGAGAGTCACTTGAACTCTGGAGGTGGAGGTTGCAGTGAGCCGAGATGGCACCACTGCACTCCAGCCTGGGCAACAGAGAGAGACTCCGTCTTAAAAAAGAAAAAAAATTGAGGTAAAATACATGTATAATATATGTACAGTAAAAGGCACCAATTTTAAATGCTTAGCTTGATGGATTTTTAAATATGTATATATCCTGGTAAGCAACGAACCAGATGAAGGTATAGTACCCAGAAAGCTCCCTCATGCTCCTTCCCAGCCAATAAACCTCTCTCACAGGTAACCCCTATTCTGAATTCTATCATCAGAGGTTGGAGTTTCAAAATAACTTTCTTTTTTTTTTTTTTTTCCGAGACTGAGTCTTGCTCTGTTGCCCAGGTTGAAGTGTGGTGGCGCGATCTCGGCTCACTACAAGCTCCGCCTCCCGGGTTCACGCCATTCTCCTGCCTCAGCCTCCCGAGTAGCTGGGACTACAAGTGCCCGCAACCAAGCCCAGCTAAATTTTTTGTATTTTTAGTGGAGACGCGGTTTCACCATGTTAGCCAGAACAGTCTCGATCTCCTGACCTCTTGATCCGCCTGCCTCAGCCTCCCAAAGTACTGGGATTACAGGCGTGAGTCACCGCACCTGGCCTCTCTTCTTTCTTTCCTTCCTTCCTTCCTTTCTCTCTCTCTCTCTTCCCTTCCTTCCTTCTTTTCTTCTTTTTCTTTCTTCTTTCTTTTCTTCTTTCTCTTTCTTTTCTCTTTCCCTCCCTCCCTCCCTTCCTCTCTCTTTCTCTCCTTCCTTCTTTCTCTTTCTTCTTTCTCTTTCCCCCTCCCCTCCCCTCCCCTCCCCTCCCTTCCCTTCCCTTCCTTCTGCAGAGTCTTACTCTGTCACCCAGGCTGCAGTGCAGTGGCATGGTCTCAGCTAACTGCAACCTCCACCTCCTGGGGTCAAGCAATTCTCATGCCTCAACCTCTCGAGTAGCTGAGATTACAGGCGTGCACCACCACACCAGGCTAATTTTTGTACTTTTTTTTTTTTTTTCTGAGACAGAGTCTTGCTCTGTCGCCCAGGCTGGGGTGCAGTGGCACGATCTCAGCTCACTGCAACCTCCACCTCTGAGGTTCAAGCGGTTCTCGTGCCTCAGCCTCCCGGGACTACCTCCAGGGACTACAGTGTGCGACAACACGCCCAGCTAATTTTTGTATTTTCAGCAGAGAAGGGTTTTTGCCATGTTGGCCAGGCTGTTCTCAAACTCCTGGCTTCAAGTGATCCACCCACATCAGCCTCCTAAAGGGCTGGGGTTACTGGCATGAGCCACCACCCCTGACCTAATCAATTTTCTATAATAAATATATTACCTATATACTTTTTAAAAAAGCTTTTTATAACTTTTATTATTCAAAAGAAGTCATTTTGATAGTCTATAGCCACCTTATTATTTAACACAATGAAAAGTATATTTTGAGTATCTAGCCACCAGTTATTGAGCAAGTATCTTCGTGGTGTTTTACATTATTTAATTTTCACAACAATTTCGTCAGGTGGTATTATCGCCACATCACAGTTAAGGAGGCTGATGGTTGGAGATGTTAATTTGTCAAGGCCACATAGTAAGAAATGGAGTCTTGGTTGTGATGAGCTCAGAAGTTCACCTTCTTCGCCTTCTGCGGGGCTAAACCATCCCTCCTGCCTTCTGCCTATCCCCAGTTTGTCTATTATAGGACAAGTAGTCTATTACATGCTCGAGCAGGTCTGTCATACTCTCCTTTAAAAACCCATTGAAAGCAGCCGGGCATGGTGGCTCATGCCTGTAATCCCAGCACTTTGGGAGGCCAAGGCAGGTAGATCACTTGAGGTCAGGGGTTCAAGACCAGCCTGGCCAGCATGGTGAAACCCTGTCTCTACTAAAAATACGAAAATTAGCTGGGCATGGTGGTGTGCGCCTGTAATCCCAGCTACTCAGGAGGCGGAGGCAGGAGAATTGCTTGAACCCAGGAGGTGGTGGTTGTGGTGAGCGGAGGTAGGTAGCACCACTACACTCCAGCCTGGGCAACAGAGCAAGACTCCATATCAAAACAACAACAACAATCCCAAAAAAGAAACCCATTGAAAGCATTAAAGTAGACAATTTTAAAGTGATTTTACAGCCAGGTGTGGTGGCTCATGCCTGTAATCCCAGCACTTTGGGAGGCCAAGGTGGGCAGATCACTTGAGGTCAGGAGTTCAAGATCAGCCTGGCCAACACAGCAAAATCACATCTCTATTAAAAATACATAAATTAGCTGGGCGTGGTGGTATGCGTCTGTAGTCCTCATTGCTCAGGAGGCTGAGGTGGGAGGGTCACTTGAACCCAGGAGGGGGAGGTTGCAGTGAGCCAAGATCATGCCACTGCACTCCAGCCTGGGCGACAGAGCAATACTTCATCTCAAAAATAAAATGTCTAAAGCCATTTTTGTAAAAATAAATAAATAAATAAATAAAGGTGATTATACACACCACAAAGGTCTGGGAGGGTATACTGCAAACAGTATATACTGCCAGGGAATAGAATTGGTACTGGTAGGACTTTTGTTTTCTAAGCTTTTATACTCATTATTTTAAAAAATTATAATAGTTAAAAAAAGATGGTCAGAAAAAATTGTAGACTTTTCCTGTGTTGTATCTTTCAAATGTCGGTGCATCTCAATATCAGAAACAATTTCTAGAAATATGTACTTCATTACCACCCCCAAAGTCTCTACCTGTTTCACTGATTTCAGTATCTTTAATGCTAACATATCTGGGACAATAAAAGCATTTGACATATAACTGGCATATACTTTTTTCAAGTTTTAGATATACTGACATATCCTCATATTAATTTTCAAATTAGAATACATGTTAAAATAATATGGAAGGGCTGGGTGCAGTGGTTCACACCTGTAATCCCAGCACTTTGGAAGGCTGAGGCAGGGGAATTGCTTTGGGAGGCCGAGGCGGGCAGATCACTTGAGGTCAGGAGTTCGAGAACAGCCTGGCCAACATAAGATGAAACCCTGTCTCTACTAAAAATATAGAATTTAGCTGGGTGTGGTGGTGAGTGCCTGTAATCCCAGCTACTTGGGAGGCTGAGGCAGGAGACTAGCTTGAACCCAGGAGGCAGAGGTTGCAGTGAGCCAATCACACTACTGCACTCCAGCCTGGGCGACAGAGTGAGTCTCCATCACAAAAAATAAAAGAAAAAATAATATGGAAGAAAGAAAATGTACAGGGAAGTACTTTTCCTTCTGAATCTTGTAACTTGCCAAAGGTAGCTATTACAGGCTAAACTGTGGCCTCTCAAAAAGATAACACTGAAGTTCCTAACCTCCAGTACCTCAGAACGTGACTTTACTTGGAAATAGCGTCCTAGCAAATGTAATGAGTTCACAGGAGGTCATGCTGGAGAAGGTGGGCCTCTCATCCAATATGACTGGTATGGCCAGACAGGGAGAAGGCCATGCGAGAATGGAGGATTGGAGAGATGCATCTACAAGCCAAGGAACATCAAACATGGCCAGCAAACCACCAGAAACTAGAAGAGGACTCCCCTACAGGTTTTTGAGGGAGCATGTCCCAGCTGACACCCTGCTTCCAGACTTCTAGGCTGCAGGTCTGTGAGACAACACACTTCAGTTGTTTTGAGCCACTCAGTTTGTAGTACATTGTCATGGCAGTCCTAGGAAACTAATATAGTGGCCTGGACTTTGAATTATTGCGAATAATGGGGGAAGGAGAAACAGTGAGTCACCTGAGCATCGTGACCTACGGGTTTTCAATGACTTTCCAGTTTATTTTCTGACAAGTGAAAATATTTTCAAGAACATGCACAGTGAACACAGGAATGCTAGGAAGGCAAACATAAAAGGGCACACACACACACGGCAGGTGACTGAAACTTTAATGCACCTAGGGATTGACCACAACATTTACAAATCAGTGTTACTGCATTGGTTTTTCAAAGATTAGCTACATTTATAAACTTTATTTTAAAAGTTTCACAAAGTTAAATTTCCTTAACACTTCAACAGGAATCTAACTCTTTACAGTCTATCAAAATGGTAATATTTTACCTTTTTTTTTTTTTTTTTTTTTTTTTTTTTTTTTTTTAAAGCACTGGTGCTCTTCTTAAGTGAAATGTTAACACAGGGCTCAATACATAAAAGAGAAAGTGAAGTTGTTCCATTTGGGGGGTCCCATAAGGGGCCTCATGTTTCCCTAGGTGTTACCCCTTCAGACACAGCACAGCCTACAAAGCCATGGAATTAAAATATTAACAATGAATGCATAAAGATTTCACTGACAAATAAAAACCAGGGAGTGCATTCAGTGACCACAACTTTCTAAGCTTCTGCTTTTCCACATGCTTTTCTTTGGTTTTATCACTTTAGAAAACTCTTTGAACATTAATTGTCTGAATGGCAGCTATATTAGTCAGAAGCTGTAATGCTACACCTGGGAATTTATCTACATGATAGATGCTGCTGAATAAAATCCAACAAGAACGATTTTGTTTAAAAAAAAACTTTGTTAAGGCAGTCTATTGTTCATACTAACAGAAATAAAACATTTATGAATAAAGTCCAAAGCCAAGATAATTCTTAGAAAGATGAAGCATCCCTGCTGGGCACAGTGGCTCACACCTGAATCCCAGCACTTCAGAAGGCCGAGGCTGGTAGATCATCTGAGGTCAGGAGCTTGAGACCAACCTGGCCAACATAGTGAAATCCTGTCTCTACTAAAAATACAAAAAATTAGCTGGGCATGGTGGTGGGTGCCTGTAATCCCAGCTACTTGGGAGGCAGAGGCAGGAGAATCGCTTGAACCCAGGAGGCAGAGGCTGCAGTGAGCCAAGATCATACCACTGTACTCCAGCCTGGGCAACAAGAGCGAAACTCCATCTCAAAAAAAAAAAAAAAAGGGAGTTTCCAAGGAAATGCTACATTGTGGGACTGTAGCATGTATGTCCAAAGGGAATAGAAAAGCAATACCAGCTGGGCGCGGTGACTCACGCCTGTAATCCCAACACTTTGGGAGGCTGAGGCGGGTGGATCATGAGGTCAGGAGATCGAGATCATCCTGGCTAACACGGTGAAACCCCATCTCTACTAAAAATACAAAAAAATTAGCTGGGCGTGGTGGCAGGTGCCTGTAGTCCCAGCTACTCGGGAGGCTGAGGCAGGAAAATGACGTGAACTTGGGAGGCGGAGCTTGCAGTGAGCCGAGATCGCACCACTGCACTCCAGTCTGGGCAACAGAGTAAGACTCTGTCTCACAAAAAAAAAAAAAAAAAAGCAATACCATTCATACAATTCAATGTGTCCAGGGCAGGCTGGACTATGGGGAGATGGAGAGATGTACAGTCACACTGATGAAAGACAGGGAGGCCATGTGGAACCCCAGGGGCCACAGAGCCACAGTGAAGCACCAGGCTAAGGCCATGAGTTAACACCACAAACCAGAAAGGCACCAGACACTTGGGCTTTTGGTTAAGTAGGTTGGGCTTGCTCATTAAGGACCTTTTCTTGAGACTCATTCTTTATAATTTATTCATTTCACAAACACTTCAGTAGACTTCACAAACACTAATATAGTTCCTACCATATTAGTAACTCCTTTAATCCTAACAACTCTATGAGGAAGGAACTATTATTAGCCCCATTTTACAGAAGAGGAAACAGGCACAGAGAGATTAAGCAATTTGCCCAAGATCAGGATGTCTGAAAATGTTGATCTGGGATTCAAACACCTTTCAAGGGAATAAATGACACCTTTGAAAGATGTCACCCTTTTTCCCTTAGAAAAATCCTTTAGAAATCCCCTAGGAATTTCTCTAGGAAGAGAAATTTGTCCCAGAAAAATCCTAGGAACCTGCCTGAGTAAAAAAGGAAAAAGTAGCACCAGAATTGATGGTCCACTTGCCCATCACACTGCCAGGATACGATCTCTAAAATGATGACACATTTAAATGAGATAGATGAATATGAAATTGGTCACAGATGAAAGATGAACACAGGATTTTTTCCATTCTTAGTAAAGGCCCTTAGAACATTTGAATTCGTTTAAAAATGTCTGAGTAAAATCTTTAATGTTGCATACTGGTTAAACCAATTGGAAGCTGATTTGGGAAGCGCTTGCTTCTCTACCACAGAGGCTAGCATTAAAAAGGCAGTAAATAAATAGTAAACTTGCTATTTTTTAAAAAAAGTAGTTTCCCAGCCTGACCAACATGGTGAAACCTCGTCTCTACTAAAAATACAAAAATTAGCGGGGTGTGGCAGCGCACGCCTGTAATCCCAGCTACTGGGGAGGCTAATTGCTTGAACAGGAGAATTGCTTGAACCCGGGAGGTGGAGGTTGCAGTGAGCCGAGATTGTGCCACTGCATTCCAGCCTGGGTAACAGAGCGAGACTTCATCTCAAAAAAATAAAATAAAATAAAAAAATAAAGTGGTTTCAAATAAGCGTTAAGAATAACCTTGTACATCCCAATTCATTACTTTATCATATTCTTGAATTCTTTGCTTTATGTGAGAAAGTTTATTCTTTAGGTAATCACAGCGTTCTTTTTTTTCCAGAAATGTAGGATCCTGTAAAAGAAATATAAGTATTATTTTGGCTCCTGGCTTCCTCAGTGAAAAACACAGAAACATACATTGTCACCCAGGAAATGATCATACATAGCAAAAGTCTCTACAGCAGATTCTGAACTCAGGGTAACAGTTAAGCTCTCTACATATTTTTTAAATGTACTTTTTTTTTTAGAGCAGTTTTAGGTTCACAGCAAAATCAAGCAGAAGTACAAAGTGCTAAGACACCTTTCATTTTAATATCTGATAAAGCCAGGTACAGTGGCATGTGCCTGTAGTCCCAGCAACTCAGGAGGCTGAGGTGGAAGGATTGCTTGAGCCCAGGTATTTGAGGCCAGCTTAGGCAACATGCCAAGACCCCATCTCTTTAAAAAAAAAGAAAAAGTAATAAGTATAGAAAATACTAATAAACGGTCTCTCCAGCCTTTACTGATTTTTTTTTTCTTTTTGAGACAGGGTTTCACTTTGTTGCCCAGGCTAGAGTGCAGTGGCGTACTGTCTCCCAGTGCAACCTCTGCCTCCCAGGCACAAGTGATCCTCCCACTTCAGCCTCCCAAGTAGCTGGGGCTACAGGCGTGTGCCACCACTACCGGCTAATGCTTGTATTTTTTTGTAGAGACAAGGTTTCGCCATGTTGCCCAGGCTGGTCTCAAACTCCTGGGCTCAAGCGTTCCACTCGCCTTGGCTTCCCAAAGTGCTGGGATTACAGGCCTGAGCCAGTGTCCAGCCACCTCTACTGATTTTGAGATTAAGTTAGAGTTGGAAAGATGTAAAATCAGTTCATCTTTTTGAAGGAACAGGTGGAGAATTCCTGATCAATGCTCATTTCTCTAGGTTGCTAAATCAGGACACAGCAAAATGTATTCAGAGCAGACATGAGAAGAAATGGCATCCAGCAG
Organism: Homo sapiens; assembly: GCF_000001405.40. Lineage (NCBI taxonomy): Eukaryota > Metazoa > Chordata > Mammalia > Primates > Hominidae > Homo > Homo sapiens. Next base: position 223,601 of record NW_003315917.2, on the reverse strand, counting down.
CCATTTTCTCTTAAAAGGAGCATCCCATGAAATACAAAAAGGAACTATTTTAGCTAACAGAATCTAGAGTCTGTAAATTATCACATATGTACTTGGATAAGAATACAGTTTGAAGAAAACTGTTTTACTCACATTCTTTTTTTTCTTAAACTCTTCATGGATTCTTGAAATTCTCTCATGTTCCTAAAAATAATACATTGTATACTTAAGTTAAAACATTTGCATTTACTCAAATCATATCTCAAAGCACACTGAGAATTAGAACAAAAAATAATTTTTACCTAAGAAAATAATGAAAACATTCACACACAAAAATTCAATTCACAGGCAAATATTTGAAGGCTTACTGTCTGCTAGGCCCAGGCGATAAAAGAGAGAAAGGGCCCTGACCACATGCAACCAGACCCAAGCCCCAGGCCCTTAGGGAGGATACATAGCTTGCCCAGGGTCATACAGCTGGCAAGTTCAGTTTCCTTACTGGTAAAATGGAAATAAAACCATAATGATCTCAAAGGGTTGTAAGAAGGTTCACTTATTTGAAATGATCCTTATAAAGTGCTTGCCACATAATAACCACATTAGCTATGATTATGTTCATCCTTTTTGGAAAGTTCTTTTTTGAGTTATTAGGTGTTGGGATTAAGAAGTTTGAGAGTATGCAACTTTTGAAAATAGCTAATATAAGGCTCCTTGTAACTTTTTTCTAAGTTTTATAATAAATACGAACTTTGTTAAGGAGTTGAACGGCCTATCCAAAGGGAACACATTACTATAGCAATGCCCTCGTTCATCCATGCAAACCTATGCATAGAGATTGTCAGACAATGCAAACCTAATAAATAAATAAATATAATAATTTACAGCGTTTTTTTTTTCATTTTAAGACAGTCTCCCTCTGTCGCCCAGGCTGGAGTACAGTGGCGTGATCTCAGCTCACTGCAACTCCCACCTCTCTGGCTCAAGCTGTTATTGAGCCTCAGCCTCCCAAGTAGCTGGAATTATAGGTGTGCATCACCATGCCCAGCTAATTTTTGTATTTTTAGTAGAGATGGAGTTTTGCCATGTTTCCCAGGCTGGTCTCGAACTCCTGGCCTCAAGTGATCCACCCACCTTGGCCTCCCAAAGTACTGGGATTACACGCATGAGCCACTGTGCCCAGCCAGTAATTTATAGTTCTAAAAGCTTGCCCTACACCTGTAATCCCAGCATTTTGGGAGGCTGAGGCGGGTGGATCACCTGAGATCAGGAGTTCAAGACCAGCCTGGCCAACATGGCGAAACCCCATCTCTACTAAAAATACAAAAATTAGCCAGGCATGGTGGCGGGCACCTGTAATCTCAGCTACTTGGGAGTTTGAGACAGTAGAATCACTTGAACCCAGGAGGCGGAGGTTGCAGTGAGCCAAGATCACGCCACTGCACTCCAGCCTGGGCAACAGAGACTCTGTCTCAAAAATAAATAAATAAATAAAAAACTAATAAAATAAAAGCTTGGCCTGAGAACTTTTTCTATCACTGACCCATATCCTTTTCCCAGTATATTTTCTTCTTCTTTTTTTTTTTTTTTTTTGAGACAGGGTCTTGCTCTGTTGCCCAAGCTGGAAGGCAGTGGTGTAACAGCTCACTGTAACCAAAACTTCTTGGGCTCAAGTGATCCTCCTGTCTCAGCCTCCCAAGTAGCTGGGATTATACGGCACATCACCAGGCCTGGCTAATTTTTATTTATATTTATTTTTTTTTATTTTTGAGATGGAGTCTCAATTCTGTCACCCAGGCTGGAGTGCAGTGGTGCGATCTCGGCTCACTGCAACCTTCGCCTCCTAGGTTCAAGTGATTCTCCTGCCTCAGCCTCCCGAGTAGCTGGGATTACAGGCACCTGCCACTACGCCCAGCTAATTTTTTGTATTTTCAGTAGAGATGGGGTTTCACCATGTTGGCCTGGCTGGTCTCGAACTCCTGACCTTGTGATTCACCCACCTCGGCCTCCCAAAGTGCTGGGGTTACAGGTGTGAGCCACCATGCCCGGCCGCTAACTTTTACTTTTTTGTGTGTAGATGCGGTCTTGCTATGTTGCCCAAGCTCATCTTGAACTCCTGGCTTTGAGCACTCTTCCTGCCTTGTCTCTCAAAGTGTGGGGATTACAGCCATGAGCCCCCTTGCCTGAACTATTTTAATTCTTCAATCTCTTTTACATACTGAGATCATGAGTATGTTTGTGTTTTGAATGCTTGCCAGCAGTGAAGATAAACCTGGTGATTTAATTGTAATCTGTAATAACAGATCCTGGACAAGGAATAAACTTGCTATTGGGGTTAGCACTGCTGTGCTGGAGATGCAGGCAGAGATGAGCTGTAACATCCATCTAGAGTCTGTCACTGAATTTAAGGAGTGGTGAGGACCAGAGGGATTGTTTGGGGCAATATTTCTACTTTATGGGCTCAGAAAAGTCATGTGACTATTTTTCAGTGGTGCACAACCATGTCTGTGGGAGAACCTGCCTCCAAACAGGCCCACTGGGCTTTGAAATGCCTCACATGCTTCCATGGGGACATGGTGGGAAAACGAATGAGCCTGTGGACTCCTGCCCAGGACAAAGCTCAGCCTGTGGCCAAGGAGAAGCTAACTTTTGTAATATGGTTAATATTTCTACTTTAGATAAGGACTGGAGGATACACTGATAATAATAACCGTGGGCCTGCCATTGGGTTACTTACAAGCCCTGTCTTGTTAAAAATCACAGGTAATGGCTGTTGTTGATATTTTGTGGAAACATCATGGGAAGACTTGGTCTCTCAACCTGTACTGTCATCAGGAGCCTCTTGATTTCCCAACTGCAGACCATGTGCTGCAGCCCTTGTCCATTCATACAAAGCACACAAACCAGATACCACTGGGTGTTGGCTCAAAGATTACAGGTCAAGGTCAAGATTTTCTTTGTTTTTTTTTTTTGAGACAGAGTCTCACTCTGTCACCCAGGCTGGAGTGCAATGGCACAATCTCGTCTCACTGCAACCTCCGCCTCCCAGGTTCAAGCCATTCTCCTGCCTCAGCCTCCCGAGTAGCAAGGATTACAGGCGCCCACCACCATGCTCGGCTAATTTTTTGTATTTTTAGTAGGGACGGGGTTTCACTATGCTGGCCAGGCTGGTCTCGATCTCCTGACCTCATGATCCGCCTGCCTCGGCCTCCCAAAGTGCTGGGATTACAGGTGTGAGCCACCGCACCCAGCTTTTTTTTTTTTTTTTTTTTAAGACAGAGTTTCGCTCTTGTTGCCCAGGCTGGAGTGCAATGGCGCGATCTTGGCACACCAGAGCCTCCGCCTCCTGGGTCAAGCGATTCTCCTGCCTCAGCCTTCCCGAGTAGCTGGGATTACACACATGCACCACCACGTGCGGCTAATTTTGTATTTTTAGTTGGGATGGTTTCTTTTTTTTTTTTTTTGAGATGAAGTCTCGCTCTGTCGCCCAGGCTGGAGTGTAGTGGCACGATCTCAGCTCACTGCAACCTCCGACTCCCGGGTTCAAGCAATTCTCTTGTCTCTGCCTCCTGAGTAGCTGGAATTACAGGCACACACCACCATGCCTGGCTAATTTTTGTATTTTTAGTAGAGACGCGGTTTCACCTTGGCCTCCCAAAGTGCTGGGATTACAGGCATGAGCCACTGTGCCTGGCCGAGATGGGGTTTCTCCATGTTGGTCAGGCTGGTCTGGAACTCCCAACCTCAGGTGATCTGCCCGCCTCAGCCTCCCAAACTGCTAGGATTACAGGTGTGAGCCACCACACCCGGCCTTACAGGTCAGGATTTTCTTCATTATTTCTCCCAACAAGCCTGCATTTCCCAGCCTGTGCTGATCCAGATTCCTGGGGCCTCATGCCTTCCTGCACTCCTTTGACGGCCTCTGAGAGACTAGGTCACCCTTCTTAGACCTGTGGGCCTTGCTTATTTTCCAAATGGTACTGACATTCAACCTCAATATTTGCTGAATTTCTTTTGCTTCCTGGTACTGGCGTCTCTTAGCCAACACCATTCCATTGCTCCAGGATTAGGAAAATGTTACTGTAATACACATTTGGCTTAGTTAACTCATAACGATAAGTGATTTAAATGCACACTTAACAAAGAGTCTGTGATTGAAACAAAGACACCTAACTTCTCAGGTAAAAAATTTATATATGTGTGTGTGTGTGTGTGTGTGTGTGTGTGTGTGTGTGTGTGTGTGTTCCCATACATAAATTTGACATTTAGTTTTTTTTGTTTGTTTTTTGGTTTTTTTTGGCTCTGTCGCCCAGGCTGGAGTGCAGTGGCATGATCTTGGCTCACTGCAACCTCCGCCTCCCGGGTTCACACGACTTGCCTGCCTCAGCCTCCCAAGTAGCTGGGACTGCAGGCATGTGCCACCACAGCCAGACCGACATTTAGTTTTTACAAAGCTGTGTTTTTAAAATTTAATCATACATGTAATAGATTAATACAGCCTCTTTTAAAAAGACAGAATATTACACAAATATTTATACCAGCATTATTCGTAACAGCCAATGAGTGGAAATGACTATATAGACATTTGGAAATGACCAAATGTCTATCTCTTGATAAATGGATAAACAAAATGTGGTATATCCATATAGCAGAATATTATTCCACCACAAAAAGGAATATGTATTGACTTATGCTAAAATATGGATGAACCTTGAAAACATTATGCAAAATGAAGAAGCCAGACACAAAAGATTGATATGAAATGTTCAAACTAGGCAAATCCATTCGGACAGAAAGTAGATTAGTGGTTGTCAATGGTTGGACAGAGCTGAGAATGGGAAATAACTGCTAATTCGTAAAGGGTTTCATTTTTTTTTTTTTTTTTTTTTTTTTGAGACAGGGTCTCACTCTGTTGCCCAGGCTGGAGTGCAGTGGCGCAATCTTGGCCCACTGCAACCTCCACCTCCTGGGTTCAAGTGATTCTCCTGCCTCAGCCTCCCAAGTAGCTGAGATTACTCAGCCTGCCAACATGCCCAACTAATTTTTGTACTTTTAGTAGAGACAGCATTTCACCATGTTGGCCAGGCTGGTCTCGAATTCCTGACCTCAAGTGATCTGCCTGCCTCAGCATCCCAAACTGCTGAGATTACAGGCATGAGCCACCACACCCAGCCAATATAGGGTTTCTTTTTGGGGTGATAAAACTGTTGTGGAATTTGAGTGGTGCTGATTGCAAAACTCTGTAACTATACTAAAATTCACTGAATTGTACACTTTAAAAGGGTGGGTTTATTATATGTGAATGAGATCTCAATTAAAAAGAGTACATCTGGGCCGGATGCAGTGGCTCATGCCTGTAATACCAGCACTTTGGGAGGCTGAGGTAGGTGGATCACCTGAGGTCAGGAGTTCGAGACCAGCCTGGCCTAAATGGGGAAACCCTGCCTCTACTAAAAATACAAAAATTAGCCGGGTGTGCACCTATAGTCCCATCTACTCAGGAAGCTGAGGCAGGAGAATCGCGTAACCTGGGAGGCAAAGGTTGCAGTGAGCCGAGATTGCACCACTGCACTCCAGTCTGGGTGACAGAGCAAGACTCCATCTCAAAAAAAAAAAAAAAAAAGAGTACATCTGATTAAAAAATGGCACAGGTGGCCAGGCACGGTGGCTCACGCCTGTAATCCCAGCACTTTGGGAGGCTAAGGCGGGTGGATCATAAGGTCAGGAGTTTGAGACCAGCCTAACCACCATGGTGAAACCCCGTCTCTACTAAAAATACAAAATTAGCTGGGCATGGTGGCGCATGCCTGAATCCCAGCTACTTGGGAGGCCGAGGTGGGAGAATCGCTTCAACCCGGGAGGCAGAGGTTGCAGTGAGCCGAGATCGCGCCATGGCACTCCAGCCTGGGCAACAAGAGCAAAACTCCATCTCAAAAAAATAAAATAAAATAAAAATTAAAAAATGGCACAGGTTATAAGGCATTCCTATTTCAATATTCCTATTTCAAAATGTGAAAAATGTGGGGGGTGCAGAAGAGCACTACGAAAAAGCTTAAGCCTCTGTAACTACCATATCTACTCCTGGTTTTCCTCTTTGTCATAATCACAGCTACCTGTCTGATGTGTGTGTCCAGCAGCTCACATTTGTAGCATATCTCATATCTGCTTGCTTTTTTTTTTTTTTTTGGAGACATGGTCTCACTCTGTCCTTCAGGCTGGAGTGTAGTGACAAAATCACTGCTCACTGCAAACTCCACCTCCTGGGTTCAGGCAATCCTTGCACCTCAGCCTCCTGCTGGGTCTACAGGTGCATGCCACCATGCCCGGCTAATTTTTATATTTTTTGTAGAGACAGGGTTTCACCATGTTGTCCAGGCTGGTCTTGCATGCCTGGGCTCAAGCGATCTGCCCACCTTGGCCTCTTAAAGTGTTGGGATTACAGGCATAAGCCACTGCGCCTGGCCATTTCTGCTCTCTACTCTTACTCAGTGGGCGCTCTGCCTTTGGGCCTGGGGTGCTAACTGCTGGGCTCTGGCTTAGCAGGGGAATGCAATGCCCCTGGTGGCTTCCCTACATTCCCTTTCTGAATAAACCTTTGTGAATTATCCTAGTTTGAATGTGCTATCTGTCTCCTTTGGGACCCTGACTGACTCAGTATCTATCTTAGGCAAATTCGTATTTTACTTAAGTAAGAAAATAAAATATGGGTAAGCACAGAGTGAAAAAAAAAAAAGAAGAAATACTGTTTAATAATTGAAGACAAAAGATATTAAGTTACATAATTTGAATTATCATCTTGACTAGACACCTTGAGGATCTCAAATGCTTTCCTAGACACAGAAAGCAGATGTAAATGGTTATAAATTTTTTTAAAAGCCAGATTTTGGGGGCCAGGCGTGGTGGCTCCCACCTGAATCCCAGCACTTTGGGAGGCCGAGGCAGGTGGATCCCGAGGTCAGGAGATCAAGATCATCCTGGCTAACACGGTGAAACCCCATCTCTACTAAAAATACAAAAAAATTAGCTGGGCGTGGTGGCAGGCGCCTTAGTCCCAGCTACTTGGGAGGCTGAGGCAGGAGAATGGCATGAACTCGGGAGGTGGAGCTTGCAGTGAGCCAAGATCACGCCACTGCACTCCAGCCTGGGTGACAGAGTGAGATTCTAGCCTTAAAAAAAAAAAAAGCCAGATTTTATGCCAAATGCGGTGGCTCATGACTGTAATCCCAGCACTCTGGGAGGCCAAGGCAGGTGGATCACTTGAGGCCACTCTTGGCCAACATGGCAAAACCGCGTCTCCACTAAAAATAGAAAAAAATTAGCTACGTGTGGTGGCATGTGCCTGTAATCCCAGCTACTCGGGAGGCTGAGGCAGGAGAATTGCTTGAACCCAGGAGGTGGAGGTTGCAGCAAGCCAAGATTGTGCCACTGCACTCCAGCCTGGCAACAGAACAAGACTCTGTCTCACAGAAAAAAAAAAAAAAAAAAAAAAAAGCCAGATTTTATTCATCCTCTAGATTTCAGTGCTCCTCCTAGGCAGCTGCACATACTAACCTGTCGGCTTTCCGAATGATGTGGCAATCTGCTCATCACTGCATCCAGCTCATCAAACTTCCTCAGGACAGCCTGAACTTCTGCAGACAGCTCTTTGTACTCTGAAAACTGGTCTTGGAACACAGCTTTATAGCGTTCTCGCTCATCATCTGTCTGAATCACAGGGTATTTTCTAGGGGAAAAACATAAGCCAAAGATATAATTGTTTCACTAAAAGAAGCTGAATGGGAAATCAGCTTATCTTATTCCTTACTGATCATATTGTACCTTCAATTCAATACATTACCTCTCAGATAACAACTATTTACATACACGATTTTAAGCACAGAGTATTAACTTGGAGACAAACTGGAAAATGAAAGGACCAAATGGGGCCCCTCAACTTCTACCTTGAGGAAGAATTCAGACTGACACTCACGCCACATAGTCGGGCATCACGATAGGTTTAGGAATGTGGCCTGGGGGGATGTGTCCACTCAGTAGTTCAGGTTTCATTTTTGCTGTTCTCAGTTCCTTGAAATTAACTTCTGAGTCTCTTTGTCTGTCACCACTGGTGGCCATTTCACACTGCAGTTAGGGAGAAAAAGAGGATTTGTTAATAAACATAAGTAGAAAAAAACCCTCTGAATTCATTCTTAGAAAATGAGGAAGAAGATCAGGTGGGGTGGCTCAAACCTGTAATCCTAGCACTTTGGGAGGACAAAGCCGGAGGATCACATGAGGCCAGGAGTTCAAGACCAGCCTGGCCAACATGGCAAGACCCTGTCTCTATAAAAAGTTTAAGGCCAGGCACAGTGGCTCACGCCTGTAATCCCAGCACTTTGGGAAACCGAGGTGGGCTGACCACTTGAGATCAGGAGTTTGAAACCAGCCTGGCCAACATGGTAAAACCCCATCTCTATTAAAAATACAAAAATTAGCTGGGAGTGGTGGCGGGTGCCTATAATCCCAGCTCCTCGGGAGGCTGAGGCAGGAGAATCACTTGGGCCCAGGAGGTGGAGGTTGCAGTGAACCAAGATTGTACCACTGCACTCCAGCTTGGGAGACAGACTGAGACTCTGTTTAAAAAAAAAAAAATCTGGCAGATGCAGCGGTGTGTGTCTGTAGTCCGCTAGTAGCTACTTGGGAGGCTTGGAGGCTGAGGTGGGAGGATTGCTTGAGTCCAGGAGGTAGAGGTTACAGTGAGCTGTGATTGCATTACTGCACTCCAGCCTGGGCGATAGAGTGAGACTCTGGCTCAAAAAAAAAAAAAAAAAAAAAAAAGAAGAAGAAGAAGAAAATGGGGAGGAAGACAGGAGGAAGAAAAGTGGAAATAAGAGTTAACATTTCACATCACAATTATATGTTTTATAGTCACAAAGTTGTTCTGAACGTTTCTGTAATAGCTAAGGGAATCACATTTGGGATATGGTAATACACAGTAGGTAAAACACACTCCAGCCCCAATCGTGTACATGTCAAAGGTGGATGATGCAATGCCAAACACGCAGTCTTAAGAACTTACCTATTTAGAATTTACACCCCAACTAAACGTAAAAGAATAAAAAATGTAATTCAAAATAAATTCAAGGATAAAAATGGAACAAGGCTACTTAAATGGAAAGAGAAAGTAATGATAATGGCAATTTGGGATGATTTAATTGTAAGTAACCACTGAGTGGATTAGAAAAGGAAATGAGTTGGCCGGGCACGGTGGCTCATGCCTGTAATCTCAGCACCTTGGGAGGCCGAGGTCGGTGGATCACGAGGTCAGGTGTTCGAGACCAGCCTGGCCAGCATGGTGAAACCCTGTCTCTACTAAAAATATAAAAATTAGCCGGGCATAGTGGTGGGCGCCTGTAATCCCATCTACTTGGGAGGCTGAGGCAGGACAATGGTGTGAACCCAGGAGGCGGAGCTTGCAGTGAGCCAAGATCACGCCACTGCACTCCAGCCTGGGCAACAGAGTGAGACTCTGTCTCAAAAAAAAAAAAAAAGAAAAGAAAAGAAGTGAGGTTGAGGCCAGGTGCAGGGGCTTACACGTGTAAGCCTAACACTTTGGGAGGCTGAGGTGGGAGGTGGGAGGATCACTTGAGGCCAGGAGTTCGAGGCTGCAGGGAGCTGTGAATGGTCCACTGCACTCCAGCCTGGGCATCAGAGCAAGACCCTGTCTCTTAAAAAAAAAAAATTAAAAACAGAAGTGAGGTTCAGAGAGGTCAAGTCAATTCTCCAAGGTCACATAACTATTAAGTAGAAAAGCCACAATTAAAACCCAGAACTGGGCCAGGCAAGGTGGCTCACGCCTGTAATCTCAGCACTTTGGGAGGCCGAGGGGGGTGGATCATTTAATGTCAGGAGTTCAAGACCAGCCTGGCCAACATGGTGAAACCCTGTCTCTACTAAAAATACAAAAATTAGCCGGATGTGGTGGTGTGCGCCTGTAATCCCAGCTACTCAGGAGGCTGAGGCAGGAGAATGGCTTGAGCCCGGGAGGCGGAGGTGGCAAGGAGCTGAGATTGTGCCACTGCACTCTAGCCTGGGTGACAGAGCGAGACGCCGTCTCAAAAATAAATAAATAAATAAATAAAACCCAGAACTAGGCCACGTGCAGTAGCTCATTCCTGTAATCCTAGCACTTTGGGAGGCCAAAGCAGGAGGACTGCTTGAGCCCAGATGTTTGAGACCAGCCTGGGCAACATAGGGAGATGCTGTCTCTAAAAAAAAAATTAAAAAAATATATTTTTTCTTGAGACAGAGTCTCGTTCTGTGGCCCAGGCTGGAGTGCAGTGGCACGATCTCGACTCACTGCAACCTCTGCCTCCAGGTTTAAGCAATTCTCCTGCCTCAGCCTCCTGAATAGCTGGGACTACAGGTGCACACCACCATGACTGGCTAATTTTTTGTATTTTAGTAGAGATGGGGTTTCACCATATTTCCTAGTCTGGTCTCAAACTTCTGAGCTCAGGCAATCCACCCACCTCAGCCTCCCAAAGTGCTAGGATTACAGGCATGAGCCACAGTGCCTGGCCAAAAAATAAAAAATTAACTGGGTGTGGTGGCATGCACCTGTGGTCCAGGCTACTTGGGAGTCTGAGGTGGGAGGATTACTTAAACCCAGGAGGTCAAGGCTGCAGTGAATCGTGATCATGCCACTCTACTCAGCCTGGGTGACAGAGTGAAACCCTGTCTCAAAAAACAAACAAACAAATAAATAAATAACCCAGAACTATTTGGTTTATTGATACTTTTTTTTTTTTTTTTTGATACAGAGTCTCACTGTGCCACCCAGGCTGGAGTGCAGTGGCGAGATCATATAGCTCACTGCAGCCTCGAACTCCTGGGCTCAACCTATCCTCCCTCCTTGGCCTCCCAAAGTGCTAGGGTTACAGGTGTGAGCCACGGTGCCTGACCTGGTTCATTGATACTTTAAATGAATAACATAAAGAAACCTGTTAGCTTAAATGTATATTGTTCATATCCTAAAGTTGCATGAAGTTCTAGTAGCACACTAGAAGTGAGCTTGTGATGGACAGGGCAAGCAATGCCATACTGCTACTGGAAAGTAAGATCGTGCTTGGGAACATGATTCCTCTTTGGAGCAGTAACCTCCCTCCCCTCTACTGACCCCTTAAGCCTTCGAGAAATGCTTGCTGAACTAAACTGAGAGTGGCTTGGGAGGGCCCCTACTTCACTGCAAATAAAAAACCAAACAGGATTTTAAAACCTTAATCTTCATCTTGCCAGGAAGCTTTAAAAATCCTTTGTTTCCTGATTTCCTTACCCTGAAACTGGCTTTGGTTTAATGTTAGCTCATTCTAAAAACCACTAGCACTTTAACTCACCAAATAGCACACCCTTTAGATTGTATTAGGTGTGGAGGCTGCTAACCAGCCCTAGGGGAAGGTTATGAAAAGGAAAAGCTCTCCAACCATGGCTCTAGGTGGGACAGAAGCCAGATCACCTAGATGTAGAAAGCATGCCTCGCCACTTGGTCTCCCAATCTGCAAAAACATGAGCGGCGAGCAGAGTACCCCGAGGAAATGAAATTAAGCCAGGATATTTTTAGGCAACACATTTTGAAGTTAGTATTTATTCTGCTGTATTTCTTGCTGATTAGGATGCCATTTCTTCATCCTAATGAATTCCTATATACTTAGTCTTGAAAACGAATAATGGTATTAAACATTAGGGGGAGCATTTTTGGCTTTAATAAATGAATTTCTATTTCTCTTTAACTTCTGTTTTATTTTTTTTGACCCCCATATGGACACATGGTTTAACTCCTAAATGTTTAACAATCCAGATCTCATGGTGCTGAGGAAGCTGCTATGAGCTTGTTGATCCTCTGGATCTCAGCAGCAGTCCCAGCATCAATCTCAGATCTCCTGGTCAAAGCTGCTTTGGGCAGAAGGTCCATCATTAATTTGTTTTCTACATAAATTTTTTTTTATTTTTATGGTCTTAACTTTTTTTTCTGCTCTTTTTGGATGAACCTTCCCGATCATCAGTTTGGAAAACTCTATTGGGAAAAAACTTTTTTTTTTTTGAGACATAGTCTCGCTCTGTCACCCAGGCTGGAGTGCAGTGGCACGATCTTTGCTCACTGCCACCTCTGCCTCCCAGTTCAAGCCACTCTCCTGCCTCAGCCTCCCGAGTAGCTGGGATTACAGGCATGCACCACCATGCCTGGCTAATTTTTGTATTTTTAGTAGAAATGGGGTTTCACCATGTTGGCCAAGCTGGTCCCAAACTCCTGGCCTCAAGAGATCCACCTGCTTTGGCTTCCCAAAGTGCTCGGATTACAGGCGTGAGCCACTGCACCTGTTCTCTATTGGGAAGAAATCTAAAACCACATATGAGACAAAGAATTAAATCTTCGTCAGGCTTTTGTGGGAAGACTGCATTAAGCTCCAGCACGGGAAAGGCCACTCTTAGACAGTACTCTTGATGACAGACATGTCAAAGGAAAGGGGAAAATGTCCCAGTGCCCCAGAGTAACATGACCGTTCTTTGCTTCCAGCAAAAACTAGTCTAAGTAATGTTATGAATATAATTATTAAACTTTTCAACTTAAAAATGGGCTGAATGAATATCTGTCAGGTTAGAAATAGAGAGAACTAAGGGAGGCTGAGGCAGGACAATTGCTTGAACCAGGAAGTCGGAGGTTGCGGTGAGCCGAGATCGTGCCACAGCACTCCAGCCTGGTGACAGAGTGAGACTCTGTCTCAAAAAAACAAACCAAAAAAAAAAAAGGAAAAGATATAGGGAGAACTAGCTATGTGTTTCAGTATGCATTTATTTCTCCAATTCTTGATTCTCTCTCCCTTTGAGTGTATAATATAATAATGCACAGGCCCCTGACCTCAAACCCATACCATCACGTTCCATGCCCACATTAGATTCCGGCTTTTCTAGCTTATAATATAAACCTGCACAGCACTTAAAGCACAGACTTCAGAATTTGTTGCTGTCTCTATGTGATCTTATATCTATTATTTCTTTTAAAAGTAGTCTTATTTGCTTTTAAAAATTATATTAATTAAAACACAAAATAAGAAGGCACCCCCTAGTATTAAACCAAACAACAGACAGGAAACTGAAGTTCAGAGAAAGTAAGCAATTTCCCCAGGATCGCAGAGCTAGTAAGTAGCTGACCTAGTACTCAAATTTAGATTGCCTGATTCTGAAGTTCACTTGCTGGCTGGGTGAGGTGGCTCACACCTGTAATCCCAGTGCTTTGGGAGGCTGAGGCAGGAGGATCACTTAAGACCAGCCCAGGCAACATAGTGAGACCTCTTCTCTACTAAAAATTATTTAAAAATTAACTGGCATGGTGGTGCATGCCTGTAGTCCCAGCTACTTGGGAGGTTAAGGTGGGAGGATTGTTTGAGCCCAGGAGTTTGCGGCTGCCCTCAGCCTGGGTGACAGACCCTTTTGAATTTTCAACCAAGTAAATATGCTCTCTTTTCAGAGAAACAAATCCAAAGACTGAATTCTCAACTCCTTGCTAAGAAATAATGTCCAGGCCGGGCGCGGTGACTCACGCCTGTAATCCCAGCACTTTGGGAGGCTAAGGCGGGTGGATCACGAGGTCAGGGGTTCGAGACCAGCCTGACCAACATGGTGAAATCCTGTCTCTACTAAAAATACAAAAATTGGCTGGGTGTGGTGGCGGGCGCCTGTAATCCCAGCTATTCAGGAGGCTGAGGCAGGAGAATTGCTTGAACCTGGGAGGCGAAGGTTGCAGTGAGCTGAGATCGCACCACTGCACTCCAGCCTGGGCGACAGAGCAAGACTCTGTCTAAAAATAATAATAATAATAATAATAATAATAATAATAATAATAATAATGTCCAGTATCTCAAAAAATGAGGGTAAAATTTTCAATGAGGGTAAAATTATGATTATTAAAATAAATTATTACATATATGTAAATAATGATAACAGCATCTCACTGAGTCCTCTCAGCAAACTTGCGAGGTATGAATTATTATTATTGCAATCTCACAGATGAAGAAATGCAGGCATAGAAAGGTTAAATAATTTGTCTGCTGCCACACAGTTGGTAAATTGTGGAATAGAAATTCCCTGACACTACAAAATTTGGCATCTTTAAAAAAAAGTATTATTGGCCGGGCATGCTGGCTCACACCCATAATCCCAGCACTTTGGGAGGCCGAGGCGGGCGGATCACGAGGTCAGGAGATCGAGAACATCCTGACCTCGTGAAACTAGCTAACATGGTGAAACCCCGTCTCCACTAAAAATACAAAAAATTAGCCGGCCGCGGTGGTGGGCACCTGTAGTCCCAGCTACTCGGGAGGCTGAGGCAGGAGAATGGTGTGAACCTGGGAGGCGGAGCTTGCAGTGAGCCGAGATAGCGCCACTGCACTCCAGCCTGGGCGACAGAGACTCCATCTCAAAAAAAAAAAAAAAGTATTATTATTATTAATTTCTTTTTTAACTGTCCTGTGAGTGTAGTAAAAAATTTGGCATCTGAAAGCAAGGTGAGAAGGATACAAAGAACAGCACAGAACTTTAAATACAAGTGAAGAAAGTTTCAGAGAATCACTTTCATTTAAAAAATAATTAAATTTCAAACATATGTTGGTTTGTTTACTTGCATAAATTTTCATCTAACAAAATTAAAAGCAGCTATAGATATGATTGTTTAATTTGGTCCTTTTAGTATCTGGAAAAAAGCTCAAAGTCCTAATATGAACTCGATGTAACAGCTACAATTTCTTTTTTTTTTTTTAATATATATATATATTTTTATTATACTTTAAGTTTTAGGGAACATGTGCACATTGTGCAGGTTAGTCACATATGTATACATGTGCCATGCTGGTGCGCTGCACCCACTAACTCGTCATCTAGCATTAGGTATATCTCCCAATGCTATCCCTCCCCCCTCCCCCGACCCCACCACAGTCCCCAGAGTGTGATAATCCCCTTCCTGTGTCCATGTGATCTCATTGTTCAATTCCCACCTATGAGTGAGAATATGTGGTGTTTGGTTTTTTGTTCTTGCGATAGTTTACTGAGAATGATGATTTCCAATTTCATCCATGTCCCTACAAAGGACATGAACTCATCATTTTTTATGGCTGCATGTAATAGCTACACTTTCTTTTCTTTTTTTTTTTTTAAACAGTCTCACTCTGTCACCCAGGCTGGAGTGCAGTGACGTGATCTTGGCTCACTGAAACCTTCACCTCCCAGATTCAAGTGGTTCTCGTGCCTCAGCCTCCAGAGTAGCTGGGATTACAGGCGTGTGCCACCACGTGCAGGTAATTTTTGTATTTTTGGTAGAGACAGGGTTTCACCATTTTGGCCAGGCTGGTCTTGAAATTCTGGTCTCAAGTGCTCCGCCCTCCTCAGCCTCCCAAAGTGCTGGGATTACAGGTGTGAGCCACCACACCTGGCCAATAGCTACATTTCACAGATGTACGATACTACTATGTAGATAAACAGACCTAAGAGAAAAGTATTAACAAATCTAAAGCATAATATGAAGTAAACTTTATTCTTACCATTTTCCTTTTCGATGACAATGATGGCTCATTTATCTGGAACAAAAAGAGTTCAAATAGTTTTTCAAAGGCATGTGAAGCTACTTTGCAAATATTTTCATCCATTTGCATTTATAGCCCAACCTCAATTTTAAGAGGTTGATCCTCTACTTGACGGGTGTTTCTCATCCTTTTTTTGCCTAGGTTTTGAAGGGCCAGTGGAGAACTGAGAAGAGGGATAACTGTAATTCCCTGTCAATCAGGGCATAGAGAGGAGTAGGGAATACGGAGATGGTGGAAACTGTTAGATAAACCACTCTGAATTACCCTCAAATTTTATTTATTCTTGCCTCCCATTACTTTGCATGATTAAAGAGTTAGGACAATTACTCTATAAAATTAATAGAAAAAAGCCCTAGGCCATTACATCTTCTAACCTTTAGGAAGTTATAGCAACGTACAGACAGGCACAACTTTCAACATCAGGTGACTGAAGTCTAATTAGGCATTATGAAAAGTCTCATAGACATAAGTTTTTGTTGAGAAAGGAAAAAGAAATAAAAGTATTATGTTGATCATTCTATTCATATAGAATTTTTAAATATTAAGATTTAATAACTTATGCAACTAGCATAAATTTATGAGGAAGTATGTGTTTCACTATCTGGATTTCATACTGATTAGAATTAACATTTTTTACTTTGTACACAGAGATGTACATTTAAGAAATAAATTGTAACTTTAAGAAACAAAAATTTAATACATGTGAAGGTTACATAAAAAAACAAAAATGTAAGAAATATGCTTAAAATGCTAAGACACATTTTTAGAAATAACTTGAATCTATGTAGAGTTCTAGCAAGATAAATTATTTTGTGACAATCAAGCTAGGCATGGTGGCTTATGCCTGTAATCCCAGCACTTTGGGAGGCTGAGGCGAGAGGATCGCTTGAGGCCAGGAGTTTGAGACCAGCCTGAGCAACATAGCAAGACCCCGTCTCTACAAAAAATTTAAAATATATATAGAGAGAGATCACATGGACACATGTCAAAGTCCTTTGTATAACATGTAGGTACTTGTTATAAAACTATTTTTTTCCATCAAGCACAGTGGCTTATACTTATAATCCCAACACTTTGGGAGGCTGAGGCAGGAGGATTGCTTGAGCCCAGAAGTTCGAGACCAGCCTGGGTAACATAGTGATACCCTGTCTCTACAAAAAATATTGAAAAATAGCCAGGTGTGGTGGTGTATGCCTGCAGTCCCAGCTACCTGGGAGGCTGAGGTGGGAAGATTGCTTGAGCCTGGGAGGTCAAAGCTGGAGTGAGCCATGATTGTGCCACCGTATTGCAGGCTGGGTGACAGAGTTAGACCCTTCCTCAAAACAAACCATCAACAACAACAACAACGACAACAAAACGATTTGTTTCCCATTCCACTAGGTGTAAAAAGAAAATCTAAGGCTGGGTGTGGTGGCTCACGCTTGTAATCCTATCACTCTGGGAGGCCAAGGCAGATGGATCACCAGAGGTCAGGAGCTCAAGATCAGCCTGGCCAACATGGCAAAACCCTGTCTCTACTAAATACAAAAATTAGCTGGGCATGGTGGCATGTGCCTGTAATCCCAGCTACTAGGGGGGCTGAGGCAGAAGGATCACTTGAACCTGGGAAGCGGAGGTTATAGTGAGCAGAGATTGTGCCACTGCACTCCAGCCTGGTGCCAGATATTGGGGGAAATTCATCCCCGATATTTCACGTAGGTTCTTTTCTATATTCCCTAAGTGTCGGCCAGTCTGAGAAATAAAGGGAAAGAGTACAAAAGAGAGAAATTTTAAAGCTGGGTGTGCAGGGGAGACATCACATGTCGGCAGGTTCCGTGATGCCCCCGAGCCGTAAAACCAGCAAGTTTTTATTAGTGATTTTCAAAAGGGGAGGGAGTGTATGAATAGGGTGTGGGTCACAGAGATCACATGCTTTACAAGGTAATAAAATATCACAAGGCAAATGGAGGCAGGGCGAGATCACAGGCCACAGGACGGGGCAAAATTAAAATTGCTAATGAAGTTTCAGGCATGCATTGTCACTGATAACATCTTATCAGGAGACAGGGTTTGAGAGCAGACAACTGGTCTGACCAAAATTTATTAGGCGGGAATTTCCTCGTCCTAATAAGCCTGGGAGCACTACAGGAGACCAGGGCTTATTTCATCCCTTATCTATGATTGTAAAAGACAGCCATCCCCAAAGCGGCCATTTCAGAGGCCTACCCTCAGGGATGCATTCTCTTTCTCAGGGATGCTCCTTGCTGAGAAAAAGAATTCAGCGATATTTCTCCTATTTGCTTTTGAAAGAAGAGAAATATGGCTCTGTTCCGCCCAGCTCACAGGCAGCCAGAGTTTAAGGTTATCTCCCTTGTTCCCTGAACATTGCTGTTATCCTGTTCTTTTTTCAAGGTGCCCAGATTTCATATTGTTCAAACACACATGCTCTACAAACAATTTGTGCAGTTAACTCAATCATCACACGGTCCTGAGGCAACATACACCCTCCTCAGTTTATGAAGATGACGGGATTAAGAGATTAAAGACAGGCATAGGAAATCACAAGGGTATTGATTGGGGAAGTGATAAGTGTCCATGAAATCTTCACAATTTATGTTCAGAGACTGCAGTAAAGACAGGCATAAGAAATTATAAAAGTATTAATTTGGGGAATTAATAAATGTCCATGAAATCTTCACAATTTATGTTCTTCTGCCATGGCTTCAGCTGGTCCCTCTGTTTGGGGTCCCTGACTTCCCGCAACAGTGCCACTGCACTCTGGCAACAGAGTGAGACTCTGTCTCAAAAAAAAAAAAAAAAAGAAAGAAAAGAAAATTAAAAAAACCAAAAAACGGGCCAGGCATGGTGGCTCACACCTGTAATCCCAGCACTTTGGGATGCCAAGGCAGGTGGATTGCTTGAGTCCAGGAGTTTGAGACCAGCCTGGACAACATGGCAAATACTCATCTCTAAAGAAAAAGAAAATTAAAAAAATTTTAAAACCAAAGCGCTATTTGTTGCTATGCATCAGATTCAAGCAAAAGATTAAAAACAAAATACATATGTCAGTGTGTGCTGTTATAAGGACAGGATTTAATTTTTATTTATAGTTTTGCCCAATATATACCATGTGCAATTGTATAGTATCTAAGAAGTCTTAGGAAAAGTGGAAAAGCAAAAATTCATAATATAGTTAACTTAAAATTACAAAAAATTTTAAGGTAAATACTGAAAATTTCAGTGGCATAGGAGAGTCTACTATACACATATCCTTGGAAGAAGGCAAAATATCAACTTACTTCAGAGAATAATGTAGCCAGTGGAACATACTCTAACATTTGCTACTGTTCAACCAAAATAATTTTAGGTAGGGCTTTTATCTCATCCTTCAGTTATTATTATTTTATTCTTCTTATTGTTCTCATTATTATTTATTCTCATTATTATCCTATTAAGTTCTAGAAATATAAAAACAATGTAGGACTTCCATTCTCATTTTGGACCATACGTCTTCCTCAAATAAAGACAAATTATCAAAACCACTGGGCAAGTTTTCAGAGTATGTTCATTACAATTCAATCTCTCAATACTTAAAAAAAATCAAACATGGTTTACCACATTCTTATTTGGCTTTATTCAACTCACTGGGAGAAAGTAAATTGTAACATTTAAATGAAAAATTAGGAGCTTTTATTAAAGAATTAAGATTGTTCTCAAACTTAATGATGAGACACTTATTTTACTGAGTACACTCTTCTTCTTTGCAAAAATTCGGTAGCTGTATCTTTCCCTTAAGCTTCAGACAGACATAATAATGCAGCCAACAAACTATATATTACACATCTGGTGTCTACTTGCAATGTTATGTAACAGCCAAACACCAGAGTGGGTTATCCCAGTCAAAGCATGTCAGATATTGCACTAGGACTTTTGAATCTCAGACCATTGAAAAAAAAAAAAAGGAAGAAAGAAAAGATTTTTATGAAAGCTTTCTGTTTTGAGCGCTATACATTTTTTAACAAGGGAGCAAATAACAGAAAAAACAAACATACACACACAAATGAGGGATTATGAAATCACTTACCTCCTGTTGTTCCATATATTCTCTATGTCTCCGAGCTGCCTCATGCCTCCATAACTTTAGGCAAACCAAAGCACTAATGAGATAAACTATCATGGTGACAAACAGGAAGATCATTGCAGCTATCTGTCCTCCTTCTACCCGGCAGAACACTGCATTCACTGGTGTATTAAATAACGGATAGTAGCAGAGGCCACCTCGGTTGGTATCATTCACATAGACTATGGCTGCGGCCATATACAAAATAAACAAGGCAACGTTAATTCCAAATTCAGTTAGGGGCCACCAATTAGAGTCCAGAAGAATGGTCCGGTAATACATGGACATGCCAAGAACCAGAATAATAATGGTGGTGATCCAAGCTAATCCAGCAACCACGAGTACAAAAGGGGTCTTAGGGCCAGTGTAGTAATAGCCCCCATACATACTGCCCAATCCACCAACGCCTCCCATGCCATACGGTTGTGAATATCCAAACAAGTTGTACCACTCACTGTCCTTGTGAATGTAAGCTGTGACACAAGCAAAGACACCGGCCCCCAAAAGCAGCTCCACCACACCCAGTATTCTCAGCAGGCCTGCCCACGACTTCATGTAGGAGTATCTCAGGTTATACTCCTCCACCTTCTCACTGTATGTTCGAACTGTTTGTGTGTGTCGGTCTAGAGATCCATAGGGATCCCGGGGAAACACTGCGTCAGCCTCTTTCCGGGAACTAAAGGTTCCTTCTGACCCTCCGTAGGGATCTTTGCAGGAGTTGAGGGGCGAACGGTGGTTTGGTCTTGCTGGAGAGGCTGGTGGTGAACACTCCACTCCATCGGAGATGTACCTGATATCAGACACCGGCTTATCCCATTCGGGGTCCTTTTTCTTCCCTCTGAAAAAGTTCTTCCAGGAGTCAGGGACAAAGCGCCTTACTGGTTTGAGATCTGGCGCTATAGCTGGTTCTTCTGTGTCACTTGAGTAGAAGTCTGGGCCGAATGGTGGCTGTAATGGGAGAGGGGGTGGTGGCAAGGGATCAGCGCTCACTGCCCGCTCACTGTCATGAAGAATTGGGTGGGTTCTTATGGTGGTATCTTGATAGGGCAGGTCGCTTGGGACCTCATCGTAGCGCCTGTCCCGATTCCTGGATCTTCCATCATTTGACATTTGTGATTTTCACACCTGTGGCCAAATTTAAAGTTATCACTTATGATTAGTTACTTATCCTCTCAATGATGCTGATTTTATTCATGTAGTAGCAAAAAGTATTTAGGAGACCAACAGGATCATGTCTAATTATTATGATATACAAAAATGATAAATATGATACCGGGCACGGTGGCTCATGCCTGTAATCCCAGCACTTTGGGAGGCCAAGACAGACGGATCATTTCAGGTCAGGAGTTTGAGACCAGCCTGACCAACATGGTGAAACACTATCTCTACTAAAAATACAAAAACTAGCCAGGCGTTGTGGCATGCGCCTGTGATCCCAGCTACTCAGGTGGCTGAGGTATAGACCGCTTGAACCCGGGAGGCAGAGGTTGCAGTGAGTCGAGATTGCGCCACTGCACTCCAGCCTGGCTGACACAGTGAGTCTCTGTCTCTAAAAAAAAGAAAAAAAAAAAGAAATGAAAAATGATTTATAAATCTAATTTATCTGTGAGCCCTATTAAACAATAAAATAAAAAACAAAAGTGACAAAACTTTAACACAACAGAACGCGAACACACTCCCAAGTAGAGTCATTTCCTCAAACATCTAAATCAAAATACTAAGAGTTTGAGTGTAGCGAAATTTGATGGGTCAGCAAATATTCTTCATTTTCACTTGGAATAGCCTAGGAGAGGCAGTCTGTTAAAACACAGGGTATGCACAGCCCTTCCCCTTCCTAAATCAACAAAGTCATTTTAGAGGACTTGCTTCTTCCAGTCTAAAATATTAACAATTGAAACTAGATGTAAAAAAATTGAATCTCAGAGACAACATCACCAAAGGCTAAGGCTCCCCCAAGGCACAATAGAGAATGGCAGCAATGACCATTACTATTACTCTTTCGAGGGCAATTCAGGTGATTTACTGTTCCCAAGGAGAGACTCAAGTATCTCAGAAGGTATTCAATCCACCTCAAAAATAAAGCATAGAAAATGCACTTTTACTAAGCCTGTTGATTCATGAAATCAATGCTCTGCACCCATATACAGAAAGAAGGAAACCATTTGTGAATTAACTACTAGTTTTAAGGTATGCTGAATTTCTCTCTCGAATTGTTTATAAGTATTTTGTTTGAAGACTTAAAAAAATTTTTTCATTCACACCCTGCCAAGACTCATTATTGAAGACTTAAACTGGGCACATGGTATTGTACTTGATACTATGAAGGTCTCAAAATTAAAATGGATAACCCCATCTTTTTTGTTATTGTTTTATTTATTTAATATTTTTAAGACAGGGTCTCACTCTGTTTCCCAGGCCAGAGCATAGGAGCACAATCATAGCTCACTGCAGCCTCAATCTCCCTGGCTCAAGCACTCCAGCTGCCTCAGCCTCCTGAGTAGCTGGGACTACAGGTGCATGCCACCATACCCAGCTAATTCTTTTTTTTTTTTTTTTTGAGACAGAGTCTCAATCTGTTGCCCAGGCTGGAGTGCAGTGGTGCCATCTCGGCTCACTGCAAGCTCCGCCTCCCAGGTTCATGCCATTCTCCTGCCTCAGCCTCCCAAGTAGCTGGGACTACAGGTGCTCGCCACCACGCCCGGCTAATTTTTTGTATTTTTAGTAGAGATGGGGACCATGTTAGCCGGGATGATCTTGATCTCCTGACCTCATAATCCACCCGCCTCGGCCTCCCAAAGTGCTGGGATTACAGGTGTGAGCCACCACGCTCGGCCGCTAATTCTTTAAAATTTTTAGTAGACATTAAGTATCACTATGTTGCCTAGGCTGGTCTTGAACTCCTGGGCTCAAGCGATCCTCCTGCCTTGGCCACCCAAAGTGCTGGGATTACAAGCGTTAGCCACTGCACCTGGTCTGATAACCCCATCTTTATACTGTTGAACAATTTGGAAATTCCTAAGGCTTTATTTTATTTTACTTTGGAAAACGAAGACCCTTCATTTAACCTGCCTTGCACCAGGCATGCTGAAAGTATACTGGTGGACAAACCAGACTGAAATCCTTGCCTTCATGATGCTTTAACCGGGGGAGTGCCGGGCAGATTGACAGATGATAGATAAATGAAATATACAGTATGCTAAAGAACAAAGTTGAGAAAGGGGGTAAAGACTGCAATGGGGACAGGATGTTACCATCTTAAACCGAGTGGGCAGGGAAATCTTCACAGAGAAAGGGATATCTGAGTATAGAACTGAAGGTGAAGGAGGAAGCCAGGCCATTATCAGGGACAAGTGTTCAGGCAGATGGAATAGCTAGCGCAAATGCCCTGAAGCAGGAGTGCCTGGTATGTTCAAGAAATATTTAGGCATGGAAGCTACTGTGGCAGCAGCAAAGTGGGTAAGAAGGTGAATAGTAGAACTGAGGCCATCTGAATCATGTAGGGCCTTGAAAACCACTGGAAAGAAAGGACTTTGTCTTTTGCTAGGAGTGAAATGAGAAGCCACTGGAGGATTCTGAATAGAGGAGTGACATGACTTGACTTGTTTTAACAGTATCACTATGGATGCTGTGTTGAGAGTACACTCCAGAAGGCAAGAGGTAAAACAGGAAGACTGGCTAGGCCATTGAAATAATCCAATGGATCACTGAGATCTTGAGAAGAGGTCAAATGCTAGACAGGTATTTAAAATTTTTATTATAGAATTTTTCAAACATAATAAAAAGTAGAAAGAATAGCATTATGAACCCTTGTGTACCCACATCCAGCTTCTACACTTATCGATTTATGGCCAAACTTGTTTCATTTATACTCCCCATACTATTTCCTCTGCCAATAGAGTCCTCTGAAGTAAACCCCAGACATCTGATCATTTTATCTATCTATACCTCATTCTCCACCCCTCCAGCTTAGCCTTGGGGAGCAGCAGACTGAAGAGTGTTTCAGATGCGTTAAAAATCCAGGTAGAGACGTTAAGAGGGCAAGCAAGGCACACAGGGTATGTACAGACTGGAGACAAGGGAATGCGGTGGAAACCCAGGGTCTTCTAATAGGGCACTCCGACCTTAGAGGATTAACTGTGATGGCCCCAGCAGGGTGCCCAATGCAAAGCGGCTCTGTATATTATAACAATCAGTTATTTTTGTACCTTTCTCTTTCTTTCTCTAAAAAAGTGTAAGTTCTAGAAATGCTATTACGACTCTAGTTTTTGAAACACATTCCTAAGAAATGTAGAAGCAAAAGCACAACAAATGATTTTAGCAAGTTTTACACAGCATTTACAGGATACGCTATGCTTAATTCAACTCACTGGTAAAAATACGATTCACTGTAATGGATTTAACTCTTCACCTGTGAAGTGGCTTATTTGAATCAAACCACCCTATCCATTTTTAAAGAAAAAACAAGCAATTATTAAAGAGTTGTGGAAAAGCAAGATAATGTGATTTTTAGAAGGGAATGGTTAGCTGTATTTCATTACATCTTAAATATCTGGATACCCCTAATGTCTTTCAAGATGTCACTGAGAGTTCGTTCTGGTCCCGCAGGTCGCGGCAGCGTGTGTCTTTGTCCTGCTCAGGCCCCGGACCCTTACTCCACTCTTGGACACTCATCTTGGAAAGCCGCGGCAATGGCAGGAGAAATGGCTGCCCCAGCAAAGTGTCACAGGAATCATGCCTGGTCACCTTTACACAAACAGAACCACCGGTTTACCTGGCTTAAAAGTTTTGCTGGACCCAAGAAACGGGTAGATTTCGGATACTTCTGCGCTTCCGAGGGGTCGGGAAAGGCTCTGCGGTTCTAACTAACCCACGACTGCCCGGGGGTACCGAGCATTTTAGCTGTGGGGTCTCCCCCGCGCCAGCCTCTGGGCGCCCGGTCCCACAAATCTCATTGTGTCCTCGGTTCTGCCCGCGCCGGCTAGGCGTTCGTCTTCGCGTTTCTGGCTGAAACCCACTGTCTTTGGAGATTCCGACCCAACGAGGCCGAAACTAAGCCGGGAGACCTCCCAGGTAAGGAGCACCGAGATCGCCCCGAGGTGCGCGCCCCGCCCCGCGCCCGGAAGGACGGCGGCTCGGCCGCACCTGCGTCCGCAGAGCGAAACCTGGCGGGACGCGGGCCTCCCCGGATCCCTGGCTCCGGCCTCCCCCGCGGGCTATGGCAGGCTGAGCGCCGAGCGCGGGCAGCCGTCCGTCGCAGCACACCTGGGCCGGGGGCCGCCGGGCCCTCCTCTCCCGGTCACGTGGCCCCACCCCGGTCCCACTTACCTGCGCAGCCGCCAGGAAGAGCGCGCACGCTGCCCAGGACTCTGAAACCGGTATCGGGCTCCCGGGGTGGGGGCGGGGCCGGGACGGGACGAGCCCAGCTTTCCCCGCCCGGCTTTGCCCCGCCCGGATCTGTCGGCCCGACAACCGCTCTGGGCCCAGGCTGCTCGGTGCCACCAGCCGGCACGTCGCGGCAATGACCACACACTGGGCTCTTTTGGAAAGAGTTTACAGTTCTCATCGCAACGTTGCCATCCTCTTCCCTATCTTTTGAAAAGTTTGACACTGGGGGAGGGAGATTGGTGCACTGTGCTTAAGGACCCATGGCAGAGAGTGCGTGCTAGATAATGTTAAAAGACAGGAGAAACAAAATTAAATTCAACATTTTAATTGTGATATAACTTATGTAAATACTTTCCAAAAAGTATCTAAGATATTCCACTGTACAACACATCAAAACTATCTGAGAAGCGGGAGACAATAAAGTGTAAATAAGGCACACAGTTTACACTCGTAATTGCATCCTAAACTGTTGAATAGTTGATATTTACAACCCCCCAATAACGTTTTTGCATCCTGAATTAGTCCTTCACATCTTGATATTTGGCATAATGTTCAAACACACTTTATACACACTGACCGCTCCTTAAACCACTCACAGATTTAATAAATACCGAAAAAATTAAGAGATTTGAAGGCTTGATCTTCTATTTACTTCAAGATGACAGAAGAGTAGGTTTCTTGTGATGAAATACTACAAGAATGAAGAATTAACAAACTGTTGTGTAATTCATCAGAAAAGCATATTAACTCTGCTGAAGTACCACTGAATGAAACAAAAATGAAGCTGTGAAGTAGCAATCTGATTAGCAGGCTGGCTTCTATGTCCCATCACTCTCGTAGTCTTCTATTATTATGTTTTCTTCCATGTCTCCTTGGGCTGAAAAGGGCTGGGGCTGGCTAGCAGGCAGTTCACTGGCACTATTCTGACTCAAAGGAAGAGACCAGGTTTCCGGCACAGTGGCTTGAGTGGGTTCACCCAGAGATTCCTCTGCAGAATGTCCTCCATTAAGCTGGGCTTCATCTCCGCTGTCAGGGTCTATCATTCCATGTTCCCTGTCAGTCAGGGCTTCCATTTTCAATCTGTCAGATTCACAGTGCAGGCATTAATAAGAACCAAAGGAGAAGATTTTTAAATTACACCATGAGTGTGATGATTATGAAGCCATCTTTCATTTACCTACATTGTGCTGTTTAGCTAGTCCCTTTAACTATAAAAACAAAACTACAAGGTAAATGACAAACTGAATAAGTTCCTACAACTTAAAATACAAAAAGGAGCTGAACACGGTGGCTCATGCCTGTACTATCTGCACTGTGGGAGGCCAAGGCAGGCAGATCACTTGAGGCCAGGAGTTCAAGACCAGCCTGGCCAACATGGCAAAAACCCATCTCTATTGAAAATAGAAAAATTAGCCAGGCGTGGTGGCATGCATCTGTAATCCCAGCTACTCAGGAGGCTGAGGCAGGAGAATTGTTTGAACCCAGGAGGCAGAAGCTGCAGTGAGCCAAGCTCGTGCCACTGAACTCCAGCCTGTACGACAGAGCAAGACTCTGTCTCCAAACAAAAAACAAACAAACAAAAAAACCAAACCAAACCACAACAACAAAAACACCTAAAAATAAAAAGAAATAATGTCTTCAGTAAAGAATTTTTCTTTTTTCTTTTTTTTCATTGAGACTGTCTTTCTCTATCGCCCAGGCAGGAGTGCAGTGGTGCAATCTCAGTTTACTGCAACCTCTGCCTCCCAGGTTCAAGCGATTCTCCTGCCTCAGCCTCCCAAGTAGCTGGGATTACAGGCACATGCCATCATGCCCAACTAATTTGTATTTTTAGTAGAGATGGGGTTTCACCATGTTGGCCAGGGTAATCTTGAACTCCCGAACTCAGGTGATCCATCTGCCTCCGCCTCCCAAAGTGCGGGGATTACAAGTGTGAGCCACCACACCCAGCCTTCAGTAAAGAATTTTTACAAATTAAAAAGGAAAAAATGAAATAGAAAAATGGGCACAAACATGGACAACTTATAAAACAAATACAAATGGTTCCTAAATTGTTAAATCTAATTTGTAATTTTAAAAATGAAAATTAACATAATGAGCTACTACTGTCATCTTTTTTTTTTTTGAGACAGTCTTGCTCTGTCACCCAGGCTACAGGGCAGTAGCACGATCTTGGCTCACTGCAACCTCCACTTCAGGTTCAAGCGATTCTCCTGTCTCAGCCTCTGGAGTAGCAGGGATTACACGCGGGCACCACCACACCCAGCTAGTTTTTGTATTTTTAGCAGAGATAGGGTTTCACCATGTTGGCCAGGCTGGTCTCGAACTCCTGACCTTAGATGATCCACCCACCTCAGCCTCCCAAAGTGCTGGGATTACAAGCATGAGCCACTGCGCCTGGCCTATTACTGTCATCTTCTAAACTGGCAAAGATACTTTTAAAACCCAGTGGTGGCAAGGGTTAGGAGAAAAGAACATACTGATACACTGTAAGTGGATACAAAACTGGCAAAATATTCTTGCCAACAATTTGGCAATAAAGAGGAAAAGCCCCAAAAGGTATATACCTATTGATCCAGCAATTTCATTTGTAGGAATTCACCCTAAGTAAATAGTATTTGAAGTGCATGATGACTTATCTATAAGGCTGGGATAGTAAAAGCTGAAAAAAAGCTAAATGGGCAAAAATAACGTGTAGGTTGAATTACAGGAAATTAAACACCTATTAAATATTAAGTATTAATATTTAATACTAAATACTAAACATATGAACAATGGTTTTAAATATGGTCAACATAAATAAAAGATAGTACCAGTCATTGTAATATATAGCACTGAAAATACTGCCTCTCGTGGCCAGGCGTGGTGGCTCACGCCTGTAATCCCAGCACTTTGGGAGGCCGAAGTGGGCGGATCACGAGGTCAGGAGATCAAGACCATCCTGGCTAACACAGTGAAACCCTGTCTCTACTAAAAATACAAAAAATTAGCTGGGCGTGGTGGCGGGCGCCTGTAGTCCCAGCTACTCGGCAGGCTGAGGCAGGAGAATGGTGTGAGCCCAGAAGGTGGAGCTTGCAGTGAGCCGAGATCGTGCTACTGCACTCCAGCCTGGGCGATAAAGCTAGACTCCGTCTACAAAAAAAAAAGAAAAGAAAATACTGCCTCTCAAGTCACATCAAGTAGGTAGTTGAACCAATAATAAAATAGTGAAGATTCTCATTCAATTTAGCCTTGTGTAAATTGCAGCAACTCAATACATCTCAGGAGCAAAAATACAATAGAACATACTTGTCTTTATTTTGATGCCATAATCTTAGGGGGTTGGGGAGAGAAGCCATCAAAGAGACTTGGTCCTGCTTTCATTCAGAGGGATGTGAGAAGAAAAGCAGTGTTTATGAAATGTGTAAGCCCTGATCACATCCCAGTGGGACGATGCTTCAAGATCCATCCATCATGGTCTTTCTGCGATAGGAAAGATGGGCCCCACATAGCTAAGCCAGTATACAGAAAAAAACATTAACACTACAAAGGCCTTAATGAATCTTGGAGGGTAAAGAGGGGGAATAAGCTCACATCACAGGAGTTTTCCATTTGGGACCAGAAATAGGAGAAAAGGTAGGAGGAGTCAGAGGTGCCATTTCTATCACTTACTTTTGTCCATGCATTCAGTAAGCAAGATTTTTTTAAATCTTTTTTTTGAGATGGAGTTTTGCTTTTGTTGCCCAGGCTGGGGTGCAATGGTGTGATCTTGGCTCACTGCAACCTCCACCTCCCGGGTTGAAGCGATTCTCCTGCCTCAGCCTCCTGAGTAGCTGGGATTACAGGCATGTGCCACCACACCCGGCTAAATTTTGTATTTTTAGTAGAGACACGGTTTCACCATGTTGTCCAGGCTGGTCTTGAACTCCTTATCTCAGGTGATCCACCTGCCTCGGGCTCCCAAAGTGCTGGGATTACAAGCATAAGCCACCACGCCCGGCCATTTTTAAAATCTTTAAACAATTCCTAAGTGCTTAATTCGATCTTACAAATAAGCTAAGTCAAACTGAAATATAAGTTTTGTGTTAATCACTGATAATGGCACAGAAGCTACTTTCCAATAAAATGAACAGTATATATATATATATATATATATATATATATATATAGACAGATAGACATCTATTTTTTGCTTGTTTAAATTTTCTAAAATAAGAAAATATGAAGGACTCTTCTACTTTCTGAGGCAGTTCCTAGTCACTGCAGGTCTTCAAGCATAGGCTAAGAACATCTCTCAACAGGAAAGCTGGCAAGGGGTTTCTAGATTTGTTGAGTTGGAGGATTTTAAAGATTCCTCTGCCTTTGTGATTCCATGCTTCCATTTAATCTGGTATAGTCCATTGGGAGTGGGTGAAGATATGCTGTTATATTTAAGAAAAGGAAGGGTCTACAATACAATTATGTTTATAAATTACTAGGTACAGTATGTCTTTCTTGGATGTTACAGGTAACAGTTATTGATTCATATTGAACATATTCAGTAGACATTTCATTATCAGCTTTTTGGAAATTGAGATGATCAGCTTACCTTCCAAAGTGTCGCTTCAGAGGGAGCCTTCCAATATCTTGGATAAAAGAAATCTGAGCTGAAACAGATTTTTTAAAAGTTGTAAACAATTTTCCAAAGAAAATATACAAATGGCCAATAAGCACATGAAAAGATGCTGAACATCACTAATCTTTAGAGAAATGCAAATCCAAGCCATAGTGAGATACCAATTCACATCTATTAGGATGACTGTTACAAAAAACCAGAAAACAAGAAGTGTGGGTAAGGATGTGGAGAAGCTGGAACCCTTGTGCATTGCTCATGGGAATGTAAAATGGTGTAGCTGCTGTGGAAAACAGTATAGTGCATCCTCAAAAAATTAAAAATGGAATTATTGTATGATCTAACAATTCCACTTCTGGGTATATACCCAAAATAATTAAAAACAGAGTCTCAAAAAGATATTTGTATGCCCATGTTCATATCAGCATCAACAATAATCAATGGGTGGAAGCAACCCAAGTGTCCATCAACAGATGAATGGATAACCAAATATGGTATATACATCTCATGGAATATTACTCAGCTTTAAAAAGGACACATGCTCCAACACAAATGAACTGCGATGACATCATTCTAAGTGCAACTAGTCACAAAAGAACAAATATTGTATGATTCCACCTATATGAAGTATTTAGAGTCATAAATTCATAGAGACAGAAAGTAGAATGGTGGCTGCCAGGGGGAAGGGAAAATGGGGAATTAATGCTAATAGTTATAGAATTTCAGTTTTGCAAGAAGCAAAAGTTTCGGAAACTGGTTGCAGAACAAGGTGGATATACTTAACACTACTGCACTGTAGAATTCAAAATGGTTAAGATGATAAACTTTATGCTTTGTATACTTTATCACAATTAAAAATGCAAAAAGAAAAAGAATGACATAGTAAACTTTCAGGATGACAGCATAAGCTCTTGTGTACCCACTCCCAAAGATAAGCAAAATCGGTGAAAACTTTTAAAAATCAATCATTTGAAGTCTCTGGAAATTGTCCTAATAGCATACAGCAAATGAGAAAAGATCTATTCAAGAAAACCAAACAGGAAGAATCTGAGGCATCTGAGCCACTATCTCCTCCCTCCCATTCCCAACCCTGAGCTGAGAGGGCTCAGCTTGATGAACATTTCATTCCAGGTGGGTACAGCCAAGAACTAAGGACTCCTTCCTACTGGAGTGCAGCAGGGTGTTTGGGGCTTCCTTTCCCCACCCGGCCCTACTCATAGGATAAGAGGTTCTAACCCAAAGGCACTGTCCCCTGTCCCAGCTGCAGTCTCCCTTACCCCAGCTTGTTACATAGCAGAGGGTCCACACTGGGAGAGGCAAGCCAAAATAATCAGAGGCTACCTCTGCAGCTGGGCACCCACCCAGAATAAGTGGCTTAGAGATTTTGCCCAGAGGAGAGGCAGTCCGTAGGAAAAAGCTCCGAAGCCTTCCCCAAAGGAACTCACTTTATTTGAAACATAGTGTGGGGAAGTTCAAGCCTAAAGGGCACCCTGGAAACCAGCTCCTCTTAAATAAGAACAAGCTAAACATAAGCCAACTAGTTCATAAGAAACCAGGGAAAGAGACAACTAAGAAGGGCCCTCCTGGTTTCAGAACAACCCTCAGAAACTGGCTTGAAAGCCTACACCTGCCCAAATTAAATTGGATCAGCCTGTGGAGAAATTTTTGTCCTAGAGCACTGCTGAAAACAGAGCAATTAGATAGTAATTAGGGAGTAGTCAGGCACAGTGGCTCACGTCTGTAATCCCAGCACTTTGGGAGGCCAAGGTGGGTGGATCACTTGAGGTCAGGAGTTCAAGACCAACCTGGCTAACATGGTGAAACGCCATCTCTACTAAAAATAGAAAAATTAGCTGGGGATGGTGGCACATGCCTGTAGTCCCAGCTACTCAGGAGGCTGAAGCATAAGAATTGCTTGAGCCCAGGAGGCGGAGGTTGCAGTCAGCCATCGTACCACTGCACTCCAGTCTGGGTGACAGAGCGAGACTCTTTCCTCAAAAAAAAAAAAAAAAAAAAAAAAAAGTAATTAGGGTAGCCAACAGTGTGATAACAAAGGAAGCAAAGAGCTATACAGACATATCAGGGAAAGAGACAAAGTGAGCTCTGCTAAAACCACCATCATCCCAAGTAAACTGTGGGCACAGCCAAGGATAAGCTCTCTGAAGAGGGAGGAAGGCTTCATGTTGCAAAAGACAGACTTCATTACATGAGTTTAGCCAAGTCACTAAACAAATAAACAAGCACACAACAATAAAAACAAGCCCCAGAGGAGGAGAATCAATATTCTCCAAAATTGCTACAATATATTCCCTAAAACATCTAGTTTTCAACAAAAAATTATGACTGTAAAGAAACAGGAAAGTGTGACCTACACACAAGAAAAAGGTGGGTAAAAGAAACTGCCTTTGCGAGGGCTCACACATTAAATTTAACAGAAAAAGACTTCAGATAAACCATTATAAATATTTTCAAAGTAGAAAAGGAAATCATGCTCAAAGTAGTAAACAAAGCTGTAATGACAATGTCTCATGAAAAAGAGCATCAACAAAAAGACAAAAATTATAAAAAGAACCAAATGAAAATTCTGCAGTCAAAAGGTACAATAACTAAAATGAAAAATTCACTAAAGGGGCTCAACAGTAGATTTGAACCAGAAGTATCATCAAACTTGGACATAGGCCAGGCGTGGTAGCTCATGCTTGTAATCCCAGCACTTTGGGAGGCCGAGGCAGGCAGATCACCTGAGGTCAGGAGTTCAAGGCCAGCCTGGCCAACATGGCGAAACCCCGCCGGGCATAGCGGCACATGCCTGTATTCCCAGCTACTCAGGGGGTTGAGGCAGGAGAATTGCTTGAACTCAGGAGGTGGAGATTGCAGTGAGCTGAGATGGTGCTACCGCACTCCAGCCTGGACAACAGAGGGCGACTCTGTCTCCAAAAAAAAAAAAAAAAAAAAAAAAAAAAAAACTTGGACATAGATTGACATATAGAAGACAGAAGAAATATAAACAAAATCTCAGAAAAATGTGGAACACTTTCAAGTGAACATACCCTAATGAAAGACTAGAAGGACAGAAAGCAGCAGAAAAATATTTAAAGAAATAATGGCTGAAAATGACATAGTAAATAAAAGCGGAAGAAACAGTATAAAAATTGATAAGAAAAACGAAAACATCTTACTTTTACTAATTTTTATGAACCTTTTAAAGTTTGCACATCTAACACTATGAGGACCTTTGGATACTTAACCTGTTAAAAATTCTACTACACAGGCCGAAGCAGGCGGATCACCTGAGGTTAGGAGTTTGAGACCAGACTGGCCAACATAGTAAAACCCCATCTTTACTAAAAATACAAAAATTAGCTGGGTGTGGTGGTATGCGCCTGTAATTCAAGCTACTCAGGAGGCTGAGGTAGGAGAATCGCTTGAACCTGGGAATTGGAGGTTGCAGTGAGCCAAGATGGTGCCACTGCACTGCAGCCTGGGAGATACAGCAAGACTCCATCTCAAAAAAAAAAAAAAAAAAAATCTACTACAAACAGAGTTATTTTAATTAACAAACAAAATTGTATATATTTACTGTGGGCAACATATTGTTTTAATATATATATAGTAGAATGACTATAGCTAATTAACATATATATTACCTCACAGAGTTATTATTTTTGTGGCAAAGACACTTTACATTCACTCTCAGCATTTTTCAAGAATACAATATATTGGTTGGGTGTGGTAGCTCACACCTGTAGTCCCAGCACTTTGGGAGGCTGAGGTGGGAGGATTGCTTGAACCCAGGAGTTCAAGACCAGCCTGTGCAACATGGCAAAACCCCATCCTTACAAAAAAAAAATACAAAAATTAGCCAAGTGTGGTGGTGCGCACCTGTGGTTACCAGCTACTCAGTAGACTGAGGTAGGAGGATCACTTGGGCCAAGGAGGTTTAGGCTGCAGTGAGCCGTGATCATACCACCACAATCCAGCTTGGGTGACAAGAGTGATACTCTGACTCAAAAAAAGAAACAAAACCACACACACACACAAAATACTATTAATTATAGTCACCATGTTGTAAAATAGAATTCTTGAATTTATTCCTCCTACATAACAAAATTTTGTATTCTTTGATCAACAACTCCCCTACCACCCAAGCCCATGGTAATCCCATTCTGTGCTCTACTATTATGAGATCAACTTTTTTAGCTCCTATATAAGTGAGAATATGCAATATTTGTCTTTCTGTGCCTGGCTTATTTCATTTCAAATAAGGTCTTCCAGGTTCATCCATGTTACTGCAAATGACAAGATTTTGTTCTTTTTTATGGCTGAATAGTATTCCACTGTGTATATATACCATGTTTTCCTCATCCAATGGACAATTAGACTGACGCTATATCTTGGTTATTGTGAATAATGCTGCAATAAAACTGGGAGGGAGGGCAGATATCTCTTCAACATACTGACTTCATATTCTTTTTTTTTTTTTTTGAGATGGAGTCTGGCTCTGTCACCTAGGCTGGAGTGCAGCAACACAATCTCAGCTCACAGTAACCTCCACCTCCTGGATTCAAGCAATTCTCCTGCCTCAGACTCCACGGTAGCTGGGATTACAGGAGTACACCACCACATCTGGCTAATTTTTTATATTTTTGGTAGAGACGGGGTTTCACCATGTTTGCCAGGCTGGTCTCAAACTCCTGGCCTCAAGTGATCCGCCTGCCTCGCCTCCCAAAGTGCTGGGATTACAGGCATGAGCCACTGCACCTGGCCTTGACTTCATATTCTTTGGATATATGTCCAGTAGTGGGACTGCTGGATCATATGGTAGTTCTATTTTTAGAGTTTTTTTTTTGTTTGTTTTTTGAGACAGAGTTTTGCTCTTGTTGCCAGGCTGGGGTGCAATGGCGTGATCGTGGCTCACTGCAACCTCTGCCTCCCAAGTTCAAGCAATTCTCCTGCCTCGGCCTCCCAAGTAGCTGGGATTACAGGCATGTGCCACCACGCCCAGCTAATTTTTGTATTTTTAGTAGAGGCAGAGTTTCATCATGTTGGTCAGGCTAGTCTCGAACTCCCGACCTCAGGTGATCCACCCACCTCGGCCTCCCAAAGTGCTGGGATTACAAGCGTGAGCCACCACGCCTGGCCTATTTTTAGTTTTTTTGGTGTTTTTTTTTTTTGTGTGTGTGTTTTTAGTAGAGATGGGTTTTCACTATGTTGCCAGGCTGCTCTCAAACTCATGACCTCGTGATCCGCCCGCCTCAGCCTCCCAGAGTGCTGGGATTACAGGCGTGAGCCACTGCGCCCGGCCTATTTTCAGTTTTTTAAGGAACCTCCATACTGTTCCTCAAAACAGCTGTACTAATTTACATTCTTACTAACTCTGTGATTCCCTTTTCTCCACACCCTAGCCAACGTTTGTTATCATTTATCTTTTGGTAACGGCCATTCTAACTGGTGTAATATGATATCTCATTGTGGTTTTAAGTGTGTTTCCCTGATCATTAGTGTTAAGCCTTAATGTTAAGCAGTTTTTCATATACCTTTTGGCCAGTCTTCTTTTAAGAAATGTCTATCTGGTCCTTTGCCTTTTGAGACAGCATCTCACTCTGTCCCCCAGGCTAGAATGTAGCAGCGTGATCTCGGCTCACTGCAACCTTCCCTTCCCAGGCTCAAACCATCCTCCCACTCAGCCTCCAAGTAGCTGGGACTACAGGTGTGTGCCACTACACCCGGCTAATTTTATCTATTTTTTTTTTTTTGAAACAGAATTTTGCTCTTGTTGCCCAGGCTGGAGTGCAATGGTGCAAACTCGGCTCATGGCAACCTCCGCCTCCCGGGTTCAAGCAATTCTCCTGCCTTAGCCTCCCGAGTAGCTGGGATTACAGGCGCCCACCACTGCACCCGGCTAATTTTTTGTATTTTCAGTACAGGTGGGGTTTTGCCATGTTGGCCAGGCTGGTCTCGATCTCCTGACCTCAGGCGATCCACCCACCTCGGCCAACCAAAGTGCTGGGGTTACAGGCGTGAGCCACCGTGCCCGGCCAATTTTATCTATTTTTTGTAGAGACAGGGTTTCACCATGTTGCCCAGGCTGGAATTGCCTGTTTTTTAATTGGGTTGTTTTCTTACTATTGCATTCTTTGAGTTCCTTATATATTTTGATTATTAACCCCTTATCAGATGTATAATTTACAAATATTTTCTCCCATTATGTAGGTTGGCTCTTCATTCTGTTGTTTCCTTTGCTGTGCAGAGGCTTTTCAGTTTTGATGTAATCCTATTTGTTTATTTTTGCTTTTGTTGCCTATAATCAGGATCTTTAAAAAATAGCTCTTTGATATGAACAGCTTAGAGATGTGATCCCAGAATCTGAACTTTTAATTAGTGGAGAAATGATAAAAGTTAACTTCACCAGCAATTTTACCATCAGTTTCTCTTTTGTAATGTGTATTTTAAGGGCCATATTTCATTAATGATCACCTGTCTGTGGTGCTAATCTTCAAAACAGAAAACAGAATTTGTGTCATATTAAAAATGTTAGTAATCTACCATATAACTTATCAAAACATCTCAGAAATTTTATTTTATTTTTTTGGAGAGGGTCTCATCCTCACCCTGTCACCCAAGCTAGACAGGCTAGAGTGCAGTGGGGTGATCACAGCTCACTACACCCTTCACTTCCCGGGCTCAAGTGATCCCCTTACTTCAGCCTCCCGAGTAGCTGGGACTACAGGTGCAAGCCACAACACCCAGCTAATTTTTAAATTTTTTTGTAGAGACAAGGTATCACCGTGTTGCCTAGGCTGGTCTCAAACTCCTGGGCTCAAGCGATCTTCCCACCTTGGCCGCCCAAAGTTCTGGGATTATAGGCATGAGCCGCCATGCCTGGCCCAGAAATTTTAAAGATAGAGTTGACCTTATCAGTGATCAGAAGAAAGGATTA
The DNA here is from genome assembly GCF_000001405.40 of Homo sapiens. Taxonomy (NCBI): domain Eukaryota; kingdom Metazoa; phylum Chordata; class Mammalia; order Primates; family Hominidae; genus Homo; species Homo sapiens. The sequence goes on along the minus strand of NW_003315917.2, from coordinate 187,002 downwards.
AAGACTAAATATCTACTTTGATACAATGAAGTGTTTTATCTTACAGCTTTTGTAAGTACTGATACTTAAAGTGTTTAAAATGTTGTGTATTCATAGGCAAAAATAACGTTTATGCAGTGGACATGATGAATCTGTTGGTCAGAATCCAGATATCTTTCCTCTCCTTGCCAATTTTTTTTAAGATCACTTCTGTGGTATTTCTGCCAAAAAAATACATATCCTGAATCCAATAATGAGGAATCACCAGACAAACCCAAATTGAGGGATCGTACAGTAACTGTCCTATATCCCTCTAAAATGTCATGGACAAAGAAAGACTACAAAACTGTTCCAGATCAAGGGAGACTAAAAACACACGGAAACTAAATCACTAAATGCATCAGGTTATCTTTCATTGGATTCTGGACAAGAAATGGGGAGTTATCATTTTACAAAGGAGATTATTAGGGCTGGGTGCAGTGGCCTGTGCCTATAATCCTAGCCCTTTGGGAGGCTGAGGCAAGAGGATTGCTTGAGGCCAGCAGTTCAAGACCAACCTGGCCAACAAAGCGAGATCCCATCTCTATTAATTAAAAATAATTAAAAAAGGATATTATTAGGACAATTGGAAAAATTTGAATGGGGACTATAAAATAAACGGTATTAATGTTAATTTCCTGATTTGATTGCACACTGTGGTTATGCAGGAAAATGTCCTTGTTTTTGGCAAGTGCAGACTTAAGTTTTTAAGAATAATGGGATATCATGCCTGCAATTTACTCAAGACTAGTTTAGCAAAATAATACATATATGTGCATGCTTATAAAGAGAGAGAATATAATCAGGCAAATATGGTAAAAAATGTAATAATCAGGAAACTTAGTGAAGGATATACAAGAATTTTTTGTACTATTCTTGCATCCTTACATTTAAAATAATTTTTTTTTTTTTTTTGAGACAGAGTCTCACTCTGTCTCCCAGGCTGGAGTGCAGTGGCGTGATCTCAGCTCACTGCAAGCTCCGCCTCCCGGGTTCATACCATTCTCCTGCCTCAGCCCACTGAGTAGCTGGGACTACAGGCACCTGCCACCGTGCCCGGCTGATTTTTTATATTTTTAGTAGAGACGGGGTTAGCCAGGATGGTCTTGATCTCCTGACCTCGTGATCCGCCCGCCTCGGCCTCCCAAAGTGTTGGGATTACAGGCGTGAACCACTGCGCCCAGCCTGAAATAATTTCAAAATAAAGTTTAAAAACCAGTGGCCGGGCGCGGTGGCTCACGCCTGTAATTCCGCACTTTGGGAGTCCGAGGTGGGCAGATCACTTAAGGCCAGGAGTTTGAGATCAGCCTGGCCAACATGGTGACACCCCACCTCTACTAAAAATACAAAAAAAATTAGCCGGGTGTTGTGGCACATGCCTGTAATCCCAGCTACTTTGGAGGCTGAGGCAGGAGAATCGCTTGAACCTGGGAGGCAGAGGTTGCAGTAAGTCGAGATCATGCCATTGCACTCCAGCCTCAGCAACAAGAGTGAAACTCCATCTCAAAAAAAAAAACAAAAAGTTTAAAAACTAGTGTAATCTTTTTTTTTTTTTTTTTTTTTTTTTTGAGACAGAGTCTTGCTCTGTTGCCCAGGCTGGAGGGCAGTGGTGCAATCTCGGCTCACTGCAAGCTCCGCCTCCCAGGTTCATGCCATTCTCCCGCCTCAGCCTCCCAAGTAGCTGGGACTACAGGCACCCACCACCAGGCCTGGTTTTTTTTGTTTTTTGTGGGTTTTTTTTGTATTTTTAGTAGAGATGGGGTTTCACCATGTTAGCCAGGATGGTCTCGATCTCCTGACCTTGTGATCCGCCCGTCTTGGCCTCCCAAAGTGCTGGGATTACAGGCATGAGCCACTGCACCCGGCCAAAAACTAGTGTACTCTTAAAGCAATTGGCAAGGAGAAGGGCAATCTCTGGATTCTGATCAACAGATTAATCATGACCACTGCCCAAAAGTTATCCCATTTTTGCCTATGAATGCATAACATTTTCAAAACTTGTGCAGATGTATACTGCCACAGGCATAGTAATGTTTGTAGCATTATAATTTCGTAACAGAAATATAATGAAAATATACTATTAATAGGCATTTTTGTAATACTGAAATCCACCAAAATATCCATCATAAGGTTAAATAAAATGTTTACAAATTGGAAAAAAATGAGATTGCTGCTCTGACATTAACTTATAAGATATGAAAGGCTATCCACAGTAAGTGACATAAGCAAATTAAAGCTTGCCTCATTCTGCATGTTTCTACATCCACAGAAGAGTATCTGGAAGAATTTACATTAATCTGTCAAAGCAACCTGTGGTTGTAGGGGAAGTACTTTCAATTTTTACTTTAGAAACTTTTTTCTTTTTTCTGAGACAGTCTTGCTCTGTCGCCCAGGCTGGAGTGCAATGGCCTGATCTTGGCTCACTGCAACCTCCGCCTCCGGGGTTGAAGGTTCTCCTGCCTCAGCCTCCCGAGTGGCTGGGATTACAGACGCGTGCCACCACGCCTGGCTAATTTTTTGTATTTTTAGTAGAAATGGGGTTTCCCAGCCCTGGCCTCCCAAAGTGCTGGGATTACAGGCATAAGCCACCACGTTCGGCTCTTTATATATTTCTGTATCATCTGATGCTTTTTGTTTTTTTGAGACAGACCTCACTTTGTCACCCAGCCTGGAGTGCAGGTGTGCGATCTTGGCTCACTGCAGCCTCCACCTCCTGGGTTCAAGTGATTCTCCTGCCTCAGCCTCCCGAGTAGCTGGGATTACAAGCGCATGCCACCACACCTGGCTAATTTTTTTATTTTTAGTAGAGACAGGGTTTCACCATGTTGGCCAGGCTGGTCTCGAACTCCTAACCTCCAGTGATCTCCCTGTCTTGACCTTCCAAAGTGCTGAGATTACAGGCATGAGCCACTGCACCTGGCCTGTTTGATGCGTTTTAAAAAAAAAAACATAAAGGATCCAGAATTATCTGGATCAAAAAATAAAAGGAAAAAAAGTATCTCACTGCATATAGCAATAAATTGGCCCACAAAAAGATATTGCTATAAAACCCTACTTCTGGCCGCGTGCGGTGGCTCACACCTGTAATCCCAGCACTCTGGGGGGCCGAGGCAGGCAGATCACAAGGTCAGGAGATCGAGACCATCCTGGCTAATACAGTGAAACCCCATCTCTACTAAAAATACAAAAATTAGCCAGGTGTGGGGGCGCGTGCCTGTGGTCCCAGCTACTCAGAAGGCTGAGGGAACAGAATTGCTTGAACCCAGGAGGCAGAGGTTGCAGTGAGCCGAGATCGTGCCACCGCAATCCAGCCTGGACAGTAGAGACTCCCCCTAAAAAAATAAAATAAATAAATAAATAAATAAATAAATAAACCCTACTTCTTAAAAGAAAAGAAAAACCTATGTTATTACCTTGATTTCTCATTGGAATGGTTAGTAGAGCAAGGTATGGCAATAGCTGAGTTTGGCGGCATAAAGCTGGTAGGCAGAAGTCAGGAAAAAGTGCTTTTGCTGCCAGGCAATTTTCCCGATACTGTATAGAAAAGAAAAAAAAAAGATGAAAGGAAAAATGAAATTAAAAATATGTATTCCTAGACAAACTAAGTTTATTATATAAACTTACACAATAAGTTTATATTAACTTGTGGGTTTATATATCACAAATATACTTTTAATAGCTTATTTAAGTAGTCCTTTATAGTTTTTTTAGCATCGTTTAATAAAGTATTTTACCTACACAACTATTCCACATTTAATAAACAACAATTTTTAAAAGACATTGAATGTATAAGAAAACCAAATTTAAAACTCAAAGGAATTGTTTATGAGCACACACACATCATAAATTACACGAAAATAGTTTTCAATGAAATAATTTGTTTTCTTTAGTCAACACAACGTTATGCTGAGCAAGAGAAAAGCACAATCCCTGCCTTCAAGAAGCTAACAGTCTTAGATAATTTATATGCAGCAACAATGCAAAATTAATATATATGCTATAAAAGACAAAGCAAGTCAATGAGATATAAATTGCTTAAAAGTCATTAAATTCTCCAAGAAATCTGTTGGAAAAAATGTCCTAGGTAATAAATTATAGGGTAATTTTCAGCTGTATGATTTTAGAACTGGAAGACATCTCAGAGACGACCCAGTCCAGGGGTCACGAATTCAGATATTACAGAAGTCAAGCAGGCAATATAAGTGAATGAACCAGCTGGGGACAGTGGTGCCTACTACTCTCATCTCAAAGGGGCAGATGCTACATGGCGAGGTGATTGTTGCTACGCAGAAATATGAGCCAGTGTTATACTTCACTTTCATTTTTTTGAGAGATGGGGGTCTCACTCTGTTGCCCAGGCTGGAGTGCAGTGGCACAATCATTGTTCACTGCAAACTCTGCCTCCCAGGCTTATGCAATCCTCCCAATTCAGCCTCCCAAGTAGCTGGGACTAGGTAGGAAAAACAAAAAAAATTTTTCCTTTTTCCTGTAGATATGGGATCTCACTATATTGCTGGTCTCAAATTCCTGGTGTTTGCCACCACACCCAGCTAATTTTTTTATTATTTTTTTTTTTATACAGATGGGGTTTCACCATATTGCCCAGGCAGGTCTCAAACTCCTGGGCTCTAGTGATCCTTCCACCTCAGCTTTCCAAAGTGCTCGGATTACAGGTGTGAGCCACTGCACCTGGCCTCTTTTTTTTTTTTTTTTTTTTTTAACCAGGAGATTCCAGAAATTCTGAAGCTAGAAATTCATATCTAACTTTTTTTTTTTCTTTCTGAGACAGAGTCTTTTTCTGTCGCCTAGGCTGGAGTGCAGTGGCATGATCTCGGCTCACTGCAACTTCTGCCTCCCGGGTTCACGCGATTCTCCTGCTTCGGCCTCCTGAGTAGCTGGGATTACAGGAGCGCACCACCACACCTGGCAAACTTTTGTATTTTTAGTAGCGATGGGGTTTCACCATGTTAGTCAGGCTGGTCTCGAACTCCTGACCTTGTGTTCTGCCCGCCTCAGCCTCCCAAAAGTGCTGGGATTACAGGTGTGAGTCACAGCGCCCAGCCGAAATTCATATCTGACTTTTAATCATTAGTCTGATTTTTAAAGATTGGCAATTCATTTTGAAAACTGTTGTGTATTTTGTTTTCAACTTGTGTGCCTCCCATTTTTTACCTCTAAATAATTCAATCATCTACATTTTTAGCTGTGGAGAGTAAGAACACATTAGGTGAATACCTTGTCCACACAGAGGCAAGGCCAAGATTTCTTCTCCTTTCTTTGATTAATTTAAATTGACAAATAAGCTCTGTATGTATTTATAGGTATACAACATGATGTTCTGAAATATGTATATATGGTAGAATGGCTAAATTGAGCCAATTAACATATGCATTACCTTACATACATATATTTTTTGTGTGTGGTGAGAACACTTAAAATCTACCGTTTTAGTGATTTTCTTTTTTTTTTTTTAGATGGAGTCTCGCTCTGTCTCTCAGGCTGGAGTGCAGTGGCGCCATGTCAGCTCACTGCAAGCTCCGCCTCCTGGGTTCACGCCATTCTCCTGCCTCAGCCTCCAGAGTAGTTGGGACTACAGGCGCACGCCGCCACACCCGGCTAAGTTTTTTTATTTTTAGTACAGACAGGGTTTCATCGTGTTAGCCAGGATGGTCTCCATCTCCTGACCTCGTGATCTGCCCGCCTCAGCCTCCCAAAGTGCTGGGATTACAGGCGTGAGCCACCATGCCCGGCCATGATTTTCAAATACATGACACATTGTTGTTAATAGTCACCATGTTATACAACATATCTCTTGAACTTAAAACTTATTCCTCCTGGCCAGCGAGGCTCCGTCTCAAAAACCAAAAACAAAAAAAACTTATTCCTCCTGCCTAACTGAAATTTTATATACTAGGGATTTCTATTTTCCAATCAGCATTCTCAGGTTGAACTAGGGTTTATTTATTTACAATTTTTTTCTTTTTCTTGTAGATATGGGATCTCACTATGTTGACCAGGCTGGTCTCAAACTCCTGGGCTCAAGTGATCCTCTTGTTTTGGCCTTCCACAGTGCTGGGATTACAGGTATGAGCCACCATGCCTGGCCCTAAAGTTTGTTTTTAATTGAAACTGAAATATAACTATGCAGCTGGGCACAGTGGCTCATGCCTGTAATCCCAGCACTTTGAGAGGCCAAGGCGGGCAGATCACTTAAGGTCAGGAGTTCAAGAACAGCCTGGCCAACATGGCAAAACCCCATCTCTACTAAAAATACAAAAATTAGCTGGGCATGGAGGTAGATGCCTGTAATCCCAGCTACTCAGGAGGCTGAGGTGGGAGAATTGCTTGAACCTAGGAGGTAGAGGTTGCAGTGAGCAGAGATGGCACCACTGCACTCCAGCCTAGGCAAGAGAACGACTCTGTCTGAATAAAAATAAAAAATAAAAAATAAAATATGGCCGAGCATGGTGTCTCACATTTGTAATCCCAGCACTTTGAGAGGCCAAGGCAAGAGGATCATGAGGTCCAAAGATCGAGACCAACCTGGCCAACATGGTGAAACCCTGTCTCTACTAAAAATACAAAAAATTAGCCAGGCGTGGTGGCTGGCGCCTGTAATCCCAGCTACCTGGGAGGCTGAGGCAGGAGAACTGCTTGAACCCGGGAGGCGGAGGTTGCAGTGAGCCGAGATCATGCCATTGCATTCCAGCCTGGGCAAAAAGAGCGAAACTCCGTCTCAAAAAATAAAAAAATAAAAAATAAAATAAAATGTAACTACGCTTTGATTCCAATAAAACTGAACTAATATTTTCAAATTGTGATGGTCTTTTTTCCCTTAAAAAATTGTACAAGCATTTAAGAGTCACCTTTTTATGTTTTATAAAAACTCAGAATCTAATTGTGGACCTTAGCAACTATTTTATTAAAAATGAAATATTTTTTCCTTTGTTATGTTTTAAAGAAAATAACTGCTTTGAGTTATAATTCACGTACCATAAAGTTCACATATTGAAAGTACAGAATTTTTTTTTTTTTTTTTTACCTTTTTATTTATTAGAAACCACTGAGGTTTGTGCAAGGGTCGAAAACTTGATCCTCCTCCTTGGCAATGAGCATATCCTCGGGCTTTGTTGGAATGCATCACACCTCTCGTAGCTATAGATGTGCTATATTCCCTGAGTAAAGAGCGTGTCTAACAAATGAGACAAGATGTGAAAGAAAATAGATTTATAAAAGAGCATTACTGGTATTCCTGATATATACAAAAATACTAACCGTATTTAGTTTCTATGTGTTCACTTTCTTCAACATCACTACAGCCCTATAAATAACAGCACTATAAACTTATCTAAAGCAAATTCCACTGGGACATAGCCATCAAATTAAATGTGTAAACCCTGACTGGATCTTGGACAGGGGTGGAGGAAACAACTTTGAATACATTTTTGAGGCAAATGAGGAAATCTGAATAGGGACAATATATTGCTAGATTAGTGTCAAGTTTCTCTGGAAAGTTAACTTAATTATATAACTAATTAGTTAATGTAACTAATTAGTTAATATAACTAAAATATAATTGAAACTAAAATATGACTATGCAGCTGGGCGCAGTGGCTCACGCCTGTAATCCCAGCACTTTGAGAGGCCAGTTATATCAACTAGTTATATTTTAGTTTCAATGGGGTATGATAATGCTATGGTAGTTGTAATAGAACAATGTCCTTATGCTGCTTAAGTGTCACGATGTTCGCAATTACTAATACTTTCCAATTATTCAGCCAGAAACAAATACGTAAATATATAGAGAGATTAAGAAAAAGTGGCAAAATATGCAAACTGCTAAACAAAAGTTAAGGATATGCAGCTATTCATTGTACTATCATTTTTTTTTAATTTTTAATTTGTGTGGGTACTTAGTAGCTGTATATATTTATGAGGTACAGGGGTCATTTTGATACCAGCATACAATGTGTAATAATTACCTCAAGTTAAATGGGGTATCCATTACCTCAAGCATTTATCCTTGGTGTCACAAACAAGTCAATTATACTCTTTTCGTTATTTTGTATTATTATTTAAAATAGGGTCTCAGTCTGTTGCCCAGCCTGGAATGTGGTGGCACGATCACAGCTCACTACCACCTCAAACTCCTGGGCTCAAGTGATTCTCCCACCACAGCCTCCCAAGTAGCTACGACTACAGGTGCATGCCACCATACCCAGCTAATTTTTAAAATCTCTTCTAGAGATGGGGTCTCGCTGTGTTTCCCAGGCTGTTCTCAAACTTCTGGCCTCAAGTGATCTTCCTGCCTTGGACTCCCAAAGTGCAGAATTACTGGCAGGAACCACCACTCCTGGCTCATTGTACTATCCTTTTAATTTATTTATAGGATGGAAAATTTCAAAATAAGAAAGAAACAATTATTTTAAAAGTTAAGCAAATTCAACTGCTGAGTAATGAAGCTCTATAACATAAATGGTTTTTCTGTGTCTTTCCTAATTTTACTTATTACTGCTATTTCAATTTTTTAATTTTTTGAGACAAGGTCCAGCTCTATTGCCCAGGCTGGAGTGCAGTGGTGTGATCTCAGCTCACTGCAACCTCTGCCTCCCAGGCTCAAGCCATCCTCCCACCTCAGCCTCCTGAGTAGCTGGGACCACTACACCCAAACAATTTTCTTGGTATTTTTTTGTAGAGATGGGGTTTCATCACATTGCCCCAGCTGGTCTCATACTCATGAGCTCAAGTGATCCACCTGCCTCGGCCTCCTTAAGTGCTGGGTTTACAGGTGTGACCCACTGAGCCCGGCCTTATTTTAATATTTATAGCACACAGAAATATTAACGTATCAAAATAGTGTCGTCCAACAGAACGCCCTGCAATGATGGAAATGTTTTGTATCTGGGCTGTTCAATAAAGTAGCCATCAGCCACATGCAGTTATCAAGTACTGGAGATGTGGCTAGTATGACTGAGGAACTGAATTTTTAATTAAATTTAAATGTAAATAGCTACATGTGGTTGGTGGCTGTTGTACTGGTAAGGGCAGTGTTAAGATGTTAAGAACAAAATACAAATTTTATGGTAAATAGTTTCAAATATGTAAAAGAAATAAATTTTAAAAACTAGCAGAAAGTGTAGCAACATGTACAGTTCTTTCTCTTGTATCTACTTCTTAATGGTTGTCATATTTTGAGTATGTATTAATTTTAAAATCAGAAAATAAGCTGGGGCTGGGCATGGTGGCTCACTCCTGTAATCCCAGCACTTTTGAGAGGCCAGGGCAGGCAGATCGCTTGAGCTCAGGAGTTGGAGACCAGCATGGGTAACATGGTGAACCCTGTCTCTAAAACAAAGAAAAAAAAATTAGCTAAGGATAGTGGTGCTTGCCTGTAGTCCCAGCTACTAGATGGGGAGTGCCTGAGGTTGGAGGATCGCTTGAGCCCAGAAGGTCAAGGTTGCAGTGAACCATGTTTGTACCACTGGACTCCAGCGTGGGCAAAAAAGTAAGACGCTGTCTCGAAAAAAAAAAAAAAATAAGCTGGGCATGGTGGTGTGTGCCTGTATTTCTAGCTACTTCGAAGGCAGAGAGGACAGGATTCCCTAAACCCAGTAGTTCAAGACCAGACTGGGTAACATAGCTGTAGACAGAGCCTCTTCTCAAAAAAAAAAAAAAAAAAAAAAAAAACCACCATAACACAAAACACAAAATCAGAAAATTTAGAGACAGGAGTGTGGTGGCTCACGCTTGTAATCCCAGCACTTTCGGAGGCTCAGGTGAGAGGACTGTCTGAGCCCAGGAGTTTGAGACCAGCCTGAGCAACACAGTAAGACCCTGTCTCTACACACACACACAGAAAAAAAAGAAAAAAAGAAAATAACTTTAGAAACAATTGGTGCTATATTATCAGCAGAAAAATCAGATTTGCTACTGAAGCTTCATTATAAACACTGAGTTGGTTACATTAACTTTAGCATAGTTATGAAGAAAAGTCACATAAAATAATGTCAGGCAATTAGGGATAAAAGTAAACTTTCTTTTCTTAATTCTAAGGAAATACTATAAACATAAACATTTTAAGTCAAATGGTCTTACATTCCAGTCACCACTGAGGATATCTGCAAAACTCAGAAATTCACTGGCTCTCACAATATCATCAATTTCCATGAAGAAATCTATGTAGTTTTGGTGAAGATATAAATTAAATAAGTCTCCAGGCATGTGTGACATTTCTACTACCTCCTATAAAAAGAAGCATATATACATAAATTTGGTAAAAATGCAATGGTCAAATATATATGCACACGAATAATATATCCTTTGTAACCTATACTAAGTGTCATCAAAGAACTTACCTCAGGTTCAACAAGTAATGTATCCCGTTCATATTCTGATAAATGAGAGGGCAACCGAGGTGAGTCTAATTCTGTTAAAGATGCTCCTATAAAAAATTTCTGGAATTATTAAAGATAATACCTTCTTTATAATTATATAGCACCTCTCATTTGAAGAGTTTGAAAATTTTAGACATACAATACCAACATAGTAACAAACTGTTAAAAAATAATAAATAAATAAAAAACAACTGGAAGCAAGCACCTATTTTTTCCACATTAGCAAGAACTAAATTAACAATTCTGATGCTTAGATTATGGCTTCTCTAGACTTAAAATATTCCATTTCCTAATGCACTCCCATTTCACCTTTTTCAGCTTTGGGTTGCTTTCTTCCCTTGATTTCTCATCTCAATACAGTGGTCTTTACTCTTTTATTTACTATGTAGGAAGATGTTGCTCTCTACATGAAAGAATACGGATTCCATTCACTAATGCAAGAGACGATAAACGTATGTTGGGGAGGAAAAGAAAGGAGAGAAAGAAAAGAATCAGGTGGGAATAGTCACTCAGGTTCAAAGTAAGAGGATCCAGTGACAGAGGAGTGTCCTCACTGCCACCTAAGTGATGCCCATTTTCCTCAGATGGTATGAAGGTTTCCATTTAGAAATCCTAATTTCTTTCCTTTAGGGTCATCAGACTGAAAACAGGCATTTGCTATCAAAAGGAGGGATTATTTGGGACACTAAAATGGGCAATAGGGAGTGAAAGAACTGAGGGGGAGCAGTCATCAAAAAAGACAGAAAAGGCGATAAACATCTCTGGTTGGGGAGACAGAACGCTTGTAAATTAGAGAAATACAAGACGATTGAAAGAAACCTTAAACTACCTGGTAATTTGTATGAGGCTCTGTTGGCTGGAGCCCAGTGTTAAGAGGGCTTTAGGCTACCAACACTTGCCACTACAAGTCTAGATGATCTGCTCTCTTACCTTCAGCAAACTATAATTTTAAAGATTTACACACATGGATATGGCCTGCAATTGCATGTTTTTACTTTTAATCCTGCTTACGGTCAGAAAATATTCTGATTTCCTACTATGTCTTAGGCCTAGGCAAACAGTATCTGACCTAGCTCTAACTCTTAGAGCAGAACCAAAATACATGACATTTTTTTAAAAGTGACATTTTATTTCCATTTTAAGACTATGTGATATCCAACAGATTTTAAAAGTGTAAAAATTTCTTACTTTTACAATATAGAATTTTCCCCAAAGCTCTGAAGAGAAACAGAGAAACATCTTTGCCACCAATAGCTTGGACCTCTTGATTTTCAAAAACCCTATCAGGTTTTTTTCTTCGTTTTGATTTTGACAGCACAGCATCTGATTTTAAAGACATTCCTTTTTTCCTTGGCCGTAAGTTGTTTTCTCCTGAATAATATACATCCAAGTGACAATATTTAAATTAAAATATGAAAATTAAAACTAAGAACACTTCAGATATAGTTACACTAAATATTCTAATTACAATTTGTTTTCCTAATAAACAAAAATTATAAATGACATTAACTGAGTTGGAATCCTCTTTGGGTTACTAACATTAAAATGGAATAAAGTATTATCTGAAAGTTATTTCATAATGCAGATTTCAAACTTTCACATGCACAATAGCACAATCTCTAATATAGGCTGACATTCCTGATCCAAAAAATTCAAACTCCAAAATACTCCAAAATATGAAACTTGCAGTGCCAACATGATGCTCAAAGGAAATGCTCATTGGAGCACTTTGTATTTCAGATTTTCAGACAAGGGATTTTCAATTCGTATAATGCAAATATTCCAAAATCTTAAAAAAATCTGCAATCCTTCTATTCCCAAAAATTGCAAATAAAGGATATTCAACCTGTACAGTCACATCGCCTTGGTTTCTCATCGTGTTATGTGCAAGATACTGTTCTTGGCATGTAATACATAGGAATTTAATCTTCATAACAACCCTGTGAAGGGAGAATTTTTTTTTTTTTTTTTTGAGATGGAGTCTCGCTCTGTTGCCCAGGCTGGAGTGCAGTGGTGTGATCTCGGCTCACCACAACCTCTGCCTCCTGGGTTCAAGCGATTCTCCTGCCTCAGCCTCCCGAGCAGCTAGAATTACAGGTGTATGCCCGGCTAAATTTTTGTATTTTTAGCAGAGATGAGGTTTCACCATGTTGGCCAGGCTGGTCACAACCTCCCAACCACACAAATTGGCCTCCCCAAGTGCTGGGATTACAGGCATGAGCCACCATGCCCGGCCTTTTTTTTTTTTTTGACACAGGGTCTGGCTCTATCACCCAGGCTGGAGTACAGTGGCACAATCATAGCTCACTGAAGCCTCAACCTCCAGGCTCAAGTGATCCTCCCACCTCAGCCTCTCAAGTAGCCGGGACTACATGCACCACCATGCTGGCTATATATATATATATTTTTAATTAGAGACGAGGCCTCGCTATGTTGCCCAGGCTGGTATCAGACTCTTGAGGTTGAAGCTTTCTTCCACCTCAGTCTCCTATAGTGTTGGGATAACACGCGAGAGCCACTGCACCTGACCAATTATTATTAGACAGTTAATGAAATGAGATACAAAGAGGTAAAGTCATTGGCTCAAGGTCATCAGTGAGTGAATGACTGGAATCCAGGCAGCCTGGTTCTGCAATCTATGTTTAACAACCTCTCTATTGATGTTGAGAGTATCCAATTTATGAATATGCATGTGATCACATTTCTTGGGTTTTTATTTTTTTTCCTTAATTTTTTTGTAGAGACAAGGTCTTGCTATGTTGCCCAGGCTGGTTTCAAACTCCTAGGCTCAAGTGATCCACCCACCTTGGCTTCAGGCATGAGTCACCATGCCTGACCCAAGTTTCATTTTTAAGTCTAATATTTAGAACTCAAGAGTGCATGGCTTAAAAGCTACCTTGAACAGCAGAAAGAGCACAGGATCTGGATTTGAATCAAAATACTGTCTATCTCATCAGGTTGATATGAGAATTAAATGAAAAAAACATAATTGCTAACACAGTTCCTGGCCCACTCTTTGATGTCAATTATCAACGTTAAGCATTAAGTAGTCTGCTAAATGCCTTCTGAAGGAGGACTATGCAGTAAACGATGACCATTACAGTAAAAATGTAACTCACTGCCATTAGTGAAACTATCTTTTTACTACATCTTTCTACATATTAACAGGAAATTTATTAAACATATCTCATAAATTTATACTTTTTAACATTAACAGGAAATAAATTTATTAAACATATCTCATAAATTATTATAAAAATAATTTCAGGCCAGATGAGGTGGCTCACACCTATAATCCCAGCACTTTGGGAGGCCAAGGCGGGCGGATCACGAGGTCAGGAGATAGCAACCATCCTGGCTAAGACAGTGAAACCCCATCTCTATTAAAAATACAATTAGCTGGGCGTGGTGGCAGCTGCCTGTAGTCCCAGCTACTCAGAAGGCTGAGGCAGGAGAATGCTGTGAACCTGGGAGGCGGAGCTTGCAGTGAGCCAAGATCATGCCACTGCACTCCAGCCCGGGCGGCAGAGCGAGACTCCGTCTCAAAATAAATAATAATAATTCCAAAAGTAAACCTACCTCTGCACAGTATTATTAAACTGATTAATGGCTGGCCATTTATTGAACACTTAATATGAATCAAGTACTGTAAGAAGCACTCTATAATAGTGTCACCTCACATATTCTTCATAGAACCCTAAGAGGTAAGTGCTCACATAAAAGGTGAGAAAACAGAGGCACAGAAAGATAAGAGTCACCTGCATAGGCCTATATAACTGGTAAGTGGCAGAGGCAGAATTTTTATCCAGGAAATCTGGTTCTAAGTTAACTTTGAAAGGTAAACTATCTCAAACAGAAACAAGGATATATACTACGACATATTCATAGAAGGGTATGTATGCATGTGTATATATTTAATTTTAAGCCACTGTCTCAGTAATAAAGAAGGATAAATAGGTATAGACCAAATGTAAGTTAAAATGTTTGATTTCATTGAATGAATTAAGAGAAAGTCAGTCACCTATATAATGCCACATGACTGTATCTTCCATAGTTACCTTTTGAAGAAGAAAACTGGAGGCTGTTTATTGCACTTCTGATATCACCAGAACATCCCTGACAGAGCAACTCTAGAGAAGTTTTGTCAGGGACAGTAATTTTTCCTCCATTCTAAAATAAGAAAATTAAATTTAAAAAAAAGTATTTTCTTAAAAATAACAACAACAAAAAACCCCAACCTATTTTCTAAACTTAATTAACGTAAATTAGATTCTTTTAAACTTAAATACTAAAAAGGGCTGGGCACGGTGGCACATTCCTATAATCTCAGCAATTTGGGAGACTGAGGCAGGAGGATCACTTGAGCTCAGGAGTCTGAGACCAGCCTAGGCAAGGTAGTAAGACCTTATCTCTACAAAAAATCAAAACAATTAGCTGGGCATGGTGGCATGCGCCTGTAGTCCCTGCTACTTGGGAGGCTGAAATGGGAGGATCACTTGAGACCTGGAGATGAAGGCTGCAGTGAGCTATGATCTTGCCACTGCACTCCAGCCTGGGCAATAGAGCCAGAAAAAAAAAATTATCTTAAAATAATAATAAAAAACTAAAAAGCCTTCATGCTAAACACTGGTCTATGAATGATACAAGCTTCAATGACTTATTACAGTTTAAGGTATACTTTCAGGAAATATTAAATACTGTATTATTTTACTTTTTCACTTTGACCAGGTTGTATTTTGAAGTTTTTACTCTTTCTCACTACATACACACAGATATATAACAACATATATGTGTACACACAAAAAAACCCTCAAAATGCAACAGACTGTGATAAAATTAAATATACACAAAATAATCTAACTAATTTATGAAATTTACATGAAAATTCCTTTACTGGGGTTATACATTATACAGTCTGGTGAGGATGAAAAAGCCATAATTACACCAATTATTTCTTCTTCTTCTTTTTTAAACCAGAGCCACTTGAACTAATCAATTCACTAAAAAAAAAATTTTTGTTTTGACACAAGGTCTTACTATATCACACCTGGGCTGGTCTTGAGCTCCCAGGCTCAACAAATCCTCCCACCACTGTCAGCCTTTGTAGCTGGGACTACAGGCATGCACCATGGCTCAATTTGCAGTTCTCATGCTTATAGTAGAGAATGTAGATGTTTTTTTAGAGACAGGGTCTAGCTCTGTCCATGACAGACTACAGTCATTTCATCTAGATCACTGCAGCCTCAAACTCCTAGGCTCCAGCGATCATCCTGTCTCAGGCTTCTGAGTAGCTGGGAATACAGGAGCACACCACCATGCCCAGGTAATTTTTTTTCTTTTTTTTGGGATACAGAGTTTTGCTCTTGCTGCCCAGGCTGGAGTGAAGTAGCGCAATCTCGGCTCACTGCAACCTCCACCCCCTGGGTTCAAGCTATTCTCCTGCCTCAGCTTCCTGAGTAGCTGGGATTATAGGTACCCGCCACCACATCCGGCTAATTTTTGTATTTTTATTAGAGATGGGGTTTCACCTGTTGGCCAGGCTGGTCATGAACTCCTGACCTCAGGTGATACACCCACCTCGGCCTCCCAAAGTGTTAAGATTACAGGCGTGAGCCACCGCACCTGACCCATTAAATATTTTCAAAACACTAATAGCATAATAATTCATCACAGTAATTGCTTCCTGTATTATTGGACTCAGTTTGTTTCTCATTTTTCACTATTAATATCTGTTATTTATTCAGTTAGGTGCTCTACACTAACGTATTTAATCCTCAAAACAACCTCTCCCTTGGATATTTCCCTCAGTTCCTGTGGTCCTAGCAGTGCAACAAAAATTATGTTTCATGCAAGATTTGGTTGATTTATACCAATAGGATTCCCTAAAACCATGACGCTGGGAGCAGAAGGTCCATCAATTTTTTTTTAACATCATCTTGATTTGAAATACAGAAAAAATGACGTACTAAAAGTGAAAAGAAGCCGGGCACAGAGGCTCATGCCTGAAATCTCAGCACTTTCAGAGGCCGAGGAGGGAGGATCACTTGAGCCAGGAATTCGAGACCAGCCTGGGCAACACAGAGAGACCCTGTCTCTAAAAAAAATTAAAAAATTAGCCAGGCGTGGTGGTACCAGCCTGTAGTCCCAGCTGCTTGGGAGGCTGAGGTGGGAGGAACACTTGAGCCCAAGAGGTCGAGGCTGCAGTGAGCCATGATTATGCCACTGCAGTCCAGCCTGAGCAACAGAGTGAGACCCTGTCTCCAAAAAAAAAAAAAAAAGTGACAACAGCTGTATATGAATGTAAATAGACTTTACAATACTGAAGTGTATCTTTGAAAATGGTTAAGATGATAAATTTTATGATACATGTTTTTCACCATAATTAAAAAAAATGTGAAAATAAAAAAGTGACAACAGGACAATAGGAAGAGTTGAATTGTTGATAACTACCATACCTACATGCCAGAAAACATTTTCTTGATGACAGACACAATTTAGAACAGTAAACCAAGCAAAGGAAAAATTTACCTCAATGTGAAAGTGAAAGTTTAATAGTAGAAAAATGTTAAAGATTTTTAAAATCAGTATTTCCTACATTTGCTAAAATGACATGCCTTATGAGTATAATAAAATGTTTTAATTCTAAAAAATTAAAATAACACTCCTTCAGTTTACATAATACTATTTAAGCTAGGCTTTCTATAGTTATCGAGTAAGGTTTAATTAATCAGAGACTTACCTTGTTAGCTTCTATAGTCACTATTCGATTAAGAAATTTCATCATAATTGTTGGTGCCACAGGGTTGAAACTAAGTTTTATAAAGAAAGATAGCAGTTAAATGATTAATTTAAAAATATAATATGTATGTGACCTTTATAAGCAGAAATTTCTTTCTTACCTAATATTTGAGATAGAACACTCTTCCTGAATTTCTTTGGGAAACAATAACCTTTGATTATTATCTCCACTGAGACTGTCCGAGATTATAAATATAAGAGGACATCGACCAATCCTCACATACTTCCTAAAATAACAAAATACAGCAATGTTGAAATTTAAGCCACTTCTCATTTAATTTGGAGTTTTAGAATACTTCACTGAAACCTACCTTAGAACTTCATGTAAAGTATGAGAATCCCGATAAAACTGGTTAGGTAAATCCTATTGAAAATAAAAAATAAATAATAGTATAGTTTTATTCCATTGCAAATTTATTTTTCAAATTTATATTTATTGAGGTAGGCAAAAATATATTTATTCAATGTATTTTAAACAGAACTTTCACAGGAAACATGAAATAGATGATATCCGAAACAGTAATATACATCAATGGGGATCCCAATTTTTAGATCAAATTTCTTTGGGTTGCTTTCCAGTTACAGTATTTTCACTAGGAAGTAATTTTCCCAACTTTTCTTTTGTTTTTCTATACTTAAACCATTAAAATTTATAACATTCCTTATCCTACAGCTATTCCATTCAAGTTTACTAGAAGAGACTTTAGGTTTCTACTATTACAAAGCCTTTGTGTTGTATTTTACCAATATCACTACTATAGAGACAAGTTAACATTATCATGTAAGATATATCTCACAATTGTTTAGTCAATAGCTACAGCAAAATTTTAAAAGTTGGCTGGGTGTGGTGGCTCACATGTGTAATCCCAGCACTCGGGAGGCCAAGGCGGGAGGATTACCTTGAGGTCAGGAGTTTGAGACCAGCCTGGCCAACGTGGCAAAACTCCATCTCTACTAAATATACAAAAATTAGGCCGGCATGGTGGCAGGTTCCTGTAATCCCCACTACTCGGGGGAGGCTGAGGCATGAGAATTGTTTCAACCCAGGAGGCGGAGGTGGCAGTGAGCCAAGACTGCACCACTGCACTCCAGCCTAGGGGTTAAAGAGAGACTCTGTCTCAAAAAAAAAAAAAAAAAAAAGATTTTAGGCCAGGCATGGTGGCTCACGCCTGTAATCCCAGCACTTTGGGAGGCCACGGTGGGCATATCATGAGGTCAGGAGATCGAGACCATCCTGGCTAACACAGTGAAACCCCGTCTCTACTAAAAAATACAAAAAATTAGCCGGGCGTGGTGGCGGGCGCCTGTAGTCCCAGCTACTCCGGAGGCTGAGGCAGGAGAATGGCGTGAACCTGGGAGGCAGAGCTTGCAATGAGCTGAGATCGCGCCACTGCACTCCAGCCTGGGTGACAGTGACACAGCAAGACTCCATTTCAAAAAAAAAAAAAAAAAGATTTTAAAAGTTGTCCTTACTTCAACCAGAATTATCTTCTTATCAGTTCTCAGATCATCTCCAAGCATTTGTAACTTGTTATACTTTGTCGCTCTTAGTAGAAACTCTTTGAAAACTGCTATCTGAGACTGATAGGGAAACATATGGAAGCTTGATTCTGAAAGGAAACACATAACCACTTTTATTTTCAACAAATGATATACATTAATATTATACATCTGTATGTACACACACACATACTTGATGCATCTCACAATACTGTAGACTATTTCCCAATTAGGAAAAATCATTTAAATTTAAAATAGGATATTCCTTTCAAAGGACAAGAGTCAACATGTAGCCAGGCACAGTGGCTCACGCCTGTAATCCCAGCACTTTGGGAGGCCGAGGCAGGTGGATCGCTTGACCTCAGGAATTCAAGAGCAACCTGGGCAACACGGTGAAACCCGGTCTCTACAAAAAAATACACAAATTAGCCAGGTGTGGAGGCTTGTGCCTGTAGTTCTGGCTACTTGCAGGGCTGAGGCAGAGGGTGGGGGTAATAGCTTGAGCCCAGGAGGTGGAGGTTGCAGTGAGCCAAGATTGTGTCACTGCACTCCAGCCTGGGTGACAGAGTGAGACCCTGTGTAATATGGAGTTAACTGACCTAAGAACACAGCTGTCGGTATAACATTCATATAATTGGTAAAAATATCTATGACTGTGGCCTACCCAATGAAGAATCTCTAAATGAGTTCAAGCCTATAAATGAATTACCTTCAGTGATAAGGGTTTGGTTTGTTTGTTTTGAGACGGAATCTTGCTCTGTCGCCCAGGCTGGAGTGCAGTGGCGCAATCTTGGCTCACTGCAACCTCCACCTCCCAGGTTCAAGCAATTCTCCTGCCTCAGCCTCCTGAGTAGCTGGGATTACAGGAACACACCACCACGCCTGGCTAATTATTGAATTTTTAGTAGAGATGGGGTTTCTCCATGTTGGTCAGGCTGGAGTGATAAAGGTTTAACAACAAAAACAGAATAACTGATTAGTGAACTTGAGAATGAGGGAAGCTCTCTGAAGGCATGTTTCATATTGAAGACTGTTTAAGTTAAAGCTTATCAGACTGTCAAAAGTAATGCTACTATTTAGAAAGCAGTAAAAGCCAGATGCAGGAACACACGTCTGTAGTCCCAGCTACCCCAGAGGTTGAGTCGTGAGAATCCCTTAAATGCTTAAGAAGTTCATTCTAGACAATATAGTGAGACTTTCTCTCTTAAAAAAATGATAATAATAATGGGCCGGGCGTGGTGGCTCACGCCTGTAATCCCAGCACTTTTGGAGGCCGAGGTGGTTGGATCACCTGAGGTCAGGGGTTCGAAAACAACCTGACCAACGTGGTGAAACCCCATCTCTACTAAAAAATACAAAAATAAGCCGGGCATGGTGGTGGACGCCTGTAATCCCAGCTACTTGGGAGGCTGAGTCAGGAGAATTGCTTGAACCCAGGAGGCGGAGCTTGCAGTGAGACAAACCACTGCACTCCAGCCTGGGTGACAGAGCAAGACTCCATCTCAAAAAAAAAATAATAATAATAGTAATAATAATAATAAAGAAAAGAAAACAGTAAAAGCCCCAGCAGGATGGGATACTAGTAGCACAAGGGAGTACATTAAAGAAGAGTCCAGAGAAGGGATTTTGAGGAACACTCCACATTAAAATTATCCTTCTACAGAACCCTTTTCCCTTCAAAATGGCCTAGGAGATTTGGCTATCCCTAGTTTCACCACCTGGAGTTGCAATATGAAAAACTATGAAAGATAAAAATGATAGTGCTAAGGTACATAAGCATATGCATGAACTTATAACGTATTACATCTTTAAATTGGTACTATTGCCACGCATGGTAGCTCACGCCTATAATCCCAGCACTTTGGGAGGCAGAGGCAGGTGGATCACTTGAGGCCAGGAGTTCGAGACCAGACTGGCTAACATGGCAAAACCCCATCTCTACTAAAAATACAAAAACTAGCTGGGTGTGGTGGCACATGCCTCTAATCCCAGCTACTCAGGAGGCTGAGGCATGAGAATAGCTTGAGTCTGGGAGGCAGAGGTTGTACTCCAGCCTGGGCGACAGAGTGAGACTCTGTCTCAAAAAAAATAAAAATAAATAAAATTGTTACTATTATCAATTTTTAAATCGTTATCTTAAGGCCTCCTTCCAAATTCCAAAGACATCTTTGTCTTTTGCTTTCATTTGATATTGTTCTAACAGGTACTTACTGATCTAAGCTATCTTGTTGGGGGGCAAGTTCTTTTTAACACATCTTAAGGCTTGATTTAACAAATAAAATATCTTAGTTAATACTGTCTAACCTCCTAGCCAGATCTTAGAAAAAAGCAGATAAATAATGCAAACAGAAGAATATGTTAACAAAACAGTTAAGACTTAATCTTCAAAAAATTCCATTGTCTTCCATTGGAGACATGCTTTCTTTCCTTCTCCTGAAATAACTTTTATTTATTTATTTTTTGAGACAATGTCTCATTCTGTTGCCCAGGCTGGAGCACGATGGTAACACTATAGCTCACTGCAACCTTGAACTCATGGGCTCAAGTGATCCTCACACCTCAGCCCTTGAGTAGTTAGAACTACAGGTACACAACACTATACCTAGCTGATTTTTTTATTTTTGTAGACAGGTTCTTTGTATGTTGCCCAGCCTGGTCTTTAACTCCTGGCCTGAAGCAATCCTCCTGCCTCAGCCTCCCATGTGACAGCCATCGCACCTGGCCTGTGAAATTCCATCCCTCTGAAAGCAAGAAGTATGGGAAAAAATGCACTCATAGAACTTTATCTGAAAGCTCCCTTAAGCACAGGTTTGCCCCACTACTTCTACTACCTTCACAGCAAATCTTACCAGTATTAAACATCCCCTTGAAATCATCTTTTTGGAAGTCTGGTAAAACTGGATTAATCCACTCTTGTACTTGAATACCATGCTCCTTTGATAGTATTTTTAAGGTCGTTGTCTTTCCACATCCAGGAGGACCTGTTATTAATAAAATAGATCCACCCTAAAATCAAATACAAATATGAATTAAAAACCAAAATCACTGGAATGCTAGAATATTATTTCTGACTTTTCATTCTAAATATATTTACTTCTATAAATATTTGCTGAATGTCTCATATAAGCACATTAAATTTCATAATAATGCTTGCTGGAATAAACCAGCTTTATTTTTTTCTTTTTTAAAAATTGCCTTTTTCCCCCCTTTTCCATACAAAAACATCTGCAAATATGGAAATAAGAGAATCTTAATTCTTCAACTCTCAATTCCGCTTCTGATAATTTCTCAATTTTTGCATTATGTCCCTCTCAAGGACTATTTAGTAGCCAAATACTAAACTTTGGCTAAATTAGGGAGGTGATGTCTGAAACAAAGATTTTTAGAGGTTACCTGAACTCATAAAATTTATTCTTTTTTTTTTTTTGAGACGAGTCTTGCTCTTTCACCCAGGCTGGAGTGCAGTGGCATAATCTCGGCTCACTGCAAGCTCCGCCTCCCGGGTTCACGCCATTCTCCTGCCTCAGCCACCCGAGTAGCTGGGACTACAGGCGCCCGCCACCACGCCCGGCTAATTTTTTTGTATTTTTAGTAGAGACAGGGTTTCACCGTGTTAGCCAGGATGGTCTCAATCTCCTGACCTCGTGATTTGCCCGCCATGGTCTCCCAAAGTGCTGGGATTACAGATGTGAGCCACCGCTCCCAGCAAAATTTATTCTTAATATAGACATCTCATTGGATGATATAAGTTACTGTTATACAAATACAATATTCTTATGGAAAGACCTCAGTTTGGTTATTAGATTCTTTAAGAAATGCATATTAAGACACATATTTGGGAAGAGCACGGCGGCTCACACCTGTAATCCCAGCATTTTGGGAGGCTGAGGCAGACGGATTCCTTGAGCCCAGGAGTCTGAGACCAGCCTAGTCAACATGGCAAAACCCTGTCTCTACAAAAAAAATACAAAAAATTAGCTGGGCATGGTGGTGTGCGCCTATAGTCCCAGCTGGTCAGGAGGCTGAGGTGGAAGAATCACTTGAGCCTGGGAGGTGGAGGCTGCAATGAGCCAAGATTGCCGCTGCACTCCATCCTGCACATTAGAGTAAGATCCTGTCTCAGAAAAAAAAAAAAGGAAAAAAAAGAAACATATTTACCAGAGATAGGACTCTAACGAGAGACTAGAGGTTGTGGATCCCAGTAACATTCCCTCATACCGTAAATTTGATTAAAAAAAAAAAAGTTGAAGCTACAGAAATATCAAAAGATTTCCTACATACAATGGTAGGCTATAATTCTTGTTTATTTTCCTTTAATAAGAACCTATGTACTTGGACAAAGAGAGCCTGCTCCACTTTTGAAAGGGGCAGTGCATGAGTTATAGCGCTGTTCACCATGAGTTCAAACTATATGGATCAACAATATACAGTCATGTGCCAGATAATCAACTTTCAGTCAATGATGAACCACATATAAACAGTAGTCTCATAAAATTATAATGGAGCTGAAAAATTCCTAGTAACAATAATGCAAAACATCACTCATGTTTGTGGTAATGCTGGTGTACACACACCTACTGTGCTGTATAAAAGTGTAACACGTATATCTCATTATGTGTAACACATAATGCTTGATAATTATAATAAACAACTATCTTACTGGTTTATGTATTTACAGTGCCCATCTTTATTATTAGAATCTACTTGTTTTTTAAAAAAAAAAGTTGGCCGGGCACAGTGGCTCACGCCTATAATCCCAGCACTTTGGGAGGCCGAAGCAGGCAGATCATCTGAGGTCAGGAGTTCAAGACCAGCCTGGCCAACATGGAGAAACCCCATCTCTACTAAAAATACAAGAACTACCCGGGCGTGGTGGTGCACTCCTGTAATCCCAGCTACTCAGGAGGCTGAGGCAAGAAAATCGCTTGAACCCGGGAGGCAGAGGTTGCAGTGAGCCAAAATTGCACCACTGCACTCCAGCCTGGGCAACAAGAGTGAAACTCTGTCAAAAAAAAAAAAAAGAAGTTAACTATAAAACAGCCTCAGGCAAGTCCTTCAGGAGGTACTGCAGAAGAAGGCACTGTTGTCATAAGAGATGACAGCTCCTTACGTGTTGTTGCCTCTGAAGACCTTCCAGTGGACAAGACATAGAGGTGGAAGACAGTGCTATTAATGATCCTAATCCTGTGTAGACCTAGGCTAATTGGTGTGTTTGTGTCTTCATTTCTAATTTTAAAAGAAGCTTAAAAATTTTTTTTTAAATACAAAAAAAATTTATAGAATAAAGATATAAAGACAAAATATTTTTGTACAGCCGTACCATTTATTTGTGTTTTAAGCTAAGTGTTATTATCAAAGAATCTAAAAGTTTATAAAGTAAAAAAGCTACATAAAGTCCTTCACATGGCCTTTACAAAAAGTTCCAGTAAGTGAAGGTTAATTTATTAAATAAAAAACTGTTTAAGTTTAGTGTAGCCTAAGTGTACAATGTTTATAAAAGTCTACAATAGTGCACAGTAATGTCCTTAGACTGTCACTAACCACTCACAGTCACTGACTTAACCATTTTCCAGTCCAAGCTCCATTCATGGTAAGTTCCCTATATAAATGTATACTAGCATTTTTTTTATCTTTTATAACCATGTTTTTACCAAAAAATATTTTTTTTTTGAGACAAAGTCTCTGTTCTGTTGCCCAGGCTGGGGCACAGTGGCACTGTCTCAGCTCACTGCAACTTCCGCCACCCGCTTTCAAGTGATTCTTGTGCCTCCCATATAGCTGGGACTACAGGCACACACCACCATGCCTGGCTAATTTTTGCATTTTTAGTAGAGATGGGGTTTCACCATGTTGGCCAGGCTGGTCTCGAATTCCTGACATCAGGTAATCCACCCACCTCGACCTCCCAAAGTGCTGGGATTATAGGCCTGAGCCACCAAGCCCGGCCTTTTTACTGTACTTTTTAATGGTATGCTTTAGGTATGTTTATTTACACATATAGTTCCCACTGTGTTATAATTGCCTACAGTATTCAATACAGTAACAAGCTATACAGGTTTGTAGCATAGGAGCAAGAGGCTATACCATATAGCCTAGGTGGAGGTTTGTGTAAGTACACTCTATGATATTCTCACAACAATGAAGTCACCTAATGACACATTTCCCAGAATGTATCCCCATCATTAATTGAAGCATGACTGAACATTAAATAACTTTAAATAAAAACACATATACAACAAGGCTATATATTGATGGGTTGACAAAAATGTTGTTACCAGAGGTTTGCAAAAACCTAATTTAGTGTTTTTCTTAGAATAATGGTTCAGTATTTGCTAATTCAGCAACTTTACAGAACATAACTACCTTGAATAATGAGAACTACAATACCAGACAGATCACTTCTTTACAAAGAAAAAGAAGCCTATGCACAGGCATTATACATTTTTCTCATGTAATAATATACTTAAGTGCCTGTTTTCTGACAGAGTGGGTACAGCCACATAGCAAGTTTCCCTTCCAGTAAGAGAACTAGGAGGTAGTTTCTTATCAGGACATTATAATGTGAAGAATCTTGTTAATCCCATTTGTCTACACTGTAACAGAGTTTTACTGAATTTTGAAGGAAAGAAGCTGTCCTGAAAAATTAAACTCTGCAAATATTTGGTATATCGTATTTAAAATAAATTTTGAAAAGTAAATTTCGTTTGCCCATTGATAAATCTAGATCTTACCAATTTTTTTGAATAAAAACATTTTCTAATTACTGACATCCCTGAAACTTCTGTAAAATAAATGGTAAGTGATTTGGGCCAGGCATGGTGTGGCTCATGCCTATTGATTCTGACACTGTGGGATGCCAATGTGGGAGGTCTACTTGAGGCCAGGAATTCAAGACCAGCGTGGGCAACACCATAAGACCCCATCTCTACAAAAAAATTTTTTTTTAATTAGCCAGATGCGGTGGCACACACTTGCAGTCCCCAGCTACTCAGGAAGCTGAGGTGGGAGGACTGCTTGAGCCCAGGAGTTCAAGGCTGCAGTGAGCTATGACAGCACCTCTGCAATCCAGTGTAGGCAACCGTCTCTAGCAAGACCCTGTCTCTAAAAAATTAATAAACAAATAAACAGAGTATATGATTAAAGTCCAACTCCTTAGGGGGAAAACTTTTGAAACCATAAATACTTTTCCCAATACATATATATATGTATACATATATATATGCATACATATATGTATACATATATATATGCATACATATATGTATGCATATATATATGCATGCATATATGTATGCATATATATATGCATGCATATATGTATGCATATATATATGCATGCATATATGTATGCATATATATGTATGCATATATATATGCATATATATGTATACATATATATGCATATATATGTATACATATATATGCATATATATATGTATACATATATATGCATATATATGTATACATATATATGCATATATATACGTATATATATACACATATATACATATATACGTATATATATACACATATATACACATATATACATATATATACGTATATATATACACATATATATACATATATATACGTATATATATACACATATATACATATATATACATATATACGTATATATATGTGTGTGTATATATATATATACACACACACACACACACACATATATACCTAAGTTTATCCAACTGGTAGAATAATAATAGTAACACCAATGTAGGTTTATGATGTGACAATGTTTATACTGACGGAGTATTGCTAAGTGAGAAAACACAATGGACACTGAAAAATAAAAACTATTAGCTAAGCTGACCAAAAACAAATCAATGAGAAAAAGCCTGGATGTAAGAGGTGTGTCAGATAGACTGCCCAAAAATCTGTATTCGGAGACAAGAGACGAGATTTCTATGAAACATCAGAGGAATACCAATGCTGACACTGAAAATCCAACTTGAATTCATGATCTTAGCCCTAAACCAAAAGGTTTAGATCCACAGGCCAGAGAGAAAGGAGCTTGGTTCAAGAGAGGAGGATTGGCTGGGCGTGATGACTCACACCTGCAATCCCAGCACTTAGGGAAGCCGAGGCGGGTAAATCACCTGAGGTCAGGAGTTCAAGACCAGCCTGGCCAACACGGTGAAACCCTGTCTCTATTAAAAATACAAAAATTAGCTGCGTGTGGTGGCGCATGCCTGTAATTCCAGCTACTCGGGAGGCTGAGGTAGGAGAATCGCTTGAACCCAGGAGGCAGAGGTTGCAGTGAGCCAAGATCATGCCACTGCACTCTAGCCTGTGTGACAAAGCAAGACTCTCGAGAAAAAAAAAAAGAGAGAAGGATCTGTTACCATCAAAGCAACTAAAACACCAACTCCTTCATCTCAAGGTTGAAAACTAAAGGAAAGACCTAATGTAAACAATGGACTCTGGGTGTTAGTGATGTGTCAATGTAGGTTTATCAGTTTTAACAAATGTACTACTCTGGTGAGGGAAGGTTAGTAACGGGAGAAGGCTATGCATGTGTTGGGGCAGGGGATATGAGGTACATCTCTGTACCTTCTACCCAATTTGGCTGTGAACCTAAAACTGCTCCAAAAATAAGTCTATTTTTTAAAAAAGGAAAAGATACAAAACTTATCCTGCCTTTCTAGTTGGAAATGTATTTCAAGGTAACTAAACAACCCTAGCTAGTGATGGCAAACTTTTCTTTGTAGAAAAATGCCAGTAATAACTGTAGAAATAACAGAACTATAAGAAAGTTACTACTGTACAACTCTAATAAAATAAGTGATTCAGGCAAGGATTGAAAAACTGAAGCTACAGCACTTAGGTGGACGACTGATGGAGAACTGGGCACTCACATGCTGCCACGGTATCTCCCCATGGATTATGTGTCAGTTGTGAGGGAAAGTTACTCTACAATGAAGATTTTTGACTTTCATCTCTTTGATCTAGTGACCAAACTTAAGACAGCAGGAGAACCACAAATACTTTCCAATTTGACACCCTATACAACATACAACATGACCTTTATTCTTGCAAAAATGTTCAACTTGAGTCTAATCAAGCCCTTGATTCAAAATTTCAGGTTATAGGAAATGCAGGATAGACGAATAAGTTAATCATTATTAGGAGGAAACAACCTAACAAATCCAGTGTGAGACTTCTACAAGTCAACCGGCCTGGTCTCCTTCATAAGTCAGTGCCTTGGAGAAAAGAAAGGGTTAGTAAACTATTATTAGATTCAGGGAAAAAAAAAAAGGCCTAAGATATATAACAGCCAAATGCAACGTGTGATCCTATCCTGTTTGAAACAAACCAGCTACAAAAGACATTTTGGGGACAAATGCAGAAACGTGAATATGAATTCATCATTAGACAGCATTACGGCATCCTGGTTAACTTTGTTAGAGAGAATAATGGTATGCATAATTAATTAGGAAAATCATTTTTTTAAAAAAACAGAGACATACTGAAGTATCTAAAAGTCTAACTGAAATGTCACAATGTTTATAATTTACTTTAAAATACTTAAGGGGGAAACAATGAGTATATTCTATATATATTTTTTTATTATTCTATTTTCTTTTATGCTTGAAAAATCTCAAAATAAAAAACATTTAAAAAGGGAGACTGATGGAAGGAGAGAATATTCTACCTTGGGGGTTCAAGGTAATTGTGCAGTAAGGAAGTGAAACAAAAAATATCAGTCTAAAATAAATAATGACTGTTTTTGGCTATATTTAGTAGAGAAACTAACATGTAATTTGCCTGCTTTCCTCAGCCTGAGATAATCTGATGTGCTAAATACACTAGCACCCTAATTGGTTTACTGATTCTTTATGCTAACAATAAGACATAAAGAAAAAGAGTTACAAATAAAGGGGAAAACTCAAAGTCTCTGAGTCTTTTAGTCAAGTTGGAAGTAGTAAAGTCATGAAGCTTTCTTTTTCGCTTTTTGTTTTGTTTTGCTTTTTACGGTTTTTGGTATTGCTCTGTTGCCCAGGCTAGAGTGTACTAGTGTGATCACAGCTCACTGCAGCTTCCACCTTCTGGGCTCAGGCGATCCTCCCACCTCAGCTTCCCAAGTAGCTGAGACCAGAGGCATGCACCACAATGCCCAGCTAATTAGCTGTAGAGACAGTCTCCCTATGTTGCCCAGGCTGCTCTCGAACTCCTGGGCTCAAGTGATCCTCCTGCCTTGGCCTCCCAAAGTGCTGGGATTACAGGCATGAGTCACCATGCCCCACTAGGGAGCTTTCTACTGCAGGAGATCTAGACTTATTTTGAACAAAATCATCATAAAACTTTAACTTCTAACAACACACTGTAAGTCAGAAAAATATTTGATGTTAAATATTTAAAAACACATTTCTTAGTTACCTGTTTTGGTTGCCTTTCTAAAACTTGAGCTTTTAACCAGGTTTCGACTTCTTCAATTTTCTTTTTATGCACAGCAAGTTCATGCTACAACAAAAATTTCAAATTTAAAACAAAACTTCTTAACTGAAGATTTTTTGGTACATCAGCACATATGAACCTAAGCATTATTAACGAAAAGAAGTAGCAAATCAGTAACAATCTATATAATAAAATGATCCTTTTGATTATACTTGAATTTTTATACTATTATGGAAAAATTATATTCTTAAGTTGATACCTCTGTATGATAATTTTGGCAAGTTTGCAGTTATAACATTTTTTAAAATTCAGAAATACATTTTGAGAAGACAGTAGAGAGGAGTATTACATTTAGTACAAAAATTTTTAAAAAGATCAATTCTATGTTGGGATTAAATTAAATCTAAGACAACTAATCACACAACTTTAGAATAACTATTGAGAAAAATCTAAGCCTTGGAAAATAAAAAAATCCAGAATTTTTTCTAACACTTAGAAAGATTCTTATGAGTAAAAAATCTGAAAATGTAAATCCCTCTGCTTCCCATCTACCCTTATGCACCCTGAAATTAAATTATGTAGATATGTCTGCATGCTTTTCAGTACCTGAGTTTCTGGTTTATATTTATCCACCCATGGTTCATTTTCAGACAGATATTCTTTTGAATTTTCTAAACCATAAATCTGTTCTAAGGAAGATAGATTTCCTCTTTTTCTCGCTGGAAATCTGCTGCTTTCTAATGTAGAAGGCCCATTTTTTCTTCTATGACTTGAGTTATTCACACCTAATGATGTGGCAGTAATAGTAGAGACGCCACTACACTCTAGAAAATCATCAAATGATGGGTCAACCCAGTCTGTTACCTGAAAAAAAAAGAAATCATGTAAATATAATCACATTTTCTCCCATCTATTCCCCCAAATAACTGAACTACTCTGGAAACAACATATTCATATATTTATAACCTTTAAAACTAAAAAAAAAAAAAAAAAAAAAAAAATTTTTTGAGACCGGGTCTCACTTTGTCACCCAGGCTGGACTGCAGTGGTATAATCTCAGCTCAAGCAATCCTCCAGCCTCAGCCTCTTGAGTAACTGGGACTACAGGCATGCACCACCATGCCCAACTAATTTTTTTGTATTTTTTGTAGAGATGGGTTTTTGCCATGTTGCCCAGGCTGGTCTCAAACAATTCTTGGGCTCAAGTGATCCTCTCACATCAGCCTCCCAAAGAGCTGGGATTAAAGGTATAAGCCACCATACCCGGCCTAAAAATCTTACAAATTAACTCTTTTTAAATAAAACTCTGTCTGTAATAGTTGTTTTTCTACTTTACAGTAAGTGCAAGTGCATACTTGTCTACTTGACCTTAAAGGAGTAAAGAACACAAACTTATTTTTATTAATTGTAACCTTCCCAGCATAAACACTAGAATGATTTTTTTAAACTCTCTGTAGGATTGAAACATAAATATTAAAATTACCTATTAAAAAAAGCAAAACAAAATAAACAAATGATAATATTTTAACAGAAACAGCAATAAGAGTAATATATCTGCCTTGGCCAGGTTAATACATTCACAAACTAAGAACCATTTCATACATCCAAATAATCCGTATCAGCTTGAAGACTTAGTGAAGATATAGGCCAAAGATCATAACGTAATCTGTAATTATGACTGGATTATATTTTTCTTCAGTGTATGAAGCAACTAATATTTTTATAATTGAGGCAGGCTTTCCAGAGGGGGAACTGTCACTCAGAAATGCCTGGGAATGGTTGGGTGTGGTAGCTCACACCTATAATTCCAGCACATTCAGAGGCAGAGGCAGTAGGATTGCTGAGCCCAGGAGTTTGAGAACAGCTAGCATAACATAGGGAGACCCCAACTCTACAAAAAATAAAAAATTAGCCAGGCATGGTGGCGCACGCCTGTATTCCCAGCTACTTGGGGGGCTAAGGTGGGAGAATCACTTGAGCGCGGGAGGTCAAGGTTGCAGTGAACCATGATCACCCCACTGCACTCCAGCCCGGGCAACAGAGTGAGACCCTGTCTCAAAAAAAAAATTTTGCTAATAATTAGAAATTATTAGCTAATAATTACAAATAATTAGAAATTAGAAATTTTTACTAGATTTTTTAACACTCTAATAGCATAAATCTAGAAAAATATAGCTTCAGATCTGGTTGTAGAATCTACTGCCTGGCTAACAAAAAGAAACCAAGTTAT
This sequence comes from Homo sapiens, assembly GCF_000001405.40. NCBI lineage: Eukaryota > Metazoa > Chordata > Mammalia > Primates > Hominidae > Homo > Homo sapiens. The sequence goes on along the minus strand of NW_003315917.2, from coordinate 155,649 downwards.
ATATTTCTTTCAAGAATACTCAGCCACAGTTGAGCTATTTATTAGACAATGTTCCTCTCTTGAAGAAAATGAACCAGAAGTTGGAGCTGAAAGTAGGCTTAGGGGAGACAATTTGGGGCTTATAAATACTTTACGAATGCTAAGTCACACTTCACTCTTCTTTTAAGACAGAGTTAGGAATATTATCGGCAGTGGATTAAAAAAGGAAGACCACTGGAAAAAATTTTAGTCATAGCTACCTGATTCATTTCGTCCTCATCAAAAGATTGTGACTGGTACTATAATCTTGGCCCCTTTCCTCTATATTTTTGAGAGTATGAAAATATCTTTCATTATAGTAAAACTTTCGACAGCAATTCTGATTTGCAAATTATTTATACATTTTATAGTTTCATTTCTTACATAAATGTGGACTCCCATATACTGAAAAAAAGAGAAAGATAAACAGCAAAGTTAAGTAACTTACTTAACATCAAAGAAAATTTAGAGCTACCACTTAGGGAAATAGCTACCCTGCATGCATGAAACTGTCTGACCCCCATCCCACCTTAACCCCTATCTTGCTGAGAACTCACACACTGAATTACATTACTTCTAAGAAGCAGTGCTTTTGGTTAAGCTATAACACCAACTACCACTCATATTTCTCTCTTCTATGTTCTTTCATTCAAATGTTTTCAGCCTTTGTGACTGGGACTGTAAAACACTTTTTCAAAATTAAGGTTGTGCTTTTAGAGAACACTTGTTTCACAACTTATTACCAGACTTGCTTAAATCATTAATTACAATAGATACTCGGCTCTATTACTTTGATAGCAGTAATAAGTTATTAAGAATATATATAAAAATTTATAATTATTTTAAGGCAATTATTACATGGCCATTCCAGTGTATCATACCTTTGTGGAAGATACCTTTGGTCTAAGAAAAGTTTTTGACATTATAAACTGTAATAGTTCCCATCCGTAGTTTAGGACTTGCAGTACATTAAACTATAATTCACCTGGGGGGGGGGGGAAGAAGCCCTCAAATGAAGAAAAACTGTAAATGCCCAATTATAGTAATAAATGTATACTGATATAATCAACAATACAATAAAGGCTCAAGAACTAGTGAAAAAGAACAGTAAATTTAAGTGATACAAGAAATCAAAATTCTAAAATAATTTTAATGACTATAACTGTATCAAATAATCTACTTGTGGTGTTAAGAGTTTTTCACATGAACTCAATGATGTATTAGAAAAAAAAAAACAAAAAAACCACACATACTATGTACTTACCTTTTGTCATTAAAATCAGGCAATTCTATTTGAGCAATTTTTATACTGAAAATTAAAGTTTTCCTTATTTCAAATTACAGTTGCAGGTCTTCATTTCCAGTATTTCCCAAAAAAGTAAAATACCATGAATTCACTTGCTGTGGACGAAGAATTTAAGTCTTAAACTGTAAAATTTTTGTCTTCATTTGAACATGTTATTACAAAATTTCTTGGTAACACTGTTTTTCAACCGTGTTTTCAAATTCTTAAATGTTTATGCAAACTAGTGAATTCAACGATTTTAAGTTAGCCAGAAGAAAAGTTTAAGGTCTACAAACTTATACATTGGAAAGTATACTGGACTACTTTACAGTTTGGAGGCACACATAGCCTATAAACACCTCGACACACTAGAAAACACATTGTTCAGCCCTCCGCCCCAAATCGTTCACGATTAGAGACTGTGACGTTTCAAAAGGTATACAGGTGGAAAAAAAACACCTATTTGAGTAAATATAGTTTGTAGCTCGAAATAAAAGATGCAGACCAGGGGCCGGACGCGGTGGCTCATGCCTGTAATCCCAGCACCGTGGGAGGACGAGGCGGGCGGATCATCTGAGGTCAGGAGTTTGAGACCAGCCTGGCCAAAACATGGTGAAACCCCGTCTCTATTAAAAATGCAAAAATTAGCCGGGCGTGGTGGTGGGCGCCTGTAATCCCAGCTACTCTGGAGGCTAAGGCAGGAGAATCACTTGAACCCAGGAGGCGGAGGTTGCACTCCAGCCTGGGCGACAAGAGTGAGACTCCGTCTCAAAACAAAACAAAAACAAACAAACAAACAAAAAAAGGTGCAGACTGTTGTCACGGTCAGGTCTCTATTCACTCTTGAAAACAAGATTGACAATTACCTCCTTTAAAAAGCAGATAACTGTCCCTGAAGATGCGAGGTTACTGAAATGAGATGTCAGAGGTAGACCTTCAAGACTATTCCTAGCCGACCCACCACCACCCCACACAGTGAACAGGGAATACTAAGCTCAAATATTCGTCCAACGTAATCCTGTAATCAGTGGGGTGCCGGGTTGAGCTCGCAAATCCCCGCTGCAGGACAGGGCTCTGCACCCTCAATCTTCTCATCCCCAGATGGGATGGGCGGGTCGGGAGGAGGAGCGACGAGAGCCCAGGAAAGCTTGAAGGCAGAGATAGACTCGCGTCTCTAAGACATATACATAATATAGCCGCAACCGCGGCGGCCTTACTTTCCCGGAGCTGCATCCCCTTTTGGGCGAAGAGCGGAGGCGACCAGGGACTACCCTAGGTGAAAGGGCAGCCACCTGGCCCTACCCGGGCTCAACGCCGAGCCTCTCGGAGGTACGGCCTCCCGGGGACCTTCCAGACTGGTCGGCGCAAGCGAAGGGCGGGGACCACCGAAGGAGTGTGTGACTTAGGCATCCAGCGCACTGCCTGACCCGAAGTACCGACCCGAGTTATGCCCACCCTCCAACTTTGCGACGGAAATGTGTCATCGAAAGCCAGGTAACCAGTGGGCCGCGGCTGGGCCGCCGGGGCAGGCTAGGGGCGCCGCGGTGGGCTTCGGGGCCTTTGGGGCCGTGGGCTTTTGCTGCCGCCCGCCCCTTCCGGCTCCTCCCTGTAGAGCAAAGGGCACGTGAGCGAGGCGCCCGAAGCCGTCGCGGCGGGGACCATGTTGCTTCCGAACATCCTGCTCACCGGTCAGGGCGCGCGGCCGGGAGGGACTGGGCTGGGGCAGGCTGGGGGCGCAGAGTGCTCTGGGCATCGGGCGCCCAGGTGGGGGCCCCTCACTGCCCTCTTCAGAGGCCGGCCGAGGGCCACGAGGCGGTTGTCAGCGCCCCGGGAGCCGACCCTCGCGGGCGTTGCGGGAGGCGAGGGAGGGGACGCGGAACGTTAATTCCGTTGGCCTGAGGCTCCGGGGGGGGGCGGGGGGGGGTGGAGAGAGGTCGGCAGATCCAGCTCTCCAGCTTGGCAACCTGCTTAGTCTTTCTGAATCTGGTATTTCGTTTGTAAAATGGGTTGTTGATTCTTTGGCAGGGTTGGCCTTGGGATTTTTAGCGAAATAACGTAAGGCCATATCTGCTTCCCGGTAGAGTCATTAATGGTGGATGCCTCACTCCTTAGGCCTCCGTGGGCCGTATTTTATTTTTTCTTTGCTTCTGATAAACGCCTCAGATTAGATTTCGGTAAACGAGTTCAGATGTTTGTGACGTGACGAAATTGCTGTATGCTTTTGTTGAGTTACATCAAAGGATCCCCCCGCCCCTTAAAAGGAAGGCATATAGAGCATTTCGGGTCGTTTCTCGCGTAGGAGTGGGTCTTTGAAGCCATACTCAGGGTGCGTGTTATCAGTGAAGGGAATTAAAATGCTGCATAACGACTTTAACGAATATTTTTGCTAGCCGTTTAGTCCTGAAAGTGTTTATCAAATTGTAGGCCATTCGTGGAAAAATCTAATGCATGTAGATTTTATTACAAGGTACAGAAAAATTAAGACTCTTTGTGGGAACAGTAAAGTTACATCATTCACCCAAAGGTAAAATTGTTGGCAGCGCACAAGACATGTCTGTTTCTGAGAGGTGCAGATTAACCACCCCACAAATAACGTTTAGAATTTTAGATTCCTTAAGCGGAAGATTTTACATCTTTTTGCATGGATCAAACATAGTGCCCTGGTTATTAAGTCATTGTCAAAACTTTAAAGTGAACATTTTATTGAAAACATGTTGAGTCCAGGGTTCAGACTTGGTGTATTATAGTGGACTTGAGGTGACCGTTATTCTCCTGGGTATGGGAACTGGATTATCCCTGTTATCTTTATGCTTAAGTTTAATTTCAGGGATGTTAAATCTGAATAGCTGAAAATTATGAATTTGATGATCTTGAAATGTAATTTTAATAGGTATCAGAAGGGGAAGGTAAAGAACAATGTATATAGTATTGTCATTTATGTAAAAGGGAATATGTGTTGTATTTATATAACAAAGAGTATGTACATATATGTACATTTACATGCAAACATAAATAGGGTTTCTTTGGGAAAGGAAACTGGTTTACAGTGGTTATCTCTAGGGAAGGGCGCAAGGGGTCAGTAGAGGTAATTTTCAGACTGCTTAATTTTAACATGAACAGTTTTGTTTTTGTTCTTGTTTTTGTTTTTGTTTGAGACAGAGTCTCATTATGTTGGCCAGGCTGGTCTCGAACTCCTGCGCTTAAGCGATCCTCCCGCCTTCTCCTCCCAAATTGCTGGGATTACACGCGCGAGCCACCACACGTGGCCATGAACAGTTTTTAAATCTTTATAAGTTAAAGCAAATAGGCCAGGTGGGTGGCTCATGCCTGTAAATCCCAGCACTTTGGGAGGTGGAGGTGGGGAGATCGCTTGAGCTCAGGAGTTTGAGCTTAGCCTAAGCAACATAGCCAAACCCCGTCTCTACAAAAATTAACCAGGGCATGGTGGTGCATACCTGTGGTCCTAGCTACCGGACAGGCTGAGATGGGAGGATTGCTTGAGCCCAGGAGGTAAAGGCTCTAGTGAGCCAAGTTCCACTGCACTCCAGCCTAGGTAACAAAGAGATATCTTGTCTTTAAAAAAAGAAAAAGGTAAATAAATTATTGTAATTGATTCGAGGTGGCTAATTTTTTTTTTTTTTTTTTTTGAGATGGAGTCTCTGTCGCCAGGCTGGAGTGCTGTGGCGCGATCTTGGCTCACTGCATCCTACAACTACCTGGTTCAAGGGATTCTCCTGCCTCAGCCTCCTGAGTAGCTGGGATTACAGGCACGCGCCACCACGCCCGGCTAATTTTTGTATTTTAATAGAGATGTAGTTTCACTATGTTGGCCAGGATTGTCTCAATCTCCTGACCTTGTGATCTGCCCGCCTCGGCCTCCCAAAGTGCGGTGATTACAGGCATGAGCCACTGCGCCCAGCACGAGATGGCTAATTTTATTCTCAGCAGTTCCCCGGTAGCAGCAGGCAGTTTGAATTGGCGTCAGAATCTGCTGAGCCCCACCCCTGGAGAATCAATACACTGGGTAATATTCTGACATTCAGTTAGCTTTGGAAAATTTTTATTAGATCGTAGTACATGCTAATTTACATATGGCCAGGCATGGTGGCTCACGCCTGTAATCCCAGCACTTTAGGAGGCCGAGGCTGGCAGATCACCTGAGGTTAGGAGTTTGAGACCAGCCTGGCCAATATGGTGAAACCCGGTCTCTACTGAAAATACAAAAATTAGCTGGGTATGGTGGTGGGCACCTGTAATTCCAGCTACTGAGGAGACTGAGGCAGGAGAATCGCTTGAACCTGGGAGGTGGAGGTTGCAGTGAGCCAAGATTGTGCCACTGCACTCCAGCCTGGGCGACAAGAGTGAAACTCTGTCTCAAAAAAAAAATTTTACATATGATTGCTAATTAGGAAATTTTTCATTTCAGTCGTCAAGAACTTTTAAGGGCAGAGGCCAGGTGAGACTCTGTCTCAAAAATAAAAGGAAAGGCAGAAGGTGGACCGCAGTGTGATAAGTAGTATTTCACAAACAGTATTTTTCTGTGGCTTGTCTTACAGGTACACCAGGGGTTGGAAAAACCACACTAGGCAAAGAACTTGCGTCAAAATCAGGACTGAAATACATTAATGTGGGTGATTTAGCTCGAGAAGGTAAGGGACACTTTGGTGTTAGATTTGTTTTGTTTTTTTTTTAAGGTCTGGTAAGTGGAGTGTTAGTGCTGGGTATTGTCATAGGGTACAAAAAACAGAGATTGCCATTAAAGAATATATACTCTGTTAGGGAATCCACAGAAATATTAAGTGTCTAATGCTATGTCCTGGTTATTTTGACCATTTTCCCTTCCGCCTTCAAAATGGCTGGCAATTCTTGTGAATAGTTGGGAAGGCTCCTATAAAGAGACTGGATTTCGGATAGGTAGAATGTGAATAAGGAGAATGTTTTTAAGTTGAACAAACAAAGGTTTGGTACTGCTAAACATATATATGAGCACAGTGAGTATATTGGTCTCACTGGAAAGAGACTGTTTTGAGCTCAGGTGTGGGACCTGACTATGCTATGGTATCTTAGATTAGTGTGAGATTTGCATGCAACTGCATATATTCTAAGATGATCATTGTTTTTATTTATTTTACCCTGTTTTCCCCTAATCTTTCATCGCTCCCTTATTTGTGTCTTCATCTTTTTATAGTCGACAATGATTTGTACATGGTAGGAACTCAATAAATTAAAGCGACCTTAAGTTGCCTCATTAAAATTAAGAAAACATATGGTTTAAATTTTAAAAATTTTTTTACAGTTTAACATAGATTTAAAATTTTTTTAAGTTCCTGACAGTTGCTACTAAAGTAACTATTTCAGATTGATCTAATGTACATATTTTTTTCAAATGATCTAAAGTCTGATCATCGGATATCATGGAGTCTGGCAAGACGGCTTCTCCCAAGAGCATGCCGAAAGATGCACAGATGATGGCACAAATCCTGAAGGATATGGGGATTACAGAATATGAGCCAAGAGTTATAAATCAGATGTTGGAGTTTGCCTTCCGATATGTGACCACAATTCTAGATGATGCAAAAATTTATTCAAGCCATGCTAAGAAAGCTACTGTTGATGCAGATGATGTGCGATTGGCAATCCAGTGCCGCGCTGATCAGTCTTTTACCTCTCCTCCCCCAAGAGATTTTTTATTAGATATTGCAAGGCAAAGAAATCAAACCCCTTTGCCATTGATCAAGCCATATTCAGGTCCTAGGTTGCCACCTGATAGATACTGCTTAACAGCTCCAAACTATAGGCTGAAATCTTTACAGAAAAAGGCATCAACTTCTGCGGGAAGAATAACAGTCCCGCGGTTAAGTGTTGGTTCAGTTACTAGCAGACCAAGTACTCCCACACTAGGCACACCAACCCCACAGACCATGTCTGTTTCAACTAAAGTAGGGACTCCCATGTCCCTCACAGGTCAAAGGTTTACAGTACAGATGCCTACTTCTCAGTCTCCAGCTGTAAAAGCTTCAATTCCTGCAACCTCAGCAGTTCAGAATGTTCTGATTAATCCATCATTAATCGGGTCCAAAAACATTCTTATTACCACTAATATGATGTCATCACAAAATACTGCCAATGAATCATCAAATGCATTGAAAAGAAAACGTGAAGATGATGATGATGACGATGATGATGATGATGACTATGATAATCTGTAATCTAGCCTTGCTGAATGTAACATGTATACTTGGTCTTGAATTCATTGTACTGATATTAAACATGCATGCTGGATGTTTTCAAGTTGTGTTTTAGAAAACTAATAATAATGAGTAAACACAGTTACCATACTTTTCAATTGAAATGAAGGTTTTTCATCAGCCTTAAAAGTGTAAGAAAAATAAAGTTGTCATTCATTCGATTGTTGGTGCTTTGGCAGTTATGTTTTTAAAAGCAATTTTCTCCTTGTTGTCACCAAGAGGAGTAACAGTTGGCAGTTGCAGCAATTTGCAGTACTGCAGTCTATTTTTGACCACTAGAGTGTCACCTTAAACGTCTTCAGATACATAGATCATAGTATGATCTCTGGTGTGTACGTCACTCTTGTGATCTGTTCTCTCAGATTGCTGAAGTATAACCATGACTCCCCTTTGGAGAGACCAGTTGGTCAGGATTTTTATTCATAGTGAATTCTTAACCTGCTTTGATTATCTTCCTCAATTGCCCAACTTCCTAGGTCCCATTTTTCTGTCCTTTTGGTTATATTAAGGACCCTTAGTGTCTCCCAGTATGTCTCCACTTTTTAAAAAAAAATTTATAAGTGTCTCTTTTTGCAGGTTAATTTTGAGCATCTTTGTTTTTCATATTCCTGATACTATAAGCCAGTATCATGTTCATTTTTGATCCAGGGCTGATAATTAGGTTATAGTGTTTATATATATATATATTTTTTTTAATTTAAAATATTTTTTTGTCCAAAAGAACGTCAATTTATCAAGGTTATAGTTTCTAAAACCTAGATTTTTATTTGCTATCATACAACTACTCATTTTCCATTTCATTTTATTTTATTTCCTGAGACAGAATTTCATTTTGTTGCCCAGGCTGCAGTGCAGTGGCACAATCTCAGCTCACTGCAACCTCTATGTCCCAGGTTCCAGCTATCTTTGCACCTCAGCCTCCCAAGTAGCTGGAATTACAGGTGTGCACCACCACACCTGGCTAATTTTTATATTTTTAGTAGAGATGGGCTTTTGCCATGTTGTCCAGGCTGGTCTTGAACTCCTGGCCTCAAGTGATCTGCCCACCTCGGCCTCCCAGAGTGCTGGGATTACAGGTGTGAGCTACCTCACCTGGCCTTTCCTTTTTTTTTTTTCTTTTGAGACGGAGTCTCCCTCTGTCGCCCAGACTGGAGTGCAGTGGTGTAATCTCGGCTCACTGCAAGCTCTGCCTCCCAGGTTCACGCCATTGTCCTGCCTCAGCCTCCCAAGTAGCTGGGACTACAGGCACCTGCCACCACGCCCAGCTAATTTTCTGTATTTTTAGTAGAGACGGGGTTTCACCGTGTTAACCAGGTTGGTCTCGATCTCCTGACCTCGTGATCCACCCACCTTGGCCTCCCTGAGTGCTGGGATTACAGGCGTGGGCCACCGCGCCCAGCCCGGCCTTTCTGTTTTATATCTATATGAAATGTGGTTTTGTTCCTCACTGTTGAACACCACCATTTTTGACAAGTGATTTCTGAGTCACATAATAGTCAATTTCATTCATGCATTCCAATGTTACTTTCACTCAATTTAACATTTCTAAACTAATTAGAGCATTAATAGCATTGAGAGCAATGGTGACACCAGACCAAGGACAATCCAGTATAAGGCACTTGTCTTCCTCTTCTTTGGGTCCTCTCCTACCAGTACTTAAACCATTTCATTTGGTTGAGACAGAGTCTTGCTCTGTTGCCCAGGCTGGAGTGTGGTGGCCTGATCATAGCTCATTGCATCCTTGAACTCCTGGGCTAAAGTGATCATCCTGCCTCAGCCTCCCTTGTAGCTGGGACTACAGGCACACACCATCCTGCCGGGCTAACTTAAAATTATTTTTGCAGAGACAGGGTCTGGCTTTGTTCCCCAGGCTGGTTTACTCCTGGGCTCAAATGATCCTTCTGCCTTAGCCTCCCAAAGTGCTGGGATTGCAGACGAGAGCCACTGTACCTCAAGTACTCAACACCATTTTAGTCAGTTGTGTATAGTCCCACCCATCCTCTTTGTTATTAGTGAGATTATTTCATGAAATGGGATCTAAGTCTTAAAGGAAAAGTATTTTTTCCCCCTCCTGTAATGCCAGATAAAAGATTTCTGGTCTGACTTGACATGGAGTTTGATGGAGGTACTTTGTGGGGTTTTTTTGTTTGTTTGTTTGAGACAGGGTCTTGCTCTGTGGCCCAGGCTGGAGTGCAGTGGCACAGTTTCCCCTCACTGCAACCCCAGCCTCCTGGGCTCAAGTGATCTCCTGCTTCAACCTCCCCAGTAGCTGGGACTACAGACACAAGGCCTCACTGTGTTGCCCAGGGTGGTCTCCAATTCCCCAGGCTCAAGTGATCCTCCCACCTTGACCTCTCAAAAGTGCTGGGATTACCGGTGTTAGCCATTGTGCCCAGCCTGATGAGGTACTTTGTAAGGTTTGACATACCAGATTTTTTAACCCAGATCCTGTTTGAATATATCTGGAAATATTCTGGGGCAACTAACCTCATTTTTATTTCAAGTGGGGATATATTTTTAAGGGAAACCAGGCAATCATCTATAATGAAGTGATTCTCAACTAGGTGATTTTTGCCCTTTGGGGGTATAGCAATGTGTGAAGACGTTTTGGGTTGTCACATGGAGGGGGAGGTGATGGCCAGGGATTCTACTAAAGATCCTGTAGTTCACAGGACAGTCCCCTGTCTCCCTTAGTAACAATTACCAGACTCAAAATGTCATTAGTAATAAGGTTGAGAAATCTTGCTGTAAAGAAATAAGGCTTATTCCGATGCTCACTAAAGTCGGAAAAAAAGAAAGCTTTTAAGAAAACCCTATTTTAAACTTATTTCTAAAAGTTTAGTATCATCCTGGTGATCATGTGGAATTGCAGTAGTAGTTGAGAGAGGTCATCTTCACTCCCAAAACCAAGGCAAAAAAAAAAAAAAAAAAAAAGGGAATCAAGTTTAAGAAAACTGGCCGGGGGTGGTGGCTCATGCCTGTAAATTCCAGCACTTTGGCCCAGCACGGTGGCTCATGCCTGTAATCCTAGCACTTTTGGGAGGCCGAGGCGGGTGGATCACCTAAGGTCAGGAGTTCAAGACCAGCCTGTCCAACATGGTGAAACCCCATCTCTACTAAAAATACAAAAAAGTAGCCAGGTATGGTGGTGGGCCCCAGTAATCCCAGCTACTCGGGAGGCTGAGACAGGAGAATCACTTGAACCCGTTAGGCGGAGGCTGCAGTGACCCGAGATCACACCACTGCACTCCAGCCTGGGCAAGACAGAGCAAGACTCAGTCTCAAAAAAAAAAAAAAATCAGTCCGGCGTTGCTGAGGGTGCCTGTAATCCCAGCTACTCAGGAGGCTGAGGCAGGAGAATCACTTGAACCTGGGAGGTGGAGGTTGCAGTGAACCGAGATCATGCCACTGTACTCCAGTCTGGGTGACAGAGAGAGATTCCGTCTCAAAAAAAAAAGAAAACTATTAAAGAGTCTTACTGTGGGCCGGGCGCGGTGGCTCACGCCTGTAATCCCAGCACTGTGGGGAGCCGAGGTGGGCAGATCACGAGGTCAGGAGATTGAGACCATCCTGGCTAACACGGTGAAACCCCGTCTCTACTAAAAATACAAAAAATTAGCCGGGCGTGGTGGCAGATGCCTGTGGTCCCAGCTACTTGGGAGGCAGAGCTTGCAGCGAGCCAAGATCGCGCCACTGCACTCTAGCCTGGGCGACAGAGTGAGACTCCATCTCAAAAAAAAAGAGTCTTACTGTGGTATGACTGTAAGAGTGCTTCTCTTATTGCTATTCTTCCAGTCTCAAGACTCCTCCTCACTTGATACCCTTTCCTATATACAATCATTTTTATACTCTTACTAGCATCCTTAATTTTCCTGGCAGCAGTTTTTCGGTCTTCGGCCTCTGTTCCTAACTGCAGAATACCCATAGGTCTAGACGAAGTAATATATTGACATTGGATCCATTTCCAGTAGAAATTGTAAAGCATAGCTTGGCTTGAACACTTAGAATCTTGATATATCTCTAACCTAGGGGTTGGCAAGCTACTGTTGTTTTTGTATGACTTCTGAGCTAAAGACTAGCTTGCAAAGCGTAAGGTATTACCTGGCCCTTTACAGAAAGAAAAAATGCTGATCCCTGTTCTATCCTTTTCTGAATCCCATTTTTCTCTCCCCTTATCAACTCCCACTGGAAGCCTTGGAAACTAACTCCTCTATTGACCTCTCTGACACTGCTCTCTCCCTATCTTTGCCTCTGGTCTTTCCCCTTCCACCTGTTTCCCCCATGATTTCATTGCAGCCATATTGTAATTCTGCCCCTCCCACTAGTAATCTCACTCATTCAGGACTATTCACTCCCTTGTGCTGATGACTTAAATTTATAATTAAAACAGCCCAATTTCTAGACACCTATTAGACAACCATCTGGATAGTTCCCAGATGTTTACAGCTCTAAATTAGTATGTTTAAAGCACGTGCTCTGAAAGCATCCTTGACTATACTTGCCCACTCCTCTGATTTCTACCTCCCAAGCATATAAATACACATTCACTCTCTCCACACAGATCCACTTGGCCTTTAAATCTTGACGGTTTCTCCGACACATCCCTACAGTACCCCTATTTCATCAAGACCCCTGGTGCTGTGCCTAGAATCCTACCTAGAATCTCCTGTTTGACTTCTTCAGTATCTCTTTCTTCCCTCTTCTACACTATCATTTTCTTAAAAGTGGGGAAGGAGAATGACATGATTTGAACTTTTTACTCACATAGTCCATTCTCCTTCAGGAAATATAGGAGATTCTTTATAAAATGGCCACAGTTTACCTGCAGCCGTTCTCTCCCCTATGTCCCCTTCAGTGCAGCCATCATACCCTGTTCTCACTAGGAATTTTCCACCTCGAGTATTTATGCATGCTGTTCTCTTTATAGGTTTCCTTATCTTCCTTACAACTCCTTGGAGGCCCAACTCCAATGTCATATCTTTGGCTGTCTAACTTCACTATGCAGAATTAATTGCCCTTTTCTTTTCGCATAAAAAGCCAGGTATTTTAAAGGCACCCAATCACTCTAAACCAGTTAATTTCTTGTTCTAATTGCTTTAGAGTTATCAGCTTCTTGTTGAGTTGAGGTAAATGTGGTGAATATGTTTTCAAAAGAAGAAATATGAAAATAAAAATTTTAAGTATTGGCAGCAGTGTCAAAACAACCAGCATCCCAATATGATTAAAGAACAGCTTTCACTTGAGTGTATATAAGTTCTAGGATGGCAGTTAAACATAATGTCATGATTTTACAGTTTGACAAACAGCAGCAGCTGGGAAGGTTTTTTAAGGTAAGAATGAGCTTTAAAAAATTTTGTGGGGCCTGGCGCAGTGGCTCACACCTGTAAACCCAGCACTTTGGGAGGCCAGGGCGGGTGGATCACCTGAGGTCAAAAGTTCAAGACCAGCCTGGCCAACATGGTGAAACCCCATCTCTACTAAAAATACAAAAATTAGCCAGGCATGGTGGCGGGCACCCGTAATCCCAGCTACTTGGGAGGCTGAGGCGGGAGAATTGCTTGAACCCAGGAGACGGAGGTTGCAGTGAGCCAGGATCATGCCATTGCACTCCAGCGTGGGTGACGAGAGTGAAACTCTGTCTCAAAATTTAAAAAAAAAAAATTTTTTTTTTTTTGAGACAAGGTATCACTGTCACCCTAACTGGAATACAGTGGTGCAATCCTGGCTCACTCCAGCCTCAAGCAGTCCTCCCACCTCAACCTCCAGAGTAGCTGGGACTATAGGCTGGCACCACCATGCTGGGCTAATTTTTTTTTTTTTCTTTTGGTAGTGGTGGGGTGTTGCTATGTTATCCAGGGTGATCCCGAACTCCCAGGCTCAAGAGATCCTCCCACCTCGGCCTCTGAAAGTGCTAGGATTATAAGCGCGAACCACCATGCTCACCCTTTTAACTCTGGCCCCACAATTGATTTTTTTTCTGCAAGCAATATATCTGTACCTGGAATTTAAAAAAATAAACTGCAAAACTTTGTTTAGAAAGTTGATTTAATTTTCTAATCTCTCAGTCCTTAAACAAATCAACCTTTTTGATCTTTGCTTAAGATCCTATGTATAGGCAAGTATAAATTTGGCTTCCAATTGAAACTTTCTAAAGTAGCATAAAATTTATTCTTTTTTTGAAATTTGAAATGAAGTTTAGGATCCGTTCATTTCTCTGGTACAGGCTACAATCATCACTTACCTAAAAATCTGCAGTAGACTTGATAGCCTCTGGGACTCCGTCTCAAAAAAAATAAAGACTTCAATCCTAAAAGTTAACACATCTATTTTAGACAGCATATATTGGTTCAAGTCATCTTTCTTTTTTTTTTTTTTTTTTTTTTTTTGAGACAGAGTCTTGCTCTGTCACCCAGGCTGGAGTGCAGTGGCGCGATCTCAGCTCACTGCAGCCTCCTCCCGGGTTCAAGCGATTCTCCTGCCTCAACCTCCCAAGCAGCTGGGATTACAGGCACCCGCCACCACGCCTGGCTAACTTTTGTATTTTTGGTAGAGATGGGGTTTCACCATGTTGGCCAGGCTGGTCTCAACTCCTGACCACAGGTGATCAACCACCTCGGCCTTCCAGTGTGCTGGAATTACAGGCATGAGCCACCGCACCGGCCAGAGTCATCTTTTAAAAGTCAAAGATTTAAAGTATGAAGGAACCTCCGTGTTTATCTATTCAAGATTACCACATAGTACAGAATCAGCTATAGGTATTCTTAGATTTTGTGGTACTGTTAAAAAAATATGCAATACTGTAAAAATAGTATATGGAAAAATACTCCAAAGCTTTTGTTTTTCTTCTAATCTTTGTCCCTAGTAAGGACAACTTTGAATTCTGCTTTTTGTGTTTTACACTTGTATATGTGAGCATTTATCATGTTGCTGCCTAGTCTATACTACATAGTATTTTTAAACTATGTTAACTATAATACTATAACTCTAATACTTATTAATTTTAATTACATAATTTTTACAAAATTAATTACATAATATTTTATAAAGTTATAAAGTTGGTAAATCAAGATTTAACTTTTCTTATTGTTCAACATTTTTTATTATTTTCTAATTTTGTCCAATTAGAAATTAAATGGTAGTGTAAATATCTAAATGGATTGAACATATAACAGGCATAAATATAGACTCATTTTAATTTGCATCTCTTTAATAGCTAGGAAAATTCAGTATTTTTTCATGTGTGTTTACTGATTTTTTCCACTCTTCCATCTTGTGTGAATTCTTTTCTTGTTTATTGAGCAATTGTTATTTTGGTTTTAAGGTCTTTATATTATCTACATTTCAGTCCTTTGTTATTTCTCCCATTCTGTTACTTTTCTTAGAATTTGATTATTTCTCAAGGAACAGAGAGTCAACATTTTAAATAACTGGATCAGTCTTTTTATTTCTTCTGCTACTCAACAAACTCAAATGAATCATTCCTTTATAGCTCCATCTGGGGTTTGTGGTATAAAGTAAGGATTTAGATTGTTTTCTAAATTGTTAACCAGTTTTCTTCATACCAAGACAGTTTAATTTTTTAGGTTGGTAGAGTTCCTGGTAGGTGAGCAATAGCCCAAGGAGGCAGAGGCCACACTAGAGTGCTAGAAAGGTGGTTTATGTGCCTAGAATCAGTCCACAGACCCTCCAGGCAAGACAAGGAGTTACAACTGCTTTTGTGCCCTCCAGTGTCCATCAGACTGCCCCCGCAGTGACCATCAGACTACTCCTGTGTCCCTTCAGAATTTATGTTCATTTTAACCTCATTTCAACCCGTACCAAAATATTAAGGGGAAAGAGGTGGGAAGACTGCTATATAACATGCTCTCAGAGATGGTTAATGGATGATCTGAGCTTGCCTTAGATTAATACCTCCTAAGGGCTGGGGCTAAGGGTAAGATGGTATGTCTTACCTCCTGAAAGAATACTTCTTTTGAAAACCAGCTGTGATTTGTTGGAAAGTTCTTATGTTAAATTTAAATTTGCCTCCTTTGTAACTTTGAACGTTATTTTTGTTTTGCCTTCTGAAATGAGACTATTTAACTCTTATGAGGAACGGCAGTTTGGAATACTGGAAATCTAGAAGTAAAGATACTGTTCAGGAGCATTTGGATCCTGACCCTTCTCTATTCCCATGAGGATGTGAGCTCAGTGACAGAGGGTTCATTTCTGGAATAAAGAATCTGTTATTGCTTTTTTCTTTCTTTCTTTTTGGAGACAGGGTCCTGCTCTGTCGCCCAGCCTGGAGTACGGTGGTGTGATCTCACCTTATTGTAACCTCCACCTCCCAGGCTCAAGCAATCCTTCTGCCTCAGCCTCCCAAGTAACTGGGACTACAGGTGTGCACCACCATGCCTGCCTAATTTTTTTTTTTTTTTCTGTAGAAACAGGTTCTCAACATATTGCCCAGGCTGTCTTGAACTCCTGGGCTCAAGAGATCCTCCTACCTCGTACTGGGCTGGGATTACAAGCGCAAAGCCACCATGCCTGGCCTGTTACTGCTTTTGATAAATTAATCTGCTTTTAAATGTATGTGAGTGTGTTTGTATCTGTTCAGGTGTTTCCTCTTCCCGCCAATCTGTAGTTCAACAAAAATAGTGTAGTCCTCTTCTAGTAGCCCCACAAATTCTGAAGTTGGTTATTCACTCTTTTTAGTTGGTTTCAGTTTTGATATTTAAAGCAGTTTCAGATATATTGCAATCCAAGTTTCCCTCTAAACAAAATTCCAATTTATCAGTTAGTATGGCTCCTTTATATTTGGTGTTTATGTAACATTTATTTTGTTAGTATCCACCCTTGTATCTAAAAGAATAATTGATGATACATTTCCTTTCCTGAAGTCTAGAATTAATTGAAAATTACTTAAAGTTACTTAGAAAATATTTCAACAAGCAATTCTAAATCTCTTTTAGAGCAATTGTATGATGGCTATGATGAAGAGTATGACTGTCCCATTTTAGATGAAGACAGAGTAAGTATGACTTTTTCATAAAGTATGCATTTGTTGAATTTCATAGGAAAGTTGACTTCAGTTTTCTTAAGAAGCATTTTTTTTTAAACTTTTCTTACAGGTAGTTGATGAGTTAGATAACCAAATGAGAGAAGGTGGAGTTATTGTTGATTACCATGGTTGTGATTTCTTCCCTGAACGCTGGTTTCATATAGTTTTTGTGCTGAGAACAGATACCAATGTATTGTACGAAAGACTTGAAACAAGGTAAGAAAGGAAAAACATTAGATTCTTAAAGCATAATGTTAACTTTTATTCAGATTTCTGAAATTGGCCATGATAAAAGATTGTTGTTGTTTGTTTTGTTTTGTTTTGTTTTGTTTTTTTGAGATAGAGTCTCGCTGTCACCCAGGCTGGAGGGCAGTGGTGTGATCTCGGTCCACTGCAACCTCCACCTCCCTGGTTCAAGCAATTCTTGTGCCTCAGCCTCCTGACTAACAGACCACGGGCACATGCCACCTTGCCTGGCTAATTTTTTTATTTTTTGTAGAGATGGGGTCTCCCATGTTGCCCAGACTGGTCTCGAACTCTTGGGCTCCAGCAATCTGCCCACCTCAGCCTCCCAAAGTGCTGAGGCTACAGGTGTGAGTCATAGCACCCAGCTAATAAAGGGTTTTATTTGAAAATATGACTACTTTAAAATATGGGCAGTACTTTTTGAGTAAATTAATATCTCAACTGACAATCTGATTGAGTAAAATGTACTGTGTAGAAACCCAATTTAGTCGGCCGGGCACAGTGGCTCACGCTTGTAATCCCAGCACTTTGGGAGACCAAGGTGGGAGGATCACAAGGTCAGGACATCGAGACCATGCTGGCTAACATGGTGAAATCCTGTCACTACTAAAAATGCAAAAAAAATTAGCCGGGCATGGTGGCAGGCACCTGTACAGTCCCAGCTACTCTGGAGGCTGAGGCAGGAGAACGACGTGAACCTGGGAGGTGGAGCTTGCAGTGAGCTGAGATCACACCACTGCACTCCAGCCTGGGCAACAGAGTGAGACTCCGTCTCAAACAAAAAAAAGAAACCCTATTTAGCCATGCTTTTTCTTTGATGTAAACCCTTGCTAGGAAAACAGCCAAGCCCCTAACATATTCTTTGCTTATTGACTGAACACTACTCACTCAAATTATCCCTGCATCAGGAGTGGGAAAGCTTATGAAAAACTAACAAAATAAACCAGCATTTCACAGTCTTTAATAGATACCGAGTTAAACCCACAAATAGAGCATCAGATTTAATGCGGAAGAACCAGTAAAGAGAAACTTTTAGGGAAGTCTTTTATCCCCACTGTCTTTTGATCAAAGCTGTGGGAATATGGGGATTCTAGAGAAATTAGAGAGCAATCTCAGAAAGGAAAGCTCCAGAATTTTGCTTAAGGTCGGGGTCAGAATGTGTGGTTTTCACTGATTATAGTCAACTCTGACTAACCACTATTATTTGCGATACTTGTAAATCCTTGCACAGAATAGTATGGCAGCAAATATACATATAGAAAAAGTTAAATTGGGGCTAAACCTAAAACTTTTATCTTTTTTAGGCAGTGAAAAGCCATTAAAAGTTTTGGGGCAGAGAAGTAATAGAGACTATATGGTACATATGCTTTTTTTCAATCAAGACAATTTAAAATTTTGATTAAAAAATTACTGTTTTACATATATAGCCAAGGGTAAGACTAAGGTATGAAAAAACTATGAGAGAGCTAGTTAGTATTTTTAACTATCGAAAAGGTTGTAAAAAAGTAACAGCTTTAGGCTGGGCATGGTTGGGTGGTGAGGGGGAGGCAGGACGGCTCACACCTCACACCTGTAATCCCAGCAATTTGGGAGGCTGAGGCAAGGTGATTGCTTGAGCCTAGGAGTTTGAGACCAGCCTGGGCAACATAGCAAGACCTTGGTCTCTACAAAAAAATAAAAAATTTAGCCAAGTGTGGTGGCATGCACCTGTGGTCCCAGCTACTTTGGAGGCTGAGGTGGGAGGAATGCTTGAGCCTGGGAGGTTGAGGCTGCAGTGAGCTGTGATTGCACCACTGCACTCCAGCCTGGTTGACAAAGCAAGACCCTGTCTCAAAAGCAACCAAAAAACAAAAATATCCACTTTATTGAGATTTAGTTTACATTCACCCACTTAAAGTACATAATTCAGGTTTTTTTCTAGTTTTATGGGTACATAGTAGGTGTATATATCAGTTGCTCATTTGTTTTTTTGTATATCAAAAAGTTGTACAATCATTACCACAAACAATTTTAGAAAATTTTGGGGGTGGGCGCGGTGGCTCACGCCTGTAATTCCAGCACTTTGGGAGGCCAAGGTGGCTGAATCATGAGGTCAGGAGTTCGAGACCAGCCTGACCAACATGGTGAAACCCCGTCTCTACTAGGAATACAAAGATTAGCTGGGCGTGGTGGCTTGCACCTGTAATCCCAGCTACTCAGGAGGCTGAGGCAGGAGAATTGCTTGAACCCGGAAGGTGGAGGTTGCAGTGAGCCGAGATCACACCACTGCACTCCAGCCTGGGTGACAGAGCAAGACTCCGTCTCAAAAAAAGAAAATTTTTGTCACCCCAGAAAGGAACCCCATACCCAGTAGTAGTCACTCCCCATTTACCCTCAGTTCCCCAGCCCTAGGCAACCAATAATCTACTCTCTGTCTTTATGGATTTGTCTATACTAGATATTTCATATGAATGAAATCATACAGGATGTGGACTTTTATGCCTGTCTCCTGTCAAATTAGTTTGTTTTCAAGGTTCATTCATATTGTATCATAGACCAGTACTTCATTTCTTTTTATTGCCAAATAATATTCCATTGTATGGATGTATCATTTTTAAAATACATTTATCAGGTTGTGGACATTTGGGTTGTTTCACTTTTTGGCTGTTATGAATATTGTATCCATAAACATTCTTGTACATGTTTTTGTGTGGACATCATGTGTTTATTTCTCTTGTTTATATATCTAGGAATTGAATTGCTGGGTAATATGGAAACTTTGTATTTGACCCTTCCAATAACTGCCAGATTGTTTTCCATAGTGGCTGCATCATCTCATATTCACACTGTGTATGAGGGTTCTAATTTGTCCACATCCTCACCAACAGCTGTTATTGTTCATATTTTGGTTGTAGTCATCCTGCTGGATGTGAAGTAATATCTCATTGTAATTTTGATTTGCATTTCCTATACAGCTAGAGATGCTGAACATCTTTTCATGTCCTTATTAGACAGTTGTGTATCTTCCTTGGAGAAATATTTACTCAGATTCTTTGCTTAAGTTTTAATTGGGTTACAAATCTTTTTATTACTAAGTTATGAGATTTTGCTAATTTACTAATTCATTGGGAATTTATTGAGTAGCTGACAAATTGTGGGGGGGGGAAATTCAAACAAACCTAGATGCTGGTTTGGTGATCTTTAGTTTCACCCTAGTGTCAAGAAACTGTGTCATATAAACAGGTACCAGTCACTCCTCTCTAGGTGAAGAGACCATTTCTGTAATTTTTCACGTATTGAAAAGTGTCCAGTTTCTGGTATGTTTCTGAAACTCCAGTTAATGCCATTTATTTTGCTTCTTGTTTGCTTAACCTCCCTGCCTTCTAGGGGTTATAATGAGAAGAAACTAACAGACAATATTCAGTGTGAGATTTTTCAAGTTCTTTATGAAGAAGCCACAGCATCCTACAAGGAAGAAATCGTGCATCAGCTGCCCAGTAATAAACCAGAAGAGCTAGAAAATAATGTAGATCAGATCTTGAAATGGATTGAGCAGTGGATCAAAGATCATAACTCTTGACTTATAAGGCTAGCTACTTAATAATCACTCTTGTTGATATCTCTGCCGACATCATAGAAATTGTTCAAGTGTCAGTAACACTTTATTAAAATCATGTTGCAGAACCAGCAGGTGGATAGTATATAGGTTTATGCCTGTGTTTCTTTTTCTCCATGAGAAAGCTAAACATGAAATATAATGAATATAGTATTATTAAGGATTGAGACAAAAACTGTGATTTTAATACTTAAATTGCTAAAGAATAAATAAATCTGACAAAATGGGTGGATATCTTTTAAGTTTATTACAGAAAAAAATGCAGA
Organism: Homo sapiens; assembly: GCF_000001405.40. Classification (NCBI taxonomy): domain Eukaryota; kingdom Metazoa; phylum Chordata; class Mammalia; order Primates; family Hominidae; genus Homo; species Homo sapiens. Next base: position 134,951 of record NW_003315917.2, on the reverse strand, counting down.
TGATCTCTTAAAATAAAACTAAAGATAAAGCAACAGAGTATTCCTTTTTTCTTTCTTTAAATTAGAAAAAAAGTTAAGTGTTGTACTCGATACAAAGTTCAAAAGGTACAAAAGAGCATGTTGAAAAGTTAGGTCTCCCTTCCAGACCACCCTATCCCCAGGCACCCCAGGTTCCTTCCCTTTAGGAAATAATGTTACTGGTTTCCTATATGTCTTTTTAGAGGTTTTATGCCTGCACAGTGTATATGTACATGTGTACATTTTTTAAAGAATATAACAGTATATTATGCACACTATTCTGTACCTTTCTTTTTTCACTTACTATATTTGAAGATTATATCATCTCAGTACAGACCTCCCTGTTCTTTTTTTTAGTTGAGATAGATATACATATCATACAATAAAATTTACCATTTTGAAGTGTATAATCAGAACCGGGTATGGTGGCTTATGCCTGTAATCCCAGCAAATGGGGAGGCTGAGGTGGAGAATCGCTTGAGGCAGGAGTTCAAGACCAGCCTGGGCAACATAGTGAGACCTTAGACTCTAAAAATAAACATAAATAAAATTTATAATCCGTTGGTTTTTAGCTTATTAACAAGGTTATGTAACTGTCACCACTGTGGAGGAAGCAGTGATGATAAAGGGAACTCCTATACCCTTTAGCAGTCACTCTCTATTCTTTCCTCCTCATCCCCTTGCAGTCACTAGTCTACTTTCTGTCTCTATGGATTTGCATATTCTGGATATTTCATATAAATGGGATTATACAGTATGTGGCCTTTTGTGTCCAGTTTCTTTCACTTAGCATAATGTTTTCAAGGTTCATCTAAGTTATAGCATGTACCAATATCTCATTCCTTTTTATGGTTGAATAATATTCCATTATATGGATTTACCACATTTTGCTTATGTTTCCATCACTTGCACAATTGGGTTGTATCCACTTTGGGTATTGTGAAGTTGAATACATAATAGTAGCATACTATGAGCATTCATGTACAAGATTCCATGTGGATGTATGTTTTCAGTTTTCTTAGGCATATACCTGGGAGGGGAATTGCTGGGTCATAGGGCAACCATGTTTAACTTTTTGAGGAAATGCCAAACTGGTTTCCAAAGTGGTTGCAGCATTTTATGTTCCCACCATCAATGTATTAGGGACTCAGTTTCTTCACATTCTTGCTAACACTTGTTACGGTCTATATTTGTTGATTTTTACCATTTCAGCGATTTTTATTAGGCTAAGTGTGTGTGTATGTTCTGTAACTTACTTCACTTGCAGGCATGACAGGGTGAGGTCTGTCTCTCTACATGGGCCACTCCCGGGGTCTGGTCACAATATACCACCACAGGGGGCAAAGCTTCAGTCCTAGACCACCAGTTGGGATTTCCTCCTGCAGCTGCTTAACCTCTCACTCCTGGCTTTGCCTCAGCAGTTTCTTCCACTGCTCTCTCTTGGCTAAGTAATCAGGGTACATTGCCTTCTCAGAAGGATTCCAGTCATCTAAGCACCACTCCAGAGACTTGTAGCATATCACTCGTATCTCTCATAGGAAGTACCCCCAGAGAGTCAGGGAAGAGAATGGCTGTGAATGCTGACGATACCAGAATTCCTCTGCCTCCCTCAGCAGTGGGGTAGCCTCCATCATACCCTTTTTTTTTTTCCTATGCTCTTCAAACCAGGCTCTCATCAAACAGGCAAAATATACCATTATTTATCTCTGGATGCACCATGGCTTGAGGTGGTACAGCGCCTGGTTACAAAGCAGCAACACCTTCTGGTGATAGGTCAAGTAGGCCCTCCAGCATCGAGAACACCATGACTGCTTGATCCCATCTTTTTTTTTTTTTGAGACGGAGTCTTGCTCTGTCGCCCAGGCTGGAGTGCAGTGGTGCAATCTCGGCTCACTGCAAGCTCCACCTCCCGAGTTCACGCCATTCTCCTGTCTCAGTCTCCCAAGTAGCTGGGACTACAGGCGCCTGCCACCACGCCCGGCTAATTTTTGTATTTTTAGTAGAGACGGGGTTTCACCATGTCAGGCAGGATGGTCTCGATCTCCTGACCTCGTGATCTGCCCACCTTGGCCTCCCAGAGTGCTGGGATTAGAGGCGTGAGCCACCGCGCCTGGCCTTTTTTTTTTTTTTTTTTTTTTTTTTGAGGCAGTCTCACTCTTGTTGCCCAGGCTGGAGTGCAATGGCGTGATCTCAGCTCACTGCAGGTTCAAGGGTTCAACCTCCACCTCCCAGGTTCAAGCGATTCTCTTGCCTCAATCTCCCAAGTAGCTGGGATTACAGGCATGCACCACCATACCCGGCTGATTTTGTATTTTTAGTAAAGACAGAGTTTCTCCCTCGAACTCCCAACCTCAGGTAATCTGCCCGCCTCAGCCTCCCAAAGTGCTGGGATTGCAGGCGTGAGCCACCTTGCCTGGCAACTCCCATCTTTTTTATTATAACTATACTAGTGGGTGAGTAGTATATCACATTTTGGTTTTGATTTACATTTCTCTAATGATTTATGATGAGCATCTTTTCATGTGCCTATTGGTTTATCTTCTTTGGATCCCTCATCTTTTTAATGTTTGCATAAAATGGCATTAATGAGGCTAGGCCCGGTGGCTCATGCCTGTAATCCCAACACTTTGGGAGGCCGAGGTGGGTGGATCACCTGAGGTCAGGAGTTTGAGACCAGCCTAACCAACATGGTGAATCCTTGTTTCTACTAAAATACAAAAATTAGCCGGGCGTGGTGGTGGGTGCCTGTAATCTCAGCTACTTGAGAGGCTGAGGCAGGAGAATCGCTTGAACCGAGGAGGTGGAGGTTGCAATGAGCCGAGATTGCACCATTGCACTCCATCCTGGGCAATAAGAGTGAAACTCCCATCTCAAAAAAAAAAAAAAAAAAAAAAAGCCATTAATGATATGCCAAGTACCCAGGCACTGTGGCTCACACTTGTAATCCTAGCACTTTGGGAGGCCAAGGCGGGCGGATGACTTAAGCCCAGGAGTTTGAGACCAACCTGGCCGACATGGTGAAACACTGTTCCTAAAAATAAATAAATAAATTAATTAATTAAGTAAATAGGCCAGGCCGGGCGCGGAGGCTCACGCCTGTAATCCCAGCACTTTGGGAGGTCGAGGCAGGCAGATCACGAAGTCAGGAGATTGAGACCATCCTGGCTAACACGGTGAAACCCCGTCTCTACTAAAAATACAAAAAATTAGCCAGGCGTGATGGCAGGCACCTGTAGTCCCAGCTACTCGGGAGGCTGAGGCAGGAGAATGGCATGAACCCGGGAGGCAGAGCTTGCAGTGAGCCGAGATAGTGCCTCTGCACTCCAGGCTGGGCCACACTCTGTCGCAAAAAAAAAAAAAATAGGTCAGGCATGGTGGCTCACTCCTGTAATCTCAGCACTTTGGGAGGCCTAGGTGGGAGGATCACTTGAGCTCAGAAGTTCGAGACCAGCCTGGGCAACATAGTGAGACCTCGTCTCTATTTAAAAAAAAGAAAAAAGAGGCTGGGCATAGTGGCTCATGCCTGTAATCCCAGCACTTTAGGAGGCCAAGGCAGGTGGATCACTTGAGATTAGGAGTTCGAGACCAGCCTGGCCAACATGGTGAAATCTCGTCTCTACCAAAAATACAAAAACTAGCCAGGCATGGTGGTGCATGCCTGTAATCCCAGCTACTCCGGAGGCCGAGGCAGGAGAATCGCTTTAACTCAGGCAGCGGAGGTTGGAGTGAGCTCAGATTGTGCCACTGCATTCCAGCCTGGGCAACAGAGTGAGACACTGTCTCCAAAAAAATGAATAAATAAATAAAAATAAAATAATAGCCCAGAGTGGTGGCATGCACCTATAGTCCCAGCTACTCAGGAGGCTGACGCAGGAGGATCACCTGAGCCTGAGGAGGTCGAGGCTGCAGTGAGCTGTGATTGAGCCACTGCACTCCATCCTGGGCGGACAGAGTGAGAACTTGTCTCAAAAAAAAAGACATGCCAAGTTTGATTTAATCAGTCCTCTCACTAATGGACATTTAGGCTGTTTCCAGCTTTTTACTATTACAATGATGCAAGAATAATAAAGAGTAAATATATTACTATGACATAAACTTCTAAACACATTTCAAAAGTGAATTCTTTATCCACATGACCACTCTCTGAGGTAGATGTTATTATTATTTCCATTACAGGAACCAAGGCACAGAAGAGTTAAGTGGCTTATCCAAGATAATAGCTAAAAAGTATTAGCTTCAGTGTTCTATCTTAGGCAGGCTTTCACTCACTAAGTTGTGTTCCCTAATGCATATGCGTTATGCATATGAGCAAGTTTATCTGTTGAGTAAATTCCCAAAGACAAATTGTACGCAAGCTTAACATTTAGTAGACTAATTTTTTTTCTTTTTTTTTTTTGAGACAGGCTCTTGCCATGTCACCCAGGCTGGAATGCTGTGGCACCATCATAGCTCGCTGCAGCCTCGACCTCCTGGGCTCAAGTGATCCTCTGACTTCAGCCTCCCAAGTAGCTAGTGAAACCCTGCCTGTACAAAAGATACAAAAATTAGGCCAGTGGTTCATGCCACTGCACTACAACGTGGGCAACAGATGAGGCTGCATCACAAAAAAAAGAAAAGAAAAGAAAAAAGAAAAACCAACAAAATTAGCTGAGTGTGGTGGCATGTGCCTGTAATCCCAGCTACTCAGGAGACTGAAGCGGGAGAAGCGCTTACACCCAGGAACTCGAGGTTGCAGTGAGCTGAGATCGCACCACTACACTCCAGCCTGGGTGACAGAGTGAGACACCATCTTAAAATTTTCAAAAAGGCCAGGCACGGTGGCTCCCGCCTGTAATCCCAGCACTTTGGGAGGCCAAGGCTGGTGCCTGAGGTCAGGAGTTTGAGACCAGCCTGGCCAACATGGTGAAACCCTGTCTGTACTAAAAATGCAAAAATTAACTGGGCGTGGTGCTGGGTGCCTATAATCCCAGCTACTCAGGAGGCTGAGGTAGGAAAATTGCTTGAACCTGGGAGACGGAGGTTGCAGTGAGCCAAGATCACGCCACTGCACTCCAGCCTGAGCGACAGAGCAAGACTCCGTCTCAAAAAAAAAAAAGCCTGGCCAAAATGGTGAAACCTCCTCTCTACTAAAAATACAAAAATTAGCCGGGCATGGTGGCACACATCTGTAATCCCAGCTATTCCAGAGGCTGAGGCATGAGAATTGCTTTAACCCAGGAAGTGGAGGTTGCAGTGAGCTGAGGTTGCAGTGAGCTGAGATTGCACAACTGCACTCCAGCCTGGGCAACACAGACAGACCCTGTCTAAAAAAAAAAAAAAAAAAAAAAAAAGCAAAGAAATCTGCACATATGGGCACATTTTTAAAAATGTTTTCTTTTTAAAGTTTTTCCCCCGCGCCCCCCACCTGAAGCTGACAGTAGTTGATGGGCCATTTTTTTATTTTGAGACAGGGTCTTGCTCTGTCACCCATGTTGGAATGCCATGGCATGCTCTTTGCTCACTGCAGCCTCAATCTCCCCAGGCTCAGGTGATCCTCCCACCTCAGCCTCCAAGTAGCTGGAACTACAGATGCTCGCCAGTACACCTGGCTAATTTTTTAACTTTGTGTAGAAACAAGGTTTCACCACGTTGCCCAGCCTGGTCGGGAACTCCTGGGCTCAATGAATCCTCCTGCCTCAGTCTCCCAAAGTGTTAGCGTTACTGGCGACAGCCACCGAGCTCTGTGGCAATTTTTGATGGAAGTCCAAAGGCAAGTCAATGGGGGAAAGAATAATCTTTCAACAAGTGAAAAAATTTAGTGTCTTGGATTAGAAAAAAGATTTTTCTGATAAGACACAAAAAGCACAAACCATAAAGGGACTGATACATGGGACTTCAGCAAAATTCATAACTCTTTCTCTCTTCAAAAGACAATGTTAAGAAAATGAAAGCACAAAGAGCCAGGGCAGCAGTGCTCACCCTAGTCCAAACTACTCCCAGCTACTAGGGAGGCTGAGGTAGGAGGATCACTTGAGCCCTGGAGTTGAAGGTTGTAGTGAGGTATGACTGTGCCTGCAAATAGCTACTGCATGCCAGCCTGGGCAACATAGAAAGACTCCATCTCTACAAATTTTAAAAAAGAGAAAGAAGATGAAAGCACAAATCACAGATTGGAGAAAATGCAAAATGAATATCTGATATCAGGTGTGTATCTAGAATATGTACAGAATTATCAAAATAATAAAACAACTTGATTTAAAAAAATCAACAAAATCGGCAAACCTTAATCTAGATTAACAAAAAAGAGAAGGGAGGGGATATCACTACTGACTACGGAAATCAAATGGATTATAAAGGAAAACTATAAACAACTGTATGCCAACAAATTAGATAATTTATATTAAATGGACAAATTCCTAGAAATTCACAAACTTCTGAAACTGATTCAAGAAGAAATATAAATTATGAATAGGCCTATAACAAGAAAATATAATAAATTAGTAATTTTAAAACTTCCTACACAGAAAGGTCCAGGCACAGATGGCTTCACTGGTGATTTTTTTAAATTAATTAATTAATTTATTTATTATTATTATTTTTTAGATGGAGCTTCACTCTTGTTGCCCAGGCTGGAGTGCAATGGTGACATCTTGGCTCAGTGCAACCTCCGCGTCCCGGATTCAAGCAATTCTCCTTCTTCAGCCTCCCGAGTAGCTGGGATTACAGGCGCCCACCACCACACACAGCTAATTTTTTGTATTTTTAGTAGAGACGGGGTTTTACCTTATTGGCCAGACTTATCTTGAACTCCCAGCCTCAGGTGATCCACCCACCTTGGCCTCCCAAAGTGCTGGGATTACAGGTGTAAGCCACCACACCTGGCGATTTTTTTTATTGTTTATAAAGAAAAGAGGTTTAATTGGCTCATGGTTCCACAGGCTATATAGGAAGCATGGCTGGGGAGGCCTGAGGGAACTTATAATCATGGTAGAAGGCCAAGGAGAAGCAGGCACGTCTTACATGGCTAGAGCAGGAAGAAGAGAGAGCCACTGGTGAATTTTATTAAATGTTTAAAAAAGAGCCAATACCAATTATTTTAAAATTTCTCCCAACAAATAGAAGATAAGGGAATAATTCCCAACATATATTAAAAAGTTTACATTCAGGATGAATTGCTGTTGGCCCAGCACAGTGCCTCATGCCTGTAATCCCAGCACTTCGGGAGGCCAAGACAGGCAGATCACCTGAGGTCAGGAGTTTGAGACCAGCCTGGCCAACATGGTGAAACCCCATCTCTACTAAAAATACAAAAATCAGCCAGGGATGGTGGCAGGCGCCTGTAATCTCAGCTACTCCGGAGGCTGAGGCAGGAGAATTGCTTGAACCCGAGAGGTGGAGGTTGCAGTAAACTGAGATTGTGCCACTGCATTCTAGCCTGGGCAACAGAGCAAGACTCCATCTCAAAAAAAAAAAAAAAAAAGATGAATTCTGTTAAGTTGAAAAATAAACAAATAAATAAGGCTGGGCATGGTGGCTCATGCCTGTAATCCCAGCACTTTGGGAGGCTGAGACAGGCAGGTCACCTGAGGTCAGGAGTTCGAGACCAGCCTGGCCAACGTGGCAAAATCCCATCTCTACTAAAAATACAAAAATTATCTGGGTGTGGTGGTGGGAGCCTGTAATCCCAGCTACTTGGGAGGCTGATCCAGGAGAATCGCTTGAATCCACGAGGTGGAGGTTGCAGTGAGCTGAGATTGCCCCACTGCACTCCAACCGGGTGACAGAATGAGACTGTGTCTCAAAAAAAAAGACCCGGCCGGGTGCAGTGGCTCATGACTTTAATCCCAGCACTTTGGGAGGCTGAGGTGGGTGGATCACGAGGTTAGGAGTTCGAGACCAGCCTGACCAACATGGTGAAACCCCGTCTCTACTAAAAATATAAAAATTAGCTGGGCCTGGTGGTGCATGCCTGTAATCCCAGCTACTCAGGAGGCTGAGGCAGGAGTATTGCTTGAACCTGAGAGGTGGAGGTTGCAGTGAGCCGAGATTGCGCCACTACACTCCAGCCTGGGCAATACAGTGAGACTCCGTCTCAAAAGAAAAGAAAAAAAGAAAAAGAAAAGAAATTAGCTGAGCATGGTGGTGCATGCCTGTAATCCCACCTACTCAGGAGGCTGAAGCAGGAGAATTGCTTGAATCCAGGAGGCAGAGATTGCATTGAGCCAAGATCGCACCACTGCACTCCAGTGTAGGCAAAAGAGCAGGACTCCATCTCACACACAAAAAAGAAAGCTATCCCATCTTCATGCATCAGAAAACTTAACATTGCTAAAATGGCAATACTTGCCAATTGATGTACAGTATTAGCACAATCCATATCATAATTCCCAGCTGGCTTCCTTGTAGAAACTGACAAGCTAATCCTAAAATACATACGGAAATTCAAGGGACTCAGAACTGCCAAAACAAAGTTGCAGGACTCACATTTCTTGATTTTCAAACTTACTACTAATGCCACATTAAGACAGGGTAGTACTGGCATAAGAATAGACATATAGATTAATGGAATAGGATTGAGAGACCAAAAATAAGCCCTTATATTTATAACCAATTAATTTTCATAAGCTTGCCAAGACAACTGAACATAGAAAGAACAATCTTTTTTGTTTGTTGTGTTTTGTTTTTGTTTTTTGTTTTTTTGTGTGTTTGTCTTTTTCTTTTTTTAATTATACTTTAAGTTTTGGGATACATGTGCAGAACGTGCAGGTTTGTTACATAGGTATACATGTGCCATGGTGGTTTGCTGCACCCATCAACCCATCATCTACATTAGGTATTTCTCCTAATGCTATGAAAGAACAATCTTTTAAACAAATAGTGCTGAAACAACTGGATAACTACACACAAAAGAATAAAGATGACGCCAGGCGCAGTGGCTCACGCCTGTAATCCCAGGACTTTGGGAGGCTGAGGCGGGCGGATCACCTGAGGTCGGGAGTTCAAGACCAACCTGACCAACATGGAGAAACCCCATTTCTACTAAAAATACAAAATTAGCCAAGCGTGGTGACACATGCCTGTAATTCCAGCTACTCAGGAGGCTGAGGCAGGAGAATCGCTTGAACACAGGAGGTGGAGGTTGCAGCGAGCCATGAGTATGCCACTGCACTCCAGCCTGGGCAACCAGAGCAAAACTCCATCTCAAAAAAAAAAAAGAAAGAAAAAGGAATAAAGATAAATCCTTTCCTCACACATACACAAAAAGTAACTCTAAAGCTCTAAAGGATCACAGATCTAAATGTAACAGCTAAAACAATACATTCTTAGAAGAACATATAGGAGTAAACCTTCATCAGCCTTTGTGAGGCAAAGCCTTCTTAGGTATGACACCAAAAGCATAAGCAACTAAAGAAAAAAATAGATAAATCAGACTTCACCAAAATTTAAAAACTTTTGTGGTTCAATAGACACCCTTAAGACTGTGAAAAGACAACCTACACAATGGTAGAAAATATTTGTAAATTATATCTGATTAGAGTCTAGAACTCTAATCAGATAACAAATTATATCTGATTAAGTAAGAACTCTTATAACTTAATCATAAAAAGATAAATAACCCTGTTGAAAAATGGACAATGAAATTTAATGGACATTTCTTCAAAGAAGATATGCAAATTGCCAATAAGCACATAAAAGATGCTCAACATCATTAGTCATTAGGAAAAATGCAAATTAAAACCATCATGAGAGATTGTTTCACACCCACTAGAATGACTAAAAGCAAAAAGACAAACAATAACAGGTGTTGGTGAGGATGTGGATAAATTGGAACCCTTACACATAACTAGTGTTAATATAAAATGGTGTAGCCACTTTGAAAAACCACTTGGCATTTCCTCAAAATGTTAAATATAGAGTACTATATGGCCCAGCAATTTCACTCCTAGTTCTATACCCATGAGAAATGAAAACATACACCCATACAAAAACTTGTCCATGACTGTTTATAGCATTATTCATAATTGCCCAGAATTGGAAACAATCCAAATGTTCATCAACTGATGAATGGTGTAATTCTTTTTTTTGAGTTGGAGACTCACTCTGTCACCCAGGCTGGAGTGCAGTGGCACGGTCTTGTCTCACTGCAACCTCCACCTCCCGGGTTCAAGCGATTCTTCCACCTCAGTCTCCTGAGTAGCTGGGATTACAGGCACTCGTCCACACCCAGCTAATTTTTGTATTTTTAGTAGACATGGGGTTTCACCATGTTGGCCAGGCTGGTCTCAAACTCCCGACCTCAGGTGACCCGTCCACCTCAGCCTCCCAAAGTGCTGGGATTACAGGCGTAAGCCACCACGCCCGGCCTGAATGGTATAAGATAATTGTGGTATGTCCATAAAACTAAATATTATTTGGCCATAAAAAGAATGCAGTACTGGCTGGGTGTGGTGGCTCACACCTGTAATCCCAGCACTTTGGGAGGCCGGGGTGGGCAGATCACCTGAGGTCGGGAGTTCGAGACCAGCCTGACCAACATGGAGAAACCCCATCTCTACTAAAAACACAAAATTAGCCAGACGTGGTGGCACATGCCTGTAATCCCAGCTACTCGGGAGGCTGAGGCAGGAGAATTGCTTGAACCCAAGAGGCAGAGGTTGCAGTGAGCCGAGATTGTGCCGTTGCACTCCAGCCTGGGCAACAAGACTGAAAATCCATCTCAAAAAAAATTAAAATAAAATTTATTTTTAAAAAACATGTGCTCAGGTAACAAAAAAAGACAAAAAATACATGTACAATGCTGCTAAACTATTGCTTAACAAATATATGCCGAAAGTCTTTAAAAGCTATATGTACAATTTGAGTACGTCTCAAGTAGCTGGGATTACAGGCACCTACCACCATGCCTGGCTAATTTTGTGTTTTTAGTAGAGACAGGGTTTCCCCATGTTGGTCAGGCTGGTCTTGAACTCCTGACCTCAGGTGATCTGTCCGTCTCAGCCTCCCAAAGTGCTGGGATTACATGTGTGAGCCACCGTGCCCGGTCCAAAAATAAATTTTATATCCATGCCTCCACAGTTCTAAATTTTGGAAAAGTTTTGACAAAGAAATCAGGGTTATCTTAGAGGTTATCTTAAAGTTTTTTTAAGGGGGACAGGTGGGAGTAAGCCTTGAAATATTTTTAGAGTGAAGACTGTTGTTTTAAATACATGTCAGAGTTTTAAGTGAAGAAAAATTATTTTTGGTTTGCAAAAGCTATTTGATGTGCCTACTCTACCATAATAGATACTAGGCAAACTGACTTTAAAATTATAAATGTATTAATCTTTTTTTTTTTTTTGAGACGGAGTCTAGCTCTGTCACCCAGGCTGGAGTGCAGTGGTGTGATCTCGGCTCACTGAAACCTCCACCTCCTGGGTTCAAGCGATTCTTTTGCCTCAGCCTCCTGAGTAGCTGGGATTACAGGCACCTGCCACCACGCCTGGCTAATTTTTGTATTTTTAGTAGAGACGGCGTTTCACTGTGTTGGCTAGGCTGGTCTTGAACTCCTGACTTTGTGATCCACCTGCCTCGGCCTCCTAAAGTGCTGGATTACAAGCGTGAGCCACTTCACCCAGCCTATGTATTAATCTTTTAAAATAATCTTAAATCCTTGAGCATCTAATGTGCACATAGCATTGACCTTATTTATAATCAGGAGAAATTTTAGAGCCTCAATTTTAAGTCTCGTATATTTCCCAGTATACCTAGATATGTTTACTTTTGGGGTATAAGTGGTTAAGGCAAATGTGAGCTGGATCTGGAGAAGAGAAAGAATAAAGAGGTTTGTCACTGCGAGGAAAGTGTTTATTACTTGTCTTTGTTGTTAATGCAGAATGATCTTTAGACCCAGCAGTTTTTTGACCACTACCACGTCCCTTTGGTTATTCCAAGGTTGTAGGATATTAGGAAATAAAACCAAAATTATTTCACCAAGGTAATGAAGTTATGATGCAGCATGTTTTCATGGGGTTATAGGTAGGTAGCACCCATCTCAGAAAACCACCAGGAATAGGTAACAGTCCCCAGTAGTAGCTTTCTAAGCCCACAGGGCCATTCCTGTTGGTTTCCACTTCCATGACTTTGCTCCAGGAATTCCTTTGGCCTACAATGCCTGCTTGGTTTCTCAGTAATGAAAGCCTGCTTTTCTTTTGTTCTTTTTTTTTTTAAATTATCAGGGATTTTATTGATTTTACAAAGGATGATGTAGTTTCACTGACACTGCAGTATAAGAAATATAACAGCAAAAAGATACTGCCTTCCACCTCCCCCAACCCCAAGAACTTTCAGTAATGGAATTTCAGACTAAACCTTTCCTTTTATTTTCTTATTTTCTCTTCTCTTCTCTTTTTTTTTTTTGAAACGGGGTCTCACTCTGTCACTCAGGCTGGAGTGCAGTGGTGCAATCTTGTCTCACTGCAACCTCCACCTCCCGGAGTGATTCAAGTGATTCTCCTGCCTCAGCCTCCCAAGTAGCTGGGACTACAGGTCCGCACCACAAGGCCCAGCTAATTTTTGTATTTTTAGTAGAGACGGGATTTCACCATGTTGGCCAGGCTGGTCTCAAACTCCTAACCTCAGGTGATCAACCCACCTCGGCCTCCCAAGGTGCTGGGATTACATGAGTGAGCCACCACGCCCAGCCAGACTAAACTTTTCTAAATGTCATGTGGAAGATAAAATTATTTGTACAAATGTTTTCATAAATATATTAAAGCATTTCAACACCTAGCAATCCATTACTAAAGACATTAATTTAAAAAAATTATTGCAATATTTGGTGCCATTATATAATGGAAAATAAGGTAAACATGCAGACTGTATATAGTCTAATTCAATTAACAAATATAAGGAAAACCTATTAGCTAAATTTCTGGCATTTTTGAAGAAACTAAAATCAAGTTAACAGCACCCCATGGTCTCAATGTAACAGGAAAGGGAAGGGATGCTAAAACCCACCTCCTTTGATAACTTCCAAGTAGATGACCATCTGGCCTGATTTGCGTGGGATTGAGGGTTATCAGGATGTGGGACATTTAGTGTTAAAACCAGGGCAGTCCTGGCCCAGTAGGGACAGCTGGTACTCTTCACCCCTCCAGTTCTTTTAAAAATGTGTGCAATTGGCCAGGCGTGGTGGCTCACACCTGTAATCCCAGCACTTTGGGAGACCAAGACGGGTGGATTACAAGGTCAGGAGATCAAGACTATCCTGGCTAACATGGTGAAACCCCATCTCTACTAAAAATACAAAAAATTAGCTGGGCGTGGTGGCGGGCACCTGTAGTCCCAGCTACTAGGGAGGCTGAGGCAGGAGAATGGTGTGAACCTGGGAGGCGGAGCTTGCAGTGAGCCGAGATTGAGCCACTGCACTCCAGCCTGGGTGACACAGAGAGATTCCATCTCAAAAAAAAAAAAAAAAAAAGTGTGCAATATCCACATTGCTTTATTCTGGGACTTTTCTGCTTGCATATAAGGCTCTCCAGGAAGTCACGAAGCTGCACGATGGCGGGGCTGGAGGAATCAGCCACATCTCCGGGGCATCCACCTCTTGCATTAGAGGTGTCTTCAACTCTATCTTCAGGTGTCCAGGCTGCCACCAGGTAGCTAACAAAGAAATGTCCTGGGTGACTTTTGTCTTTGGTACTCTGTGCTTTCCCTGTTGACATCCTCAGCTCCTACCTCCACAGGCCTCGCACTGTATTCCCTGTGGCTCATGCCCGTGGACACTCTCTACAGGGACTTGCTCTAAGCACACTGTTAACTAATTGACAAAAATGCCAGCTATTGGCCGGGTACGGTGGCTCATGCCTGTAATCCTACCAATTTGGGAGGCTGAGGCGGGCAGGTCACCTAAGGTCAGGAGTTTGAGACCAATCTGGCCAACATGGTGAAACCCTGTTTCTACTAAAAATACAAAAATTAGCCGGGCGTGGTGGCGGGCACTTGTAATCCCAGCTACTCGGGAGGCTGAGGCAGGAGAATTTCTTGAACCCAGGGGGCTGAGGATTCAGGGGGCTGAGGATTCAGTGGGTCGAGATCGCGCCATTTCACTCCAGCTTGGGCAAAAGAGCGAAACTCCGTCTCAAAAAAAAAAAAAAGGCAGTTATTGAAGCTCAAAGTGTGACCTCTTCTAGGAGTGTTGAGAGGTTTTAAAACGGCATTCTTAGACCTCAAAAATCTTTCAAAGACACAAAGCTAGACAGTAAAAATTGTTAGCTCTGTGAAAACCATTAGCTCTGTGAAAACCAAAGTGCAAAGCACTTAATAATAGCAATAGTTGTTTCTTACTGTGAACCATGTGTCAGGCACCATTCTAAATATTTCACAAACAATTCATATAGCAGCCCTGTGTGGTAGGTACTGAATCAAGCCAATTTCACAGGTAGAGACGCTGAGGCTGAGCTTGGTAATTGTCAGAGCTTGATTTGAACCCAATGCCATGCTTATATACCTCCAAAGTCAGGCTCTTTTTTACTTCACGATGAATAGTTTTTTTTTCTGATATCACACACACATACACACACTAAATATATATTATATATATAATGTATATATAATATATACATTATATATTATATATTATGTATATTATGGTATATTATATTATATATTATGTATATATTATATATTATGTATATATTATATATATTATGTATATATTATATATATATATATGATTTTTGTAGAGAGAGACAGGGCTCACTGCATTGCCCAGGCTGGATTGCAGTGGTGCAATCATAGCTCACTCTAACCTCAAACTCCTGGGCTCCAGCAGTCCTCCTGCCTTAGCCTCCCAAGCAGCTAGGACTATAACTATGCTCATCCAATTTTTTTTAAGAGACAGGGTCTTACTATGTTGCCCAGGCTGGTCTTGAACTCCTGGGCTCAAGCAATCTTCCAGCCTCAGCCTCCCAAAGTGCTGGGATTACAGGTATGAGTCACCATGCTGGGCCTCACATGTTAGGTTTTAATGAGGTCTCTTAGTTTGCCGCTAGGATCAAGTCCTCTCTCTTTTTTTTTTTTTGAGACGGAGTCTCGCACTGTGGCCCAGGCTGGAGTGCAGTGGTGCAGTCTCAGCTCAATGCAACCGCCGTCTCCCGACTTCCAGCGATTCTCTTGCCTCAGCCTCCCGAGTAGCTGGGATTACAGGTGCGTGCCACCACGCCCGACTAATGTTTTGTGTTTTTAGTAGAGATGGGGTTTCACTGTGTTAGCCAGGATGGTCTTGATCTCATGACCTTGTGATTCACCCACCTCAGCCTCCCAAAGTGCTGGGATTACAGTCATGAGCCACCGTGCCCGGCCTCAAGTCCTCTCTCTTACCTCTCACTGATTCAGCCACATACAATTATTTTGATCACCTGCTATGCACCCATGGTGTTCTTGGCACTAGGAATCCTGCTGTGAGTGAAGCTGAGCTCCTGCCTGGGTAGAGCCTGGGCCACATGGGTCTCCCAGCTGTGCTTTGAAGTCACTGTCAAAAGTCCTGGGCACTGGAGAATTTCATGTGTCTGTTGCTAAGGCAAGATGCCAAATTCCACATTTGCCTCCAACAGGAACAAATGTCAGTTTCCACCAAGCCCCACCTTGTTCAGGTGACTCCTGTTGTGAGTCTTTTCATACCATCTCCCCTTCACCCACAAGTGCCACCAACAGGCAGAGGTGGGGAGCTGGGTTTGGAGATACTGGTCTGATCCTTAGGTGAACTCCTCTCCCCTGATGTTGCAGGAGAATGGGTGCTCAGATGGAGAATCAGCACTCTTCTCAGGATTGGAAGGTGCTGTGGCTGGGGGAGTCTGCATTATGTTCTGGGCTGTGAGCTTTTCCAGAATTCTGCTCCACAGGCACACATCTGCTGTGTATGTATTTCATGGTATAAATCAGATGTCCCTGAGTTCTCTAGTATTGAATGTCTATGTAAAAAGTGTCTAGCCCCAACTGAGGATGCTGGAAGTCTAGTCTGTTAGGAGGCCCCTGAATATGTGCTTGTCTTGTGTGACCTTCCAGGAGGTGACTCAGTTCTCTTTTGTTCTGTTTCTTGCTCTAGGCTATTGCTCCATTTTTTTGTAGGTCATCTCCTGCCACTTCTTCTCTAGGGTAATGCTGTTTGCAATACACAGTTCCTTGTCTTGGTTTCCCAAGCATCTTAGTTCTGAAAGTGAGATATGGGCTTGTCTGGGACGTGGGGGACAAAGATCAGGTGCCTCCACAAGTGACTCTCCTCAGCTCCCAGCCAGCTGACAACTGCATGGACTGATGGTCTCTTTCTTTCCTTATCTGCATGCTGGTTTCCAGGACTTTGCGCACCCTGAAGGAGCCTCATATGACCCAGTAGTTTCATTCCTAGGCAGCTTTTATATCTTTTATCATTTTTCTAAGCTTAAGACACCTTTGGTCAGCCACGGTGGCTCACGCCTGTAATCCCGGCACTTTGGGAGGCCAAGGCGGGCGAATCACCTGAGGTCAGGAGTTCGAGACCAGCCTGACCAACATGGAGAAACCCCCTGTCTACTAAAAATACAAAATTAGCTGAGCGTGGTGGTGCAGACCTGTAATCTCAGCTACTCCAGAGGCTAAGGCAGGAGAATCACTTGAACCCGGGAGGCAGAGGTTGCAGTGAGCTGAGATCTCGCCACTGCACTGCAGCCTGGCAACAAGAGAAAAACTCTGTCTTTAAAAAAAAAAAAAAGACTCCTTTTCTTTCCTCATTAATTTGGCGGCCACGTCTGTCCGGAACTTGTGGGACGTCCTCGTCTTCATCAGGTTGGCAGATACTCCAGCATGGCCTGCCGGCCGCCGAGGCCACCATCCACAGGCTCAAGGGCTCCGTGGTCGCTCCTTCGTGCTCCCGCCTCCAGAGGGAGCCAGACAGTGCATCCTTGCAGTGGACGCCGCCCGCCCGCAAAAGCCTGTTTTTCAATGACTGCCTCTACCTCTGAACCTCAGCTTAGATTTCTCTCTCTCTCTCTCTCCCTCCCTCTCCCTCTCTCTCTCTCTCTCTCTCTCTCTCCCACCCCCCCCTCCTCTTTTTAAGACAAAGTCTTGCTCTGTCACCCAGGCTGGAGTGCAGTGGCGCGATCTCGGCTCACGGCAAACTCCGCTTGCCGGGTTCAAGAGATTCTCCTGCCTCAGCCAAGCAGCTGGGAATACAGGCACCTGCCACCACGACCGGCTAATTTTTTTTTTGGAAGAAAATGACTTTATTCTAATTAACTCACAAAGAATAAAATCATAACAGCTAGTTTAAGGAGGCCACACAAACATTTGCCCTGTCACAGATTCTACAGAGTAGGAACACCCCCCTTCCATTTCAATTCTGAAGCAAGGAAGCTAGGAATGACAGGAGAGGTTTAACTCATGGTTACACTTTATACCCTCACTATCAATTCTATTTTTATACTAAATTAACTTAGTTATGAGAGCTGATTTTCCATCTCTCCAGGTTGAACTTCTTGATTAGGCCAATCCGTTTGCAAGTCGGCACTGTTTCAGCACCTCATTGAAACCCTCACAGAGCTTGATGTCACCCTGGTTCTGGGCACACTCCAGAAACTGATCTCATAGAAGCAAGGCTGCTGCTGCTGTGCCGGCTGGGTTCCCTGAGGCTCCTGGTAAGTGATGTCAGGCCTCGCAGGCTCAGCATTACTTCCTCCCCTGAAAGCCCCAGTAATGGCGTGACCCACAGCAGAGCCCACAGCCACGCCAGCTGCAGTGGTTGCCATCTGGGCCATCAGACCTGGCTGCCGGGGCGCAGCAGCAGAAGAGCCAACTACAGATGGGGGTGCCGCTGCTGGTGGCTGAACGACTGGTACTGGCCTGGGTGCAGCTCTCATCTGAGGGGGCCTGGCTGGCCGGAGGGGCCATGCGGGAGGTGCGGCTTCGGCTTCCACGCGGCATCCTAGGTACGCGACGGCTCGGCCTCCGGACGTGTGACGACCGGCTAAATTTTGTATTTTAGTGGAGATGGGGTTTCACCATGTTGGCCAGGCTGGTCTCAAACTTCTGACCTCAGGTGATCCACCCACCTTGGCCTCCCAAAGTGCTGGGTTAACAGGCGTGAGCCACCGCACCTGGCCCGATCTACCCTTCTCTTACAGGATTCCTAGAGACTTAATATTTTGGTTTTGGTTTGTTTCTTTTTTGAGACAGGGTCTCCACTCCGTCGCCCAGGCTGGAGTGCAGTGGTCACTGTAGCCTGGATCTCCCAGGCTCACGGGATCCTCCCACCTGACGGCCTCCCGGCCTCCTGAGTAGCTGGGACTACAGGTACGCACCACCACACCCGCTACTTTTTAATTATTTTTTTTTTTTGAGACGGAGACTCGTTCTGTTGCCCAGGCTGGAGTGCAGTGGCACGATCTTGGCTCACTGCAAGCTCCGCCTCCCGGGTTCACGCCATTCTGCCTCAGCCTCCTGCGCAGCTGGGACTACAGGCACCCGCCACCACGCCCGGCTAATTTCTTGTATTTTTAGTAGAGAAGGGTTTTCACTGTGTTAGCCAGGATGGTCTCAATCTCCTGACCTCGTGATCCACCCGCCTCGGCCACCTAAAGTGCTGGGATTACAGGCGTGAGCCACCGCGCCCAGCCCTACTTTTTAAATTTTTTGTAGAGCGGGGTCTCACTATGTTGGCCATGCTGGTCTCGAATTCCTGGCCTCAAGCGATCCTCCCGCCTTGGCCTCCCAAAAGCTGGGATTACAGGTGTGAAACCCCGCGCCGGTCTGAACCTCAATGTTTGAACCACCAAATTTTACCTGTATTGACACAGGCCCCGTCTTGTTGTTTTTCTAAATCTCATGTCATTGTTTGCATATTGGTTACCCGTGGTTGGCTTTGGAGCTGAAGGTGGACAGAGCTAACATCAGGTTGCACACAGGAACACAGTGAGGTCGCGAAAAAGTAGCGCGAGCTGCCTCCATGGCCCAGGGCGACCTCACCGGCGTTTCCTGTCTGGGACTGCGCCCACGCGGTCACGTGGTGGCCCGGAGGACGCGCGGCGGCAGCGGCGCACGCGCACGGAGAGGAGGCTACTTGCCAGGTGAGCGAGCTGAGTGGGGCGCCGGGGCGGTAGGAGGGTGCTGTTCGCTGAGCTGGAGTCCGGGCTCCGGTCCCCGCCACGGACCTTGAGAGGGTACCCGGGGTCAGACCTGGCAGGTGGGAACCGGGAGTGGGGAGGACCCAGGGCAGGGGCGGGATGCGCAGATTCGTGGAAACTCTGCAGGTTGTGGACAAACTGCCCAAATCCTTTTCCCTGAATGCCAGTTTAATGGCCTCGTCTGATAAGAAAAAAATAAGAAATAGATTTCAGAGACCCTATTTCTCTCTCTGCCTCTCCACCTGCTTTACTTTTTTTCTCTTCTGTTAATTTTGAGCCTTATAAAACTATAGCGCCAGTATCCTGGTTTGGATCCTGAAACAGAAAAAGACATTAGTGGAAAAAATAATAAAGGCTGTGGTTTAGTTAATAGCACGTACCCATGTTAATTTCTTAATTTCGACAAATTGTACACAAATGTTGACATTAGAGGAATTTGGGTAAAAGGTACACAGGAATTCTTAGTACTATCTTTGCAATTTACTGTACATCTAAAATTATTCTAAAATGAAAAGTTAAGAAA
Organism: Homo sapiens; assembly: GCF_000001405.40. Classification (NCBI taxonomy): domain Eukaryota; kingdom Metazoa; phylum Chordata; class Mammalia; order Primates; family Hominidae; genus Homo; species Homo sapiens. The sequence continues at coordinate 115,298 of NW_003315917.2, read as the reverse complement.
CAAAATCCTAAAGCAAAGTGCAGCAGGCCATTGTTCACCAGGGAGGGCTCAAGTTAGTTCCTCTTTGTCATGGAGTTAGGCATGTTTGACCAACTTGTTTGCTAAGGCAGAGTTGTCAGGCTACTGAATGTAGATTCTTCTGTCCAAAGGTTTCCGGGCAGGAATCGGTTTTCTCTTTCGATTCTGTCAAATATCTTTGGAACACCTGTTGTGCATAAGCAAACGAGACACACAAAGTCTCTGCATAAGGGAATATACAGTCAGTCTAGGTCAGGTAGGAAGTAAGCACTATTAAAAAGATTCAGTAAAACCTCCCAGAACTGGGAAGACTCAGATGTGGAAGAAATCACATCTGGTCCAAGGGAGTCAGGAAGGCTACTGGAGGGAGTGCTGTCCTGAACTGAGGGGGCTCTGAGAAGAAACAGCATTCCTGGGGTGAAGAATGGCACCAATAGAGGCTTGCAGGTGACCAAGCTGAGCTGAGGGAGGAGCCCTGGGAGCAAGTGCAGTTCCTCTTACGTGGAAGCGCAGAGTACATCCAGGGAGTACTGCCAGATGAAACTGGAGGTGAAAACTGTAGCTTTGTTGTAGAAAACAGGGTGACACTTCAGTTGGATACATTATTTTTATTTTTATTTTTTTGAAACGGAGTTTCGGCTGGGCGCAGTGGCTCACGCCTGTAATTCCAGCACTTTGGGAGACCGGTGAGCAGATCTCCTGAGGTCTGGAGGTCTAGACCAGCCTGGCCAACATGGTGAAACCCCGTCTCTACAAAAATACAAATATTAGCCGGGCATGGTGGAGGGCGCCTGTAATCTCCGCTACTGGGGAGGCTGAGGCAGGAGAATCGCTTGAACCCAGGAGGTCTAGGTTGCAGTGAGCCGAGATCGCACCATTGCACTCCAGCGTGGGTGACAGACAATAGTGCTGTCTCAGCTCACTGGAACCTCCACCTCCCAAGTTCAAGCGATTCTCCTGCTTAGCCTCCCAAGTAGTTGGGATTAAAGGCGCCCGCCACCATACCTGGCTAATTTTTGTATTTTTAGTAGAGACGGGGTTTCACCATGTTGGCCAGGCTGGTCACAAACTCCTGACCTCAGGTGATCTGCCCGCCTCAGCCTCCCAAAGTGCTCGGATTACATGTGTGAGCCACTGTGCCCAGCCTACATTTTTTTTAAAAAGGAAAACAGGGTGACATTGACTACAATTATACATGCCATGGGAGCCATGGAATGTTTTACAGCAAGAGAGAGACATCATTCGGTTTGCACTTGGATATTATTGACTTGGCAGCAGTATGTAGGTTGGCTTGAAGTAGACCAATTAGGAAATTATCAGGCTAGCCTTGGGGAATTAAAGAGACGTTCCACCAGGGCAGTGAAATTAATGTGCAAAGAATGACATAGTTTGGGGAGATTTTTTTGGGTCTAGAAGACCTAGCAACTGAAGGCATGTGAAGACCAAAGAGGAAAAAACAATTCCAAAGTTTTGCTCCTGAGTGTTTTGGAGCATAGTTGATGCATTTGCAGAAATAGAGGACTCAGAGGGAGACCTGGAATGGGGGCTGGGAGGATAGTGAATTTTTTTTTTTTAGATGGAGTCTTGCTCTGTCACCCAGGCTGGAGTGCAGTGGTGCAATCTCGGCTCACTGCAATGTCTGCCTCCCGGGTTCAAGCGATTCTCCTGCCTCAGCCTCCCGAGTAGCTGGGACTACAGGTGCACACCACCGTGCCCAGCTAATTTTTGTATTTTTAGCAGAGACAGGGTTTCACTATGTTGGCCAGGCTGGTCTCGAACTCCTGACCTCATGATCCGCCCGCCTCAGCCTCCAAAGTGCTGGGATTACAGGCATGAGCCACCGTGCCCGGCGGTGAATTTGTTTTTGAGCAAGATGTGCTTGGATTGCTGGTGGAATATCCAGTTGGAGATGTGTATTTAAGATTAGTAAAAGAAGCCAAACATTTACAAAAGGGACAGGAAAAAGAAAAAGAGCCTTAGAGGACAGATATGAGAAGATATGAGTCAGGGAAGGAGGAGGATCAGATTTCTATTTCTAGGGGCTTCAGGAGTCAGGTGGACCTGGACTTAGTGAGTCAGTAGTGTCACAGCTCCTGCAAAGGTAGAGGAGACTGAGGAATGAAACTTGATCTTGGATTTATCTATGAGGAAGTCACTGGTCATCTTTTAAAGAGTTGTTTTAGTGGAAAAGTGAGACGACTGCTAACAGACTGTAATCTATTCATCCTACAGCCTTTCCCAAGTGGCCAGAGGACTGGACAAAGAGCCAGAAATATTGTTTCTAGTCCTGGCTCTGCTGCTAATTACCATTGTATTTGGGGCAAGTCACGTATGCCTGGGCTGGAATAGAAAAAAATACATCCGAGCTGGGCTCGGTGGCTCATGCCTGTAATCCCAGCACTTTGGGAGGCCGAGACAGGTGGATCATCTGAGGTCAGGAGTCCGAGACCAGCCTGGCTAACATGGTGAAATCCCATCTCTACTAAAAATACAAAAATTAGCTGGGTGTGGTGGCAGGCACCTGTAATCCCAGCTACTCAGGAGGCTGAGGTGGGAGAATCACTTGACCCAGGAGGCAGAGGTTGCAGTGAGCCGTGATCACGCCATTGCACTCCAGCCTTGGTGACAAGAGCAAAATTCCGTCTCAAAAAAAAAAAAAAAAAAAAAGACTTGAATCCTGGCTGGGCATGGTGGCTCACACCTGTAATCTCAGCACTTTGGGAGGCCGAGGCAGAAGGATTGCTTGAGCCCAGGAGTTTGAGACCAGCCTGGGCAATATAAGGAGACCTCGTCTCTACAAAAAATACAAAAATTAGCTTCTACAAGAACAAAAAAATTAGCCAGGTGTGGTGGCACATGCCTGTAGTCCCAGCTACTCGGGAGGCTGAGATGGGAGGGTCACTTGAGCCCAGAGGTCGAGGCTGCAGTGAGCTGTCACTGCACTCCAGCCTGGTCAACAGACTGAGACTCTGTCCATATAAAAATAAATACTTTAATCCTAAACGTTGACACATCTATTTTAGACAGCATATATTGATATGTTGGTTCAAGTCGTCTTTTAAAAGTCAAAGGTAGGCCGGGCGTGGTGGCTCACGCCTCTAATCCCAGCACTTTGGGAGGCCGAGGCCAGCGGATCATGAGGTCAGGAGATTGAGACCATCCTGCTTAACACGGTGAAACTCCATCTCTACTAAAAATACAAAAAATTAGCCGGGCGTGGTGGCGGACACCTGTAGTCCCAGCTACTCAGGAGGCTGAGGCAGGAGAATGGTGTGAACCCAGGAGGCGGAGCTGGCAGTGAGGTGAGATGGCGCCACTGCACTCCAGCCTGGGTGACAAAGCGAGACTCCATCTCAAAAAAAAAAAAAAGTCAAACGTATAAAGTATGAAGGAACCTCTGTGTTTATCTATTCAAGATTACCATATAGTACAGAATCAGCTGTAGATATTCTTAGATTTTGTGGTACTGTTAAAATACAATATTATAAAAATGGTATATGGAAAAATACTCTAATCCTACTAATTTATTTTTATCTTTTGTTTTTCTTCTAATCTTTGTTCTAGTACAGACAACTTTGAATTCTGCTTTTTATGTTTTACACTTGTATATGTGAGCATTTATCATGTTGCTGCCTAGTCTATACTACATAGTATTTTTATTTTTATTTTTATTTTATTTTTATTTTTTGAGATGGGGTTTCACTCTTGTTGCCCAGGCTGGAGATTATTCTTAAACTATGTTAAATACACTATAACTCTAATACTTATTTAATTAATTTTGTTTAATTACATAGTATTTTATAAAGTTGTTAAACCAAGATTTAACTATTTCTTTATTGTTCAACATATTTTATTATTTTCTAATTTTGTCCAATTAGAAATTAAATGGTAGAGTAAATTGCTGAATGCATTGAACATAAAACAGGCATAAATACAGACTCATTTTAATTTAAAAAATTAAAACAAAAAAAGTCCAGGCTTGGTGGCTCACGCCTATAATCCCAGCACTTTGGCAGACAGAGGTGAGCGGATGGCCTGAGGTCAGGAGTTTGAGACTAACCTGGCCAACATGGTGAAACCTTGTCTCTACTAAAATACAAAAATTAGCTGGGCATGGTGGCAGGTGCCTATAATGCCAGTTACCTGGGAGGCTGAGGCACAAGAATTGCTACAACCTGGGAGGCGGAGGTTGCAGTGAGCTGAGATTGCGCCATTGCACTCCAGCCCTCAATAAAACCAAAAGGACACTTTTATTCCTAGCAAAACCTAATAGTCTGGAGAACATGTTCCATGGAGCACACTTTGGAAAATGCTGATACAGAAACAATTTTAGAGCTCTGAAGAACCAAAAATCTAGTCCCCTAAATTGACAATTGAAGAAAATAGTATTCAAATTCAATAAACATTGATTTGGCTACCATAGTTGATTTCAAATATATCAGTGGTGCCCAAAAATGTCCCAATAAAGTAGTTATGCTTAAACCCCTGTTAAGAAATAAAACAGGCTCTAAGAAGTTAAATGACTTACCCAAGATCAAAAAGTGGCAAGTGGTGAAGTGAGATTTGAACCCAGACCTCTCGAGTCAGTGCCTTCTCCGTTAACACATCCTGCTGCTTCCCTGGTCATCAACCCTGAATACATTAAACTGGTTGGATAGTTTAGTGACTTCAAATATTTTCACTTTCTTGGAAGTAATGTGTTTCAAAAGTGAAGTTTAATTTGTATGGTATTTCATGTTACCTTACTATCAGCATATAAAAAGTGGGAGAATAGGCCAGGCGGGGTGGCTCATGCCTGTAATCCCAGCACTTTGGGAGACCGAGGCAGGCAGATCATGAGGTCAGGAGATCGAGACCATCCTGGCTAACGCGGTGAAACCCCATCTCTACTAAAAATACAAAAAATTAGCCGGGCGTGGTGGCGGGCACCTGTAGTCCCAACCGCTCAGGAGGCTGAGGCAGGAGACTGGCATGAACCCGGGAGGCGGAGCTTGCAGTGAGCCGAGATCTCGCCAGGGCACTCCAGCCTGGGCGACAGAGCAAGACGCTGTCTCAAAAAAAAAAAAAAGTGGGAGAATATACAGTCAGCAGTCCCTGAAGTTACATTTTATTTTATTTATTTTTAGAGACAGGGTCTTGCTCTGTTGACCAGACTAGAGTGCAGTGGCGTGATCACAGCTCACTGCAGCCTTGACTTCCCACCTCAGGCTCCCGTGTAGCTTGGGACTACAGGTGTGCACCACCATGCCCAGCAGTTTTCTTTTTTTCCTTTTTTTGTAGACATGAGGTCTCACTGTGTTGCCCAGGCTGGTCTGAACTACTAGGCTCAAGCAGTCCTCCTTCTTTGGCCTCACAAAGTTCAGGGATTACAGACATGAGCCACCATTCCCAGCCTGAAGTTAAGTTTAAGAAACAGTAGGCAGGGATAAAAAACAAACAAAACAACAACAAAACCTCATTATATTCAACTCTGAATAGCAGGAAGGCGTACCCATGATGCCTGAATTTATGTGGTGCATTGAAAAATATTCTTAGCTAACTCTACAATTGCTTACTCTTTCCTTTTACAGCTTTTCCCCCTTATATTGACCAATTCCATTTTCTTCTCTGCTGCCTGCCTAATCCTGACCACACCCTTCTTAACACAGGCCAGAGGTTGCCCTTAACAAGCAGGAGTCTACTGCACTAGAGGTAAAACACAGCCTCTCAAGGGATTATTCTTTGATTCAATAAATATCTTCTTATCTACCTTGACAAAATAGGTAAATCTCCTTTTTAAGGAAATAATCTTGTAAAAGAACCAAGATGATTTTATAAAAATCTGGGAAAAAGTGGATCCAGAATCTGTTAGATGTTGCTCAAACTAGATATTTTAGACTTTTACTTTAAGTTCTATTTGAAGTCATAAATAATAGAAACTTGGTATACTCTGATGTTAATTTCATTGAAATTCTCCAAATAATACAAAACAGTGGCTAAGAGTGTTGGCTCTGACATCAGATATCTGGATTAAAAATCTGTCTCTGGGCCAGGGGTGGTAGCTCATGCCTGTAATCCCAGGACTTTGGGAGGCTGAGGTGGAAGGATCCCGTGAGGTCAGAAGTTCAAGACTGGCTGGCCCGAGACCCTGTTTCTACAAAATGAATTAAAAATTAGCCTGGCAAGGTGGTACACATCTGTAGTCCCAGCTACTTTGGAGACTGAGGTGGGAGAATCACTTGAGCCTAAGAGGTCGAGGCTGCAGTGAGCTGTGGATGCCATCACTGCACTTCAGCCTAAGCAATGAGCAACAGAGTGAGATGCTGTCTCTCTTTTTTTTTTTTTTTTTTTTTTTTGAGACAGAGGGTTTTGCTTTTTCACCCAGGTTGGAGTGCAGTGACACGATCTTGGCTCACCGCAACATCCACCTTCTGGTTTCAAGTGATTCTCCTGCCTCAGCCTCCCGAATAGCTAGGATTACAGGCACCTGCCACCACACCTGGCTAATTTTTGTATTTTTAGTAGAGATGAGGTTTCACCATGTTGGCCAGGCTGGTCCTAAACTCTTGACCTCGTGATCCGCCCACCTCGACCTTCCAAAGAGCTGGGATTACAGACGTGAGCCACTGTGCCCAGCCCGAGACCCTGTCTCTTAAAAAAAATCCATCTCCACTTCTGGTTGACTGTGTTACTCAGTCTCTGTCTGCTTCAGTTTAATTTTCGTACTTAATAATGGTATTTTCTTGCAGAGTGTTTGTAAAGAATAAATATAATCTAAGGCACTTAAAACTGTCTAGCACATGGAAAGCAGGCAACAAGTGCTAGGTATTATTACATCTTTTTTTTTTTTTTTTTTGAGACAGAATCTCACTCTGTTGCCCAGGCTGTAGTGCAGTGGTGCAAGCTCGGCTCACTGCAACCCCTGCCTCCCGGGTTCAAGCCATTCTCCTGCCTCAGCCTCCCAAGTAGCTGGGACTACAGGCATGCACCACCACACCTGGCTAATTTTTTGTATTTTTTAGTAGAGATGGGGTTTCACCATGTTGGCCAGGCAGGTCTTGAATTCCTGACCTCACGTGATCCGCCCACCTTGGCTTCCCAAACTGCTGAGATGCAGGCATGAACCACCACACCCAGCCTAATGAGTTTTGATAAGTGGCCACTGTGGTGAAGATATAGAAGTTTTCCATTACCCCAGAAAACTTCCCTCATGCCCTTTGTGGTCATTTCTCCAATGCCAAGCAACCATTAATTTGTTTACCATCATTGTGTGTTAGTTTTCCCAGTATTTCATACAGTATGTGCTGTTGTTTATTTATTTATTGTTTTAATTAGTGATGGGGATCTCGCTATGTTGCCCAGGCTGGTTTCGAACTCCTGGCCTCAAGTGATTCTCACACCTCAGCCTCCCAAAATGCTGGGATTACAGGTGGGAGCCACCACATCCGGCCTAGTATGTGCTTTTTTGTTAGCGTAATGTCTGGGAAATTCATTGCATATATCGGAAATGCATTGCATGTGTAATGCATATGTCAGAAATGCGTTGTTCTTTACTGACAAATATATTCTGTTGTATGGACAGACCACAGTTTCTTTGTTTTACTGCAGATGGACACTTGGGTTGTTTCCAATTTTTGACAAATTGAGTGATGTATGAATATTCATGCACACATCTTTGTACGGACATGGGGTTCTGTTTCTCTTGAGTAAATCCTGAAGAATGCAGTTGCCAGGTCACATGTTTGTAAGAAGCTATCAAATTGTTTTCCACAGTGGTTGTACCATGTTTTACTCACATCACCAATGTATGAGAGTTTCAGTTACTCCACATCCTCAGCAGCACTTGGAATTGTCAGTGCGGTGAGGTGGAATCTCACTGGGGTTTAAGTTATAATTGCCTGATAACTAATGATGCTGAGCATCTTTCCATCCATGTATCTTCTTTGATGACATATCTGTTCAAATCTTTTAAGGGTATTTGTTTTTAACATTGAAAATATATGGCATTTTGATCCTAAAAATGACAGAAATTCCTTAATACATGGTCAGATTTATTTGGTGTCTACATAAGGTTTAATAGTGGAAGAATAGAGAGATCTCCACAACAAATGCAAGACTGAGATTAAATGTCTTTCGAAGTTTTGGAAGCAACTACTTAAACAGCAGGATATTTAGAGAAAAATGTTAGACATGTTTATACCCCCACACCCCACTTTTTTTTTTAATGAGCCTTGAGAGAAGGATGAAATATTTCTAAATAGCTATAGCAAAGCAGCTGTTTTGAAATGCCTGGTGGTGAAAGTCCCTCTTAACTGCACTCTGTCCTGGAGGCACAAGGTTGAGCATTTCTGCTTCTCCCGGCTGCTTCACTGTCACCAGGTAGGTGACTAGGGTGGTCTCCACATGGGGAGGGCTCAGTGATACTAGTTGATCTGTAGGCATTTTTGCCAGGAGAAGTTTTCTGCTGGGAAGAAAGGCAGGCATAACTCCTCTGTATCTGCTGTGGAGTCCTGCTAGGGTGCCGGTTTTGTTTTTCTGCCCTAAAAGCAAGTACAGTCTAACCAAACCTGCTGTGCGTGGCCTGAGGTGGGATAGGAGCTCCGTGAGTTCCACATTGGTTGATTCAACCAACCAGGGTTGAAAATATTTGGAAAAAAAAATCCACAGTGTTCCAAAAACAAAGACGAATTTGCAGGACTCAGAGTACGAGGTTAAATCCACGGGAATGAAGTGATGTATAGGCAGTGTATTAGATATTATACGTAATTTAGAGACAATTGAAAATATATATAAAGTACACAGGAGGATGTGCCTAGATAATATGCAAATATGATACCTTTTTGATTAACAAATTAACAAATTTTTTTTTTTTTGAGATGGAGTCTTTCTCTGTCGCCCAGGCTAGAGTGCAGTGGCGCAATCTCGGCTTACTGCAACCTCTGTCTCCCAGGTTCAAGCAATTCTTCTGCCTCAGCCTCCTGAGTAGCTGAGATTACAGGCACACGCCACAATGCCCGGCTAATTTTTTTGTATTTTTAGTAGAGATGGGGTTTCACCATATTGGCCAGACTGGTCTTGAACTTCTGACCTCAAGTGATCCGCCCACCTTGGCCTCTGAAAGTGCTGGGATTACAGGCATGAGCCACCGCGCCAGGCCGAACAAAAAATTTTTTGAGATAGAATGTTGCTCTGTAGCTTAAGCTGGAGTGTAGAGGCACAGTTATGGCTCACTGCAGCCTCCACCTCCCAGAGCCAAGCAATTCTCCCACCTCAGCCTCCTGAGTAGGCGTGTGCCACCAGCTAATTTAAAAAAAAATTTTTGGGCCAGTGCGGTGGCTCACACCTGTAATCCCAGCACTTTGGGAGGCCAAGGCGGGTGTATCATGAGGTCAGGAGTTTGAGACCAGCCTGACCAACATGGTGAAACCCCGTCTCTGCTAAAAATACAAAAATTAGCCGGGTGTGGTGGCGCGTGCCTGTAATCCCAGCTACTCAGGAGGCTGAAGCAGGAGAATTGCTTGAATCCAGGAGGCGGAGGTTGCTGTGAGCTGAGATTGCGCCACGGCACTCCAGCCTGGGCGACAGAGCAAGACTGTCTCAAAAAAAAAAAATTTTTTTTTTGTAGAGACAGGTTCTCACTGTGTTGCCCAGGCTGGTCTCAAACTCCTGGGCTCAAGCAATCCTCTAGCCTCAGCCTCCCAAAGCCTTGGTATTACAAGTGTGAGCCACCATGCCTGGCTAAGAATTTGAGGATCCAAGGAAATACACAGGGGTCCTGGAACCAGTTCCCCTTGAATTCCTTGGGATGATTGTATTTCAGTTTGTTTCTTTATTCCTCTCTTCCTTTATTCAGTTACTAAACAAGTATTTATTGAATGTAGAGTATATCTGCTCCCCACCCCCACGTGGTGCCTCACTCCTGTCATCCGAGCTACTCCAGAGGCTGAACTGGGAGAATCACTTGAGCCCACGAGTTGGAGACCAGCCTGGGCAACATGGTTAGACCTCATCTCTCAAACAAACAAATGAAAAAAAAAACCCAGCTGGGCGCGGTGGCTCATGCCTGTAATCCTAGCACTTTGGGAGGCCGAGGCAGGCAGATCACCTGAGGTCAGGAGTTCGAGACCAGCTTGACCAACATGGAGAAACCCCGTCTCTACTAAAAAAAAAATAGAAAATTAGCCGGGCATGGTGGCGCATGGTTGTAATCCCAGCTACTTGGGAGGCTGAGGCAGGATAATCGCTTGAACCCGGGAGGCGGAGTTTGTGGTGAGTCAAGATTGCGCCACCACACTCTAGCCTGGGCAACAAGAGCGAAGCTCCGTCTAAAAGAAAAAAAAAAGAGTTCTGAAATGTTAAATACTTATAATTGGATTGCAAGGGCATTTATGTGCGAGTGCATTGCTAGGATATTCATGCCTGTATAATACAGAAAGAAACTTTTTTCCCTGAAAAATTCAGCTTTATTATACAGTTATGCACCAAATTATGTTTCAGTCAATGACAGACCACATAGACAGTGGTGGTCCCATAAGATACTATTGTATTTTTACTGTTCCTTTTCTATGTTTAGGTATGTTTACATACACAAATATTGACCCATGTGTAACGATTTCCTACAGTATTCAGTGCTATACCATGTTGTACAGGTTTGTAGACTAGGAACTATAGGCTCTACCATGTAGCCCAGGGGTATAGTAGGCTATACCATCTAGGTTTGTGTATGTATGCTCTATGGTGTTCACACAACGACAAAATTGCCTAACAACACATTTCTCAGAATATATTCCCATCATTAGGTGACACATGACTTTACTGATGGGTTTTCTTCATTTTGTTTGTTAGGTTTTTTGTTTTTTTAATTGAAAATTGACAGATTATGGCTGCCTATATTTATGAGGTACAAAGTGATGTTATGATTTATGAATACAATGTGGAATAATTAAATCAAGTTGATTAACATATCCATCATCTCAAATACTTATCATTTTTGTGGTGAGAATATTTGAATTTTATTCTATGAGCAATTTTGAAATGTTCAATACATTTTTGTTATATTCACCATGCTGTGCAATGTATTGCAAAGGAAAAAACCTTATTCTTCCTGTCTAACTAGGACTTTGTGCCCTTTGACCATCATTTCCCCATTCCTCCCATCCCCCAGCCTCTGGTAACCACCATTTTTCTTTCTGCTCCTTTGAGTTTGATTGTTTTTTATTTTATACATAAGGAAGAACGTGGTATTTGTCTTTCTGTGTCTGGCGTATTACACTTAGCATAATGTTTTCTAGTTCCATCCATGATGTCCCAAGTGACAGGATTTCCTTCTTTTTCAAGGCTGACTAGTATTTCATTGTGTACACACGCACACGCACACACACACACACACACACACCCCACACCATATTTTCTTCACCTGTTCATCTTTGATGGACACTTAGGTTGATTCCATATCTTGGCTATTGTGAACAGTGCTACAGCAAACATGGGAATGTAGACATCTCTTTGACATACTGATTTCAAATGTTTTGGGTAAATATCGAGAGGTGGGGTTGCTGGATCTACTGATGTTTTCCTAACTACTGTTTTTCTTAACTACAGACAGCCCATTTTTTCTTATGATAAAGACGGCATTTGGCTCATGAGCAAGGTGGCAAGATCATCAAGTGAGTCAGACGTGCAGCTCTGGGAAACAGAAGAGGATGACATGACAGAAGGTGATTTAGGGTATGGCCTCGGAAGGAAACCTGGTGGGATTTATGAAATAGAATTTTCACATAGGTCTAGAAAAAGATCAGATGGAAAGAACTTTAGCCCTCCTCCATTTCCGAGAAAGGGAGAAGAAAGAAATGAAGCGAGTTTTCAGTATTCCAAGCATAAGAGCCAGCAAGATACATTCCCTCAAGTGTCCAGAATTTCCAATTACAGACGACAAAGTAGCACTGGTAAGAATGCTGAATTTCCTCTCCTTTCTTTCTCCTGTGCATAGTATCAAAGCTATAACCCTTCCAAAATCTAAAATAAATAACCATATTGGATTTTAGATTTTCTTTTTTTTCTGGACGGAGTCTTGCTCTGTCACCCAGGCTGGAGTGCAGTGGCACGCGATCTCGGCTCACTGCAACCTCCACCCCCCGGGTTCAAGCGATTCTCCTGCCTCAGCCACTGGAGTAGCTGGGATTACAGGCATGCACCACTACACCTGGCTAATTTTTGTGTTTTTAGTAGAGGCGAGGTTTCACCATCTTGGCCAGACTGGTCTCAAACTCCTGACCTCAAATGATTTGCCTGCCTCGGCCTCCCAAAGTGCTGGGATTACCGGCATGAGCCACTGCACCCAGCTTTTAGAAATTTATCTTTATTCATCTCTTGGGATTGGTGGTAGTATAAAAGTAGTTGATAGCCGGGCGTGGTGGCTCACGCCTGTAATCCCAGCACTTTGGGAGGCTGAGGCAGGTGGATCACAAGGTCAAGAGATCGAGACCATCCTGGCCAACATGGTGAAACCCTGTCTCTACTAAATATACAAAAAATTAGCCGGGCGTGGTAGCAGGTTCCTGTAGTCCCAGCTACTCGGGAGGCTGAGGCAGGAGAATGGCATGAACCCGGGAGGCGGAGCTTGCAGTGAGCCAAAATGGCACCACTGCACTCCAGCCTGGGCGACAGAGCAAGACTCCATCTCAAAAAAAAAAAAAAAAAGTAGTCGATGTTTATATTTCTAAATATTGTACAGTACAGTAGTTATGCATCTAATATATTAATGATATCTATAAATGATTACCAACCTTGCCTTTTTTGTGAAGTACTTTTTTTTGCAGTCAAATATTTACTGGGCATCATTAGGTGTCAGGCACAGGTCCAATTTCTGAGAATAATGTCAGTAAACAAAATAGACAAAGGCCCTAATGTCATGGATTTCACATTCTAATAGAGGAGATAGAAAATAAACCTGCAGGCCGGGTACAGTGGCTCATGCCTGTAATCCCAGCACTTTGGGAGGCCGAGGCGGATGGATCACTTGAGGTCAGGAGCTTGAGACCAGCCTGGCCAACATGGCAAAACCCCATCTCTACTAAAAGTATAAAAATTAGCTGGGTGTGGTGGCACGTGCTTGTAGTCCCAGCTACTCGGGAGGCCGAGGCACAAGAATTGCTTGAACCCGGGAGGTGGAGCCAAAATTGTACCACTGCACTCCAGCCTGGGCAACAGAGCAAGACTTTGTCTCAAAAAAAAAAAAAGAAAAAAAACCAAAACCCTGCAAATCAACAGATGTGTAACATTGGGCAGTGGTAAGTGAAGGGATAGTGAGTGATTATGGGGAATGGGGTGCTAGTATTTCAGGCCAGGGTTAGGAAGGCTTCTGTAAGGAGGTGACATTTTTTTTCTTTTTACTTTTCTTTTTATTTTTTATTTTTATTTATTTATTATGAGGTGGAGTCTCACTCTTGTCGCCCAGGCTAGAGTGCAGTGTCACAATCTCGGCTCACTGCAACCTCCGCCTCCTGGGTTCAAGGTATTCTACTGCCTCAGCCTCCTGAGTAGCTGGGATTACAGGTGCCCGCCCCCATGCCTGGCTAATTTTTTTTTTTTTTTGTATTTTTAGTAGAGATGGGGTTTCACCACGTTGGCCAGGTTGGTTTCAAACTCCTGACCTCAAGTGATCCGCCCACCTCAGCCTCCCAAAATGCTGGGATTACAGGCATGAGCCACCGTGCCTGGCCTTTTTCTTTTTTAAAAAGAGACAGTCTCACTGTGTCACTAAGGTGGAGTGCAGTAGCATGATCACAGCTCACTGCAACCTCAAAGTCCTGGGCTTAAGCAATCCTCTTGCCTCAGTCTCCTGAGTAGCTGAGACTACAGGCATGTTCCACCATATCCGGCTAATTTAAAAGAAATTTTTTCGGCCAGGTGCTGTGGCTCACGCCTGTAATCCCAGCACTTTGGGAGGCTGAGGCGGGTGGATCATGAGGTCAGGAGTTTCAGACCAGCCTGACCAACATGGTGAAACCCCATCTGTACTAAAAATACAAAAATTAGCCAGGCATGGTGGCGTGCACCTGTAATCCCAGCTACTCAGGAGGCTGAGGCAGGAGAATCACGTGAACCTGGGAGGCGGAAGTTGCAGTGAGCCGAGATCGCACCACTGCGCTCCAGCCTGGCGACAGAGCAAGACTCAGTCTCAAAAAAAAAAAAAAAAAAAAAAAAAAAATTCTAGAGACAAGGTCTCACTATGTTACCCAGGCTGGTCTCAAACTCCTGACCTCAAGCAGTCCTCCCACCTTGGCCTGAGCACCAGAATGAAGGGGAGAGTAAGGCAGTGGATCTTTGGGAAAGGAGTGTTCCAGGAAGAACAGAGATGCTTCTGGTTATTTTAGGAGGTCATGAAACTCTCAAAAATTGTCAAAACAGTTAGTCTTAATTTATCATAACCAAAAAGAAATTATACCTTACCTTATGGAAATAATAAAATTTAGCATCGTATTTTGATAAAATGTTACAACTCCAAAATGATCGGGAGTCTGTGGATAAGCCCATGCCTGTACCATGGCACCAGCTGTTATCTGGCTAAATATTTTGTAATCTATGTTGTAAAACTTCCTCTTCTGAAACTTCCCCTCAAAGTTGAACAAACACAAATTAGAACAACATGAGAGTGATTTAAGAAACATGGTTTCAGATTTACAAAAATACGTGGTAGCTCGTGGTAGCTCAGGGTTCATCCCCATCCTTCAACATCCCTCTTGAAATCAGAATGGGATTATTTTTATATTTTTCTTCCAATTCCTTATTGTGTATAGAGAATGGATACTGTTTTGAAAGCAAAATGTTGGAAACTGAGCATGATGCTAAGATGCCTTTATAAAAACATGAAGATGCCAGGTGCGGTGGCTCATGCCTGTAATCCCAGCACTTTGGGAGACTGGGGTGGGTGGATCATGAGGTCAGGAGTTTGAGACCAGCCTGGCCAAGATGGTGAAACCCCGTCTCTACTAAAAATACAAAAAAATTAGCTGGGCATGGTGGCAGGTGCCTGTAATCCCAGCTACTTGGGAGGCTGAGGCAGGAGAATCACTTGAACCTGGGAGGCGGAGGTTGCAGTGAGCCAAGATCACACCACTGCACTCTAGCCTGGGCAACAGAGCAAGACTCCATCTCAAACAAACAAACAAACAGCATGAAGAAACACTGGGGTATAAATAAGATTTAAATAGTAATAGTATGAGTTCCCATTTTGTTGGGTTATGAACTTTTCTTTTTATTAAAGTTGGCCCTATCACTAATAGATAATTTCCAAAATACCACACATTTAATGGCTTAAAACAACACAAATTTATTATTTTACAGTTCTGTAGGTCAGAAGTCCCAAACAGGCTACGTCTGGTAGCTGATGCCTATAATCCCAGCATTTTGGGAGGCCGAGGTGGGAGAATCACTTGAGGCCAGGAGTTCGACACCAGCCTGGTCAACATAGAAAGACCACACTCCACAAAAAAAAGTTTAAAAATTAGCAGGTGTAGTAGTGTGCACCTGTAGTCCCAGCTACTTGAGAAGCTGATGCAGGAGCACTGCAGCCTGAGCAATAAAGCAAGACCCTCTCTCTGTGGGAAAAAAAGTCCCAAATAAATTTCAGTGGGCTAAAGCCAGGGTGTTGGCAGGGTGCGTTCCTTCTGGAGGTTCAGTGGGAAGACTCTACTCCTTTGCCTTTTCTAGCTCCAGAGGCTACTGCATTCCTTGGCTCATGGCCCCCTCCCCATCTTCAAAGCCAACGATGGCTGAGTCTTTCTCACATCATATCACTCTAACATTTACCTTCTCGTCTCCCTCTTTCATGTATAAGGACTCTTATGAGTACACTGGACTCACTTGGATAATCCAGAGTACTCTCCCATCTCAAAATCCTTAATCTCATCACATCTGCAAAGTTCCTTTTGCCATGTGTTCACAGCTTCTGGGAATTGGCATGTGGACATCATATTCTGCCTACCACAAGTATTAATAGAACAGAACTTGTCACTGCCAACCCAGAGTCACTCTGCCCTCCTTGGAAGCCTGTATCATCAATCACAGTACAAACATGATTTAGGTTTTGCCTTAGATACTGTCATGTTAATGAAATTTCAGAATAGCAAAGAAAGTTGTTTTGAGAAATATTTTTTCAAAGCAAACATTCTTCTCAATAAAATTTTTTTTTTACTTCCTATACTCTTGCTTATAACTTGCCACTTTAATTTTTTTTTTTTTTTTTTTTACTGCCGTTGAGGCAGAAAGGAAAATGAAGCTCTTAGGAAGCTCAATTTAAATTCTCAATTGATCACATTAAGGAGCAAATAATTGAAGTTACAGGACTCTTCTAGTCATTCTTTTTGGAAAGAAATTAAATTTAGGTTTTTTTTTGGTTTCTTTTCTTTTTTTTTTTTTTTGAGATGGAGTTTTGCTCTTGTTGCCCAGGCTGGAGTGCAATGGTGCGATCACAGTGTGCACTGCAACCTTTGACTCCCGGGTTCAAGCGATTCTCATGCCTCAGCCTCCTGAGTAGCAGGGATTACAGGTGCCCGCCACCATGCCCGGCTAATTTTTGTATTTGTTAGTAGAGATGGAGTTTCACCATGTAGGCCAGGCTGGTCTAGAACTCCTGATCTCAGATGATCCACCCTCCTCAGCCTCCCACCACACCTGGCCTTTTTTTTTTTTTTTTTTTTTGAGACAGAATCTCGCTCTGTTACCTAGGCTGGATTTTTAGTAGAGACAGGGTTTCACCATGTAGACAGGCTGGTCTTAAACTCCTGACCTCAGGTGATCTGCCTGCCTCAGCCTCCCAAAGTGCTGGGATTACAGGTGTAAGCCACCGTGCCCAGCCTTCAGGTTATTTTTTTTTATTTTTTCGAGACAGAGCCTTGCTCTGTCTCCCAGGCTGGAGTCTAATGGTGCAATCTCAGCTCACTGCAACCTCCGCCTCCTGGGTTCAAGCAATTCTCCTGCCTCAGCCTCTTGAGTAGCTGAGACTACAGGCAGGCACCACCATGCCCAGCTAATTTTTGTGTTTTTAGTAGAGATGGGGTTTCACCATGTTGGCCAAGCTGGCCTTGAACTCCTTACCTCAAGTGATCCACCCGCCTTGGCCTCCGAAAGTGCTGGGATTACAGGTGTGAGCCACTGTGCCTGGCCAAAGTTATTTCTTACATATTTATACCACTACATCATTCAAGCTTAAGCCAAAACACCAAAATCTATTTATTTTACTCACCAATATTCATTTTTCTTTATTTTTGTTTGAATGCAGTAATTAACCAACTCATTAACATCAGTTTTATTTTAGAGTCCTTTTTTGTTTTTTTTAGATGGTCTTGCTCTGTTGCTCAAGCTGGAGTATAGTGGTACAGTCATAGCTCGCTGCAGCCTCGAACTCCTGGACTTAAGTGATCCTCCCAACTCAGTCTCCCACGTAACTGGGACTCCGGCACATCACCACATCTAGCTAATTTTTTATTTTATATTTTGTAGAGACGGAGGTCTGTGTTGCCTAGGGTTGTTTCTAACTCCTGGCCTCAAGCGAGCCTTAGAGTCTATTCAAAAAATTTTTTTATTCAAAAGTACAGTATATGTCTTTTCATTTGTGAAATGTTTTACACTCCTATTTTTACCATAATTTGGTCTGTTATAATTTTTTTTTTTTTGAAACAGAGTTACTCTATCACCCAGGCTGGAATACAGTGGCACGATCTCCGCTCACTGCAACCTCCATGTCCCGGGTTCAAGTGATTCTCCTGCCTCAGCCTCTCAAGTAACTGGGACTACAGGCAGGCACCACCACGCCCAGCTAATTTTTGTATTTTTAGTAGAGACAGGGTTTTACCATGTTG
This sequence comes from Homo sapiens, assembly GCF_000001405.40. NCBI lineage: Eukaryota > Metazoa > Chordata > Mammalia > Primates > Hominidae > Homo > Homo sapiens. Next base: position 97,440 of record NW_003315917.2, on the reverse strand, counting down.
GCCAGGCTGGCCTTGAACTCCTGACCTCAAGTGATCTGCCCGCCTCGGCCTCCCAGAGTGCTGGGATTACAGATGTGAGCCACCGCACCTGGTGGTCTATTATAATTCTCTTCTCTTTGCAATTTAGGGGATACCTGTATTTGGTAATTTGTAAACAAATGTCCTATGTTTAATTAGTTAAAATATTCAAAATTTTTCCCCTAATAGATTCTTTTCTCATCCCTCCCAAGTAGATTCGAATTCAGAATTGTCAAATGAAGAATTAAGGCAATGTCTTAATGAAACTTTAGAGGTAGGTACTCTGGCTAATATAAAAATTATCAGTTTAGCTGGGTCCCAGCAGCGGCTGCAGTGCTCTCGTCTTCTGCAGCTCTCCATGCCCTCTCCTTTTTGCTTCTGGAAACATGGCCTCTGTTGTGGCTGTCTCTGATGGTGTCATCAAGGTGTTCAACGACATGAAGTTGTGTAAGTCTTCAACACCAGAGAAGTTGAAGAAGCGCAAGAAGGCGGTGCTCTTCCGCCTGAGTGAAGACAAGAAGAACATCATCCTGAAGGGGAGGGCAAGGAGATACTGGTGGGCAATGTGGACCAGACCATCGACAACCCCTATGCCACCTTTGTCAAGATGCTACCGGATAAGGATTGCCTCTACGCCCTCTATGACGCAACCTATGAGACCAAGAGAGCAAGAAGGAGGACCTGGTGTTTATCTTCTGGGCCACTGAGTCTGTGCCCCTTAAGAGCAAAATGATCAATGCCAGCTCCAAGGACGCCATCAACAAGAAGCTGACAGGAATCAAGCAAGAATTACAAGCAAACTACTATGAGGAGGTCAAGGACCACTGCACCCTGGCAGAGAAGCTGGGGGGCAGTGCCATCATCTCCCTGGAGGGCAAGCCTTTGTGAGCCCCTTCTGGCCCCCTGCCTAGAGCATCTGGCAGCCCCACACCTGTCCTCGGGGGTTGCAGGCTGCCCCCTTCCTGCCAGATAGGAGGGGCTGGGGGAATCCCAGCAGGGGAAGGGCAATCCCTTCACCCCAGTTGCCAAACAGACCTCCCACCCCCTGGATTTTCCTCCTCCCTCCATCCCTGATGGTTCTGGCCTTCCGAAACTGCTTTTGATCTTCTGATTCCTCTTGGGTTGAAGAAGACCAAGTTCCCCCCAGGCACCCCAGTTATGGGGGGGCCTGTATTTTCTTTAACAACACCCCCACTCCCCACCTGTTCCTCCCCCTCTTCCCTTGCTGCTGACTTGTAACTGCAATAGTGACTCTGTGCTTGTCTGTTTAGTTCTGTATATAAATGGAATGTTGTGGAGATGACCCCTCCCTGTGCTGGCTGGTTCCTCTCCCTTTTCCCCTGGTCACTGCTACTCATGGAAGCAGGACCAGTAAGAGACTTTCGATTACAAAAAAAAAATTCTCAAGTGAATAAAGTCCATTGATAGATATTTTGTTTAAATGGTACCAAATCTGTGTGGAAGGCAAATTTTGGCTTTCCAGACATTCTTGCTGAACTTGAGAGCTCATCTTTTTCAACTGGCCTCCTCTGTTTCTTATCCACCTCATCTCTTAAAAGAAGCTACTTATGTAAACATGCCCACCGGTTCTCCTTTCCACCCCACTTCTCTTATCTCCTCCTTGAGAAAGTAAGTTATCACTTCCTTCCACCGGCCTTCCCCGTATGTGTGGCTTCAAACAATCTGACTTAATTTAACCTCATTAAAGTCAGAAGCCCAGAGTCTCAGGTGGCCTGAGTAGCCCACTGCCTTGGTGGAAATAGCAGTTTCTGCGAGGGGTGTCTGTCCTTTGGGAAATAGGAAGCCCACCTTACTGTGTGTTTGGGACTCTTCCCGTGAAAGCTACTGTATTTGGCTGCCGAGACAATGTACCACAAACTGGTGGCTTAAAACAGCAGAAATCTGTTTGCTTTTAGTTCTGGAGGCTGAAGTTTGAAACCAGAGTTTCAGCAGGCCGTGCTCCCTCTGAAGGCTTTAGAGGAGAGTCCTTTGCCTCTTCCTAGCTTCTGATGCTTGCTGCAATCCTTGGTGTTCCTTGGCTGGTAGCTGCAGAAATCCAGCCTCTGCCTGTCACATGGCCTTCTCCCTATGAGTCTGGGTCCAAATTTCCCTCAATTTATAAGGACACTAGTCATTGGATTGGGGCCTGCAGCTGCCTCCTCACCTTGAGTCCCTACATAAGGAACTACAACCTCAGTATGTAAACAACATGAAAGCCAACTGAGGCTGGGGGCAGTGGCTCATGCCTGTAATCCCAGCACTTTGGGAGGCCAAGGCAGGTGGATCATTTGAGGTCAGGAGTTCGAGACCAGCCTGGCCAATATAGTGAAACTCCGTCTCTACTAAAAATACAAAAATTAGCTGGGCAGTAGTGGCACGTGCCTGCAATCCCAGCTACTCGGGAGGCTGAGGCAGGAGAATTGCTTGAGCCTGTGAGGCAGAGGTTGCAGTGAGCTGAGACCACGCCACTGCACTCCAGCCTGGGTGACAGAGTGAGACTCTGTCTCAGAGACCTTCCTGGTTCAAGCAATTCTCATGCCTCAGCCTCCGGAGTAGCTGGGATTACAGGTGTGAGCCACCATGCCCAGCTATTTTTTATTTTTTTAATTGAGACAGAGTCTTGCTGTCACCCAGACTGGAGTGCAGTGGCTCAGCCTCGGCTCACTGCAACCTCCGCCTCCCGGGTTCAAGCGATTCTCCTGTCTCAGCCTCCAGAGTAGCTAGGATTACAGGCATGCACCACCACGCCCAGCAATTTTTTTGTATGTTTAGTAGAGACGGGGTTTCACCATGTTAGCCAGCCTGGTCGTGAACTCCTGACCTCAGGTGATCCACCCACCTTGGCCTCCCAAAATGCAGGGATTACAGGTCACACCACCTTGCCCGGCCGAGGCTTTCAATTTTAGTATGTCTGGTTCACTCACTAAGTCTAGAAGAATTTTCAGCCACATTTGTAAGTGGTTTGAGCCAAGGGTAAATGTAGACTAGCCAAACTGATAATTTTAGGGTTGCATATCTTGCAGATAGGAAGACTAATTTTCTTTCTGTCCTCAGGAGGTAGAAATGTTAAAAACTGAACTTGAGGCATCTCAAAGACAACTCAGAGGTAAAGAGGAAGCATTGAAAATTCTTCAAAGCATGGTAAGAAGTTGTTTTTAAACTTTCACCATTTACACATTCCAATAATAATGTTGGTATGGTTTTAACTTTTAAAACCAAGGCAGAAGGACTTAATATAGTTGAGGGTTTTTTTAGGTATGTATATTTTTAAGAGCTTTATAATTTATATATCCTGAAGTTCACATGTAAATGTACACTACAATTCATTTTTACTAGATATAAGAGTTGTACCACCATCATTATAATCTAATTTTAGAATATTTCCAACACCAGAAAAGGGACTTGGTGCCCATCAGCAGTCATTCCTCATTCCCACCCCTATCCCCAGTAATCTATTTTCTGTTTGTAGATTTGTCTTTTCTATTTAATATAAATAGAATCATAAGATATGTGACTGGATTCTTTTGCATTGAGATTCTTTTAGTTAGCATGTTTTAGAGGTTCATACATGTCGTAGCGTGTATCAGTACTTTCTTCCTTTTTATTGCCAAGTAATACTCCATTGTGTAGATGCACCATGTTTTGCTTATGCATTCACCAGTTGATGGACATTTGGGTGGTGTATTAGTCCATTTTTATGCTGCTGATAAAGACATACCCAAGACTGGGGGAAAAAAAGAGGTTTAATTGGACTTACAGTTCCACATGGCTGTGAAGGCCTCAGAATCATGGTGGGAGGTGAAAGGCAGTTCCTACGTGGCAGCAGCAAGAGAAAATGAGGAAGATTCAAAAGTGGAAACCTCTGATAAAACCATCAGATCTCATGAAACTTATTCACATACCAGAACAGTATGGGGGAACCACCCCCATGATCCAAACTATCTCCCACTGGGTCCCTCTCACAACACGTGGGAATTATGGGAATACAATTCAAGATGAGATTTGGGTGAGGACACAGAGCCAAACCATATCATTCCACTCCAGCCCCTCCAAATCTCATGTCCTCACATTTCAAAACCAATCATGCCTTCCCAACAGTCCCCCAAAGTCTGAAATCATTTCAGCATTAACCCAAAAATCCACAGTCCAAAGTCTCATCTGAGACAAGGCAAGTCCCTTCTGCCTATGAGCTGGTAAAATCAAAAGCAAGCTAGTTACTTCCTACATACAATGGGGATGTAGGTATATAGCCATTCCAAATGGGAGAAATTGGCCAAAACAAAGGGGTTACTGGGCTCATGCAAATCCAAAATCCAGCAGGGCAGTCAAATTTTAAAGCTCCAAAATGATCTCCTTTGACTCCAGGTCTCACATCCAGGTCATACTGATGCAAGAGGTGGGTTCCCATGGCCTTGGGCAGCTCCGCCCCTGTGGCTTTGCAGAGTACAGCCTCCCTCCTGGCTGCTTTCACAGGCTGGCATTGAGTGTCTGCGGCTTTCCCAGGTGCACAGTGTAAGCCATGGGTGGATCTACCATTCTGGGGTCTGGAGGATGGTGGCCCTCTTCTCATAGCTCCACTAGGCAGTGCTGTAGTAGGGACTCTGTGTGGGGGCTCCAACCCCACATTTCCCTTCTGTAGTGCCCTAGCCCCGGTTCTCCATGAGAGCCCCATCCCTGCAGGAAACTTCTGCCTGGACATCCAGGCATTGCCATACATCTTCTGAAATCTAGTGGAGGTTCCCAAACCCCGATTCTTTACTTCTGTGCACCTGCAGGCTCAACATCATGTGGAAGCTGCCAAGGCTTGGGGCTTGCACCCTCTATATTCACAGACGGAGCTGTACCTTGGCCCCTTTCAGCCACCGCTGGAGTGGCTGGGACGCAGGGCACCAAGTCCTTAGACTGCACACAGCACGGGGACCCTGGGCCCTGCCCACAAAACCATTTTTTCCTCCGAGACTTCTGGCTCTGTGATGAGAGAGGCTGCTGCAAAGGTCTCTGACATGCCCTGGAGACATTTTCCCCATTATCTTGGGGATTAACATTTGGCTCCTCATTACTTATGCAAATATCTGCAGCTAGCTTGAATTTATCCTTAGAAAATGGGATTTTCTTTTCTATTGCATTGTCAGGCTGCAAATTTTCTGAACTTTTATGCTGTGCTTCCCTTTTAAAATGGAATGCCTTTAACAGTACCCAAGCCATCTCTTGAATGCTTTGCTGCTTAGAAATTTCTTCCACCAGATACTCTAAATCATCTCTCTCAAGTTCAAAGTTCCACAGATCTCTAGGGCAGGGGCAAAATGCCACAAATCTCTTTGCTAAAACATAACAAGAGTCACCTTTACTCTAGTTCCCAACAAGTTCCTCATCTCCATCTGAGACCGCCTCAGCCTGGATTTCATTGTCCATATCATTATCAGTGTTTTTGTGAAAGACACTCAACAAGTCTCTAGAAAGTTCCAATCTTTCCCACATTTTCATGTCTTCTTCTGAGCCCTCCAAACTGTCCCAATCTCTGCCTGTTACCCAGTTTCAAAGTAGCTTCCACATTTTTGGGTATCTTTTCAGCAATGCCCCACTCTACTGGTACCAAATTACTGTATTAGTCCATTTTTATGCTCCTGATAAAGACATACCCAAGACTGGGAAGAAAAAGAGGTTTAATTGGACTTACAGTTCCACATGGCTGGGGAGGTCTCAGAATCATGGTGGGAGGCAAAAGGCACTTATAACATGGCAGCAGCAAGAGAAAATGAGAGAGATGCAAAAGCAGAACCCCTGATAAAATCAACAGATCTCATGAGACTTATTCACTACCATGAGAACAGTATGGGGAAAACCACCCCCATGATTCAGATTATCTCCCACCGGGTCCTCTCACAACATGTGGTAATTATGAGAGTACAATTCAAAATGAGATTTGGGTGGGGACACAGAGCCAAACCGTATCAGATGGTTTCCACTTTTTGACTGATGAATAGTACTGTTCTGAACACTTTCTTTGTGTGGAAAATTCATCCATTAATTCCCACATTCATTGGAAAAGAGCCAAACCAAGATCTCCTGACTTTTGAACTATCAGACTCTCCATAAAAGGTGGTCACTGTGAAATTCTTATGTCAATTCATCTTAATTTTCCATTGCCTTAAAATAAAAGAGAACTTCATGATGTACATAGGAGTGATTACAAATTTAATTTATACTGATGCTAGTTTTATTTTTCTTAGGCAATACTGGGCAAAGCCACAAGTCATACGCAGGCAGTGCTTCAAAAAACTATGGAACAAAACAGATCCTTGGAGAAGGTATTTGGTGCTTTTAGTGTAGACTTATTGAATCCAATAAGCTGTTAAATATAATTTCCCTAAACTCACCATACTAATGGATCTGTCACTTGTGCCTACCTTCTGCTAGGTGTGCTTCAGTTCTGATGGTCTTCCCTTTTGGAGTTTACAATCTAAAACAGATTGTCATGTGCACAATGAATTCAGGTTATTTTTATTTCCCCATGTTAAGGTAGTAGGAGGCCTGCCAAATTGGTACTTCTCATTTCTTCTTCTTTTTTTTTTTTTTTTGAGATGGAGTCCTGCTCTGTCGCCCAGGCTGGAGTGCAGTGGCGCGATCTCTACTCACTGCGAGCTCTGCCTCCCGGGTTCACGCCATTCTCCTGCCTCAGGCTCCCAAGTAGCTGGGATTACAGGTGCCCGCCACCACGCCCAGCCAATTTTTTGTATTTTTAGTAGAGACAGGATTTCACCGTGTTAACCAGAATGGTCTCGATCTCCTGACCTTGTAATCCACCCACCTTGGCCTCCCAAAGTGCTGGGATTACAGGCGTGAGACACCGTGCCCAGCCCATTTTTCTTCTTAAAAAAAATTTTTTTTTTTAAATCCTTATCGTTGCCTGGCAGGACGTACGTCTTTCTGACCATCTCATCTTCACTATAAAGGTAGTTAGGAATCATCCTAGATGGTCATGTCTCCTGTGCTTGGTGTGTTCTCCCTTGATGGGACCATTGAGTTAAGATTTCCAGGAGTGGATTTTGCTTGAGGTCTCTACATGCAGCGGAGGTGGGCACTGAGAAATCTAGGTGTAGCAGCCCAGCAAATTTTGAAGGCAAACAATTTGAAATTTTTTCTATATTAAGTGAGTTTTGGCAGAGTTGTTTTGAATGCTAAAGAGGCATGTTATATGTGTTTGCAAATGTCAGAGATACTTTTAGAGCAATAATTAATTTTTTCTCTTTAAACCATTTCTGAGAACTGATTATATGATTTATTTCAGCTATTCACAATGTCCTGAAATGATTTATTTGTAGTAATTTGCCATGAAGGTAGTATTTTCTTTCCATAGGAAATAAATGCCTTGCAGTGGGAAATAGAATTTGATCATAATAGATTTAAAAATATAGAGGAATCTTGGATCCAAAAATATGACAGGTTTGTATATTACTCCATTATTTTTCTTTGACAACCTTTAAAATCTATGTAATTCAAAAGTAATTTATGCTTTCTTCTTTGAGCCAAGTGCAAAATATTACAAAATTTTTATTGCTTATCCACTTACTAGTCGCATATTTTTGTTAGTGTTAATTTTCCTTAAAGAAAAAAAATAGCATAGGCTGGGTGTGGTGTCTCACACCTTTAATCCCAGCACTTTTGGGAATCTTTGGCACTTGGATCTGAGGATCACTTGAGTCCAGGAATTTGAGACCAGCCTGGGCAACATGTTGAAACCCTATCTCTACAAAAATACAAAAAGTAACTGGGTGTGGTGGCTTGCACCTGTAGCCCCAGCTACATGGGAAGCTGAGGTGTGAAGATCACTTGGGCCTGGGAGTTGGAGGCTGCAGTGAGCCATGATTGCGCCACTGCACTTCAGCCTGGATGATAGAGTGAGTCCGTGTCTCAAAAATAAAACAAAACAAAAAAACAAAAACCAAAATAGTATAAACTCTATCTTAAAATACAGTGTAAGAATTATTTTAGAATTGGAACTATTTGTTTTTTTCAAACAAAATCTTTTGAGGGGCTGGGCATGATGGCTCACACCTGTAATTTCAGCACTTTGGGAGCCTGAGGTGGGAGGACTGCTTTTGTTCAGGAGTTCAAAACCAGCCTAGATGACATAGCAAGATCCTCATCTTGTTAAAAAAAAAAAAGATGAAAAATAAGATGGTTAAGATGGTAAATGTTTATGTTCTGACAATCAGCTCCAAAGAGAGAAAAAATATCTTTGGAACAACTTTTATTTGTGTGAGTTTATTTAATAACTTTAAATTATACACTTACTATAAAGTCAGTCATTTCAGTTGGGTATGGTGGCTCACACAATCCTATCGTGGCCCCAATCCCTGTTGGACTGAACAAAGGGAGACGAACGTGGGAATAAAAATAAAGACAAAAGAGTATATTTGGAAGAAGGGGTCAGGGGGCTCCTTGCTCCAGTGAACAAGGGTCCTGAGCTTTTAGCACCCTTCGTATTTATTGAGTAAAGGAGATAGGGAGGAGGTGGTTGTCAGTCAGCTGCTTGACTCGGTGCAGGCTTGCACAACTGCATTCTCTGAACAGTAGTCTCCAGATGTTCCAGTAGATAACCTCAAGGAGCACGGCGCCAGAGAGTGACTGCCCTCAGCAAACCTTCTGGCGGCAGGTGCAGATGTGAGTTTGCCTACATCCTGCATTCATGATAAACAGTTTGCTGTTTGATCATATAGCCTCAGTGGAATGCTAAGTTGGTCACGATCCTCTGGCTTTCGGCTCTCTACATAATCCCAGCATTTTGGGAGGCTGAGGCAGGTGGATCACTTGAGGCCAGGAGTTCTAGACCAACCTGGCTAATGTGGCGAAACCCTGTCTCTACCAAAAATACAAAAATTAACTGGGCGTGGTGGCACACACCTGTATCCCAGCTACTCAGGAGACTGAGGCAGGAGAATCGCTTGAACCCAGGAGGTAGAGGCTACAGGGACCTGAGACTGGGCCACTGTACTCTAGCTTTGATGACAGAGCGAGACCTTGTATCCAAAAAGAAAAAAAAACCAGAAAGACTAAATAATATTCCATGTTATGTATGTACGCCATTTTGTTTATCCATTCATTCCTGATGGACACTTGAGTTAACTCTACCTTTTGGCTATTTTGCATGATGCTGCTATGAACATGGGTGTACCCTATGTATCTTTTTTTTCCATGAAATACTTTGTTGGTTTTTTTTTTTTTAGAGCAGTTGTAGATTCACAACAAAATTGATCAGAAGGTACGGAGATTTCCCATATACACAGCCTCCCCCACTGACAACATCCCCCACCAGAGTGGTACATTTTTTATAACCAATGTTGATACATCATTATTACCCGAAGTCCATAGTTTACATGAGGACCTATGTATGTAAGTTTCTGAAGGTGACCTAAGCATATAGTTGAAATTCAAATGGTTATTAAGTAAAGAGAATGAGTATGCAAAATGGATGGTTTAAAAATATTTCTGGTTCTGATTATGTCTCAGCTAAGAAGGGTTAAGAGTATGTTTAGTCCAGGCGCAGTGGCTCACGCCTGTAATCCCAGCACTTTGGGAGGCCGAGGTGGGCAGATCACTTGAAGTCAGGAGTTTGAGATCAGCCCAGCCAACATGATGAAACCACTTCTCTACTAAAACACAAAAATTGGCCGGGCGTGGTGGCGGGCGCCTGTAATCCTAGCTACTCAGGAGGCTGAGGCAGGAGAATCACTTGAACCTGGGAGGCAGAGGTTGCACTGAGTCGAGATCACATGACTGCACTCCAGCCTAGGTAACAGAGCAAGACTCCGTCTCAAAAAGAAAAAAAAAAAAAAAAGGGTATGTTTAAAATCTTGGCCGGGCATGATGGCTCACAACTGTAATCCCAGCACTTTGGGAGGCTGAGGCGGGCTGATCACTTGAGGTCAGGAGTTCGAGACCAGCCTGGCCAACATGGTGAAATCCCGTTTCTACTAAAAATACAAAAATTAGCCAAGTGTGGTGGCAGACACCTGTAATCCCAGCTACTTGGAAGGCTGAGGCAGGAGAATCACTTGAACCCAAGAGGTGGAGGTTGCAGTGAGCTGAGATTGTGCCACTGCACTTCAGCCTGGGCGACAGAGTGAGACTCCATTTCAAAAAAAAAAAAAAAATTCTTACCACATTCCTTTAAATTGTTTTTATTTTTGTGATACGTGTAAATTCCAGACTATTTTGAAGTAGGAAAAACTATATTTAGATTTTTGTGTTCCAATTATGGCAATAAAAATATTCTCGCTCAGCAAGGAAATATTAATGTTTTAGTTATTTGAAAGCCACTTTTTTCCAGGCTAAACTGTGAAAATGCAGTCCTCAAAGAGAATTTGAAAGTGAAAACAGAAGAAATTAAAATGCTGAAGTCTGACAATGCAGGTAATGATGATTTTTGTATTAAGAGCACATGTATCAATAAAGATAACATGCTAGTATTTTGAAATAATATACATTAAGTATAATAGAGGGGAGAAATGTATCATTTAGGTTTTTTAAATTTAAGAAAATTTATCAAGGTGAAATTCACATAACATAAAACTATTTAAAAGTGAACAATTCCTGGCTGGGCACAGTAGCTCATTCTTGTAATCCCAGCACTTTGGGAGGCCAAGGTGGGCAGATCATCTGAGGTCAGGAGTTCAAGACCAGCCTGGCCAACATAATGAAACTCCATTTCTACCAAAAATACAAAAATTAGCGAGACATGGTGGTGCGCACCTGTAGTCCCAGCTACTCAGGAGGCTGAGGCAGGTGAATCGCTTTTACTCTGGAGGCCGAGGTTGCAGTGACCCAAGATTGTGCCTCTGCACTCCAGCCTGGACAACAGAGTGAGACTCCATCTCAAAAAAAAAAAAAAAAAAAAAGTGAACAATTCTTGCCAGGCACAGTGACTCATGCCTGTAATCCCAGAACTTTGGGAGGCCAAGGCAGGAGGATCACTTGAGCTTAGGAGTTTGAGACCAGCCTGGGCAACATAGCAAAACCTTGTTTCTATTAGAAACAAACAAACAAACAACAACAACAACAGAAAAACCAAAATTAGCCAGATGTGGTGGCACTGGCCTGTAGTCCCAGCTACTTGGGAGGTTGAAGTGGGAGGATTGCTGGAGCCCAGGAGGTTGAGGCTGCAGTGAGCCATGATTGTGCCACTGCACCGCAGCTTGGGTGACAGAGCGAAACTCGGTCTCGAAAAAATAAGTTAACAATTCAGTGACATTCACAAAGTTGCCTAACCACCACCTCTGTCTAGTTCCAGACAGTTCCAGTACTCCAAAGTAAAATCTCCTACCTATTAAGCAATTTCTCCCCATTTTCTCCTTTTTATTTAGTTTTCACTTAAAGCAAAATGGTAGAGCACCTGATATTTGAAGAACCTAAGTAGAAATGATATATATGTGTGTATATAATTTATATGTTATATATCTCTTATATAATGGTCTACCTTACGATGAAAGTTGATGCAAGGATAATAAGATATTTAATGTTAACTTTTTTTTTTTTTGAGACAGAGTCTCACTTTATCGCCAGGCTGGAGTGCAGTGGTGCAATCTTAGCTCACTGCAACCTCCGCCTCCTGGGTTTAAGCAATTCTTCTGCCTCAGCCTCCTGAGTAGCTGGGACTACAGGTGCATGCCACCACACCCAGCTAATTTTTGTATTTTTAGTAGAGACAGGGGTTTCACCATGTTGGCCAGGATGGTCTCAATCTCCTGACCTCGTGATCCGCCCGCCTCAGCCTCCCAAAGTGCTGGGATTACAGGTGTGAGCCACCGCGACTGGCCTTTTTTTTTTTTTTTTTTTTTTTTGAGATGGAGTCTCACTCTGTTGCCCAGGCTGGAGTGCTGTGACGCCATCTTGGCTTACTGCAACCTCCACCTCCCAGTTCAAGTGATCCTCCTGCCTCAGCCTCCCAAGAAGCTGGGACTACAGGTGCCTGCCACCACACCTGGCTAATTTTTGTATTTTTAGTAGAGGCAGGGTTTCACCATGTTGGCCAGGCTGGTCTCAAACTCCTGACCTCAAATGATCCACCCACCTTGGCCTCCCAAAGTGCTGGGATTACAGGCGTGAATCACCATGTCCAAACTGATGTTAACTTTTTACATATTTTATTTATTTATTTGTTTATTTATTTATTTATTTTCACACAGGGTCTTGCTCTGTTGCCCAGTTTGGAGTGCAGTGACACAATCTCAGTTCACTGCAACCTCCACTTTCTGGGCTCAAGAGATCCTCCCACCTCAGCCTCCCAAGTTGTTGGTACTACAGGCATGTTCCACCATGTCCAGCTAATTAAAAAATATATTATTATTATTATTATTATTATTATTTTGAGACAGAATCTCACTCTGTCGCCCAGGCTGGAGTGCAGTGGCACAATCTCGGCTCACTGTGACCTCTGCCTCCCAGGTTCAAGTGATTCTCCTGCCTCCACTTCCTGAGTAGCTGGGATTGCAGACACCCACCACCATGCCCAGATTTCTTTTTTTTTTTGAGACAGAGTCTCACTCTGTCACCCAGGCTAGAGTGCAATGGTGCAATCTCACCTCACTACAACCTCCTCCTCCCGAGTTCAAGGATTCTCCCGCCTTGGCCTACCACGTAGCTGGGATTATAGGCACCTGCCATCATTCCCAGCTAATATTTTTGTCTTTCTGTAGAGACGGGGTTTCACCATGTTGACAAGGCTGGTCTTGAACTCCTGACCTCAGGTGATCTGCTCGCCTTGGCCTCCCAAAGTGCAACATTAAAAAAAAAATTTTTGTAGACATGGGGGTGACTCACTTTGTGAGGGCTCAACTCCTGGGCTCAAGCAATCCTCCCACCTTGGCCTCCAAAAGTGCTGGGATTACAGGTGTGAGCCACTGCACCCAGCCCTAAAAATTTAGAGAAGAGGCTAGTTCTTCCTTCTTAGCAGAAATTAAAGAGGTGGCTTGAAGAGGACAAATCACAAGCCAGGCGCTGTTGCTCATGCCCGTAATGGCCAGTGCTATGGAAAGCCAAGGGGAGAGGATTGCTTGAGGCCAGGAGTCTGAGACCAATCTGGGCAACATAACGAGACTCTTCCTCTACAAAAAATAAACAAAAATTAGCCAGGCATGGTAGCATGCACCTGGTTTTTTTTTTTTTTTTTTTTGAGAGGGAGTCTTGCTCTGTCACCCAGGCTAGAGTGCAATGGCGCAATCTCACCTCACTGCAACTTCCTGGCTGATTGGGAGGTTAAGGTGAGAGGATCCCTGGAGCCCAGGAGTTTGAAGTTGCAGTGAGCTATGATTGGACCACTGCACTCCAGCCTGAGTGACAGAGCAAGACTCTGTCTCTTACACAAAGAAAAGGAAGGAAAAAAAGAAGAAAAGAAAGGAAAAAAGAAGAAAAGGACAAAAAAAGCTCTAAATTAGGCCCTGGGCTGAGAGCGGCACTTTATGCTGTGTCTTAGCTGAGTTGTATAAACGCCTCCAGCTGAGATCTGCACACACAGCTGGAGCTTCTCAGCACCAGGGACTCCAGCTGATAAAGATGTCTCCTGTGTGAGATAAGTTCAGGACAGAAGCTGCTCATGATCATAAGTCCTCCCCTTCTGTCCTACCACTCTACCCTGCAGTGACAGGGAAAAGATACTGTTTTCTGCTCTCCAGTAGACAGCAGGACCCCTCTCTAAATGTTTGGTTTGAGATCTTCTTGTGAAAACTCCTAATACAAAAACCTGATAGAGCTTGGATAGCTGGTATGTTTGATATGGATACAATATATGAGATCTCACCATCCAGTTTTCTCACTAACCATAAAGTCTCTGAATAATTTGCTTTTACATATTCCCTTTTGGAAAAATCCTACAAATTTTCCAAGAGGAAACAGGAATCCGACTTCAGTTGCAAAGTTAAGATGCTTTTCCATTAAAAATGACACCATCTCATCTAGTATTACATATATATGATCTTACGTGATACTCACTATTCTATCAGATAGGTTTTCTGAATGGAGCCCGATCTTGTGGGTAGTGTATTGCTTGTACGAAATGAATATGTCATGTTGGGGTAACTAGATTGGATGAGGGTGGAGTTAGGCTTCATAATGAATACTTTCTCATATGGCCCTTCCTAGTTTTGAATCAACGGTATTTGGAGGCCCTCGCCATGCTTGATATCAAACAGCAGAAGATGGCTCAGGAAAACATGTGCTGTGATAAAAGTGGCTTTGCAGAGGCTTCAGGTCTTGAGGTAGGTAAGCATGCAGGAAAGCTGAACAGAAGGGACATTTGCTACTTTCCTTTCTTTCTCCCATTGCCCTTGTGTACACATTGTAGGATAGCACATACTTAGCAATTTGAGGATGGGAGTGAGAGACGCCCCTGGGCCCAGGTTGGTTCTTCCAGTTCTGCTGGTTCCATGCCCTTCATACAGGACATTCTTGGACATGAGGGAATGTGCTGGCCACTTCTGCCCCGTTTATTTCTCATCTTTACAGTTCTAGCAGAAGCTGTGTTGGGTAATGTCTCACATGTGGGTCGGGGCTTACCGTTTGAGTGCTTTCATACAAATTGTTGTATCTGATCTTCATCGGAGTCTTGTGAGGGCTGCAAAGCAGATATTATCCCCATTTTAGAGAAGAGGAAACTAAGGCTCAAATTAGTTCAGTTACTTTCCTGAGGTGGCAAGGTCAATCTGTGGTAAAGCCAGGTTCAGAACAAAAATCTGCTGGTGCAATGCCAATGGCTGGCAATGTGGGAGTTTGGCTAATGAGGTCAGAAGGGGCCTCACAAAAAAATAATGGAGCAGTAGAGTGATAGGGGGCAGCCATGCACTTCTTGTAGAACTTAAGAAGGCCGGGCGCGGTGGCTCACGCCTGTAATCCCAGCACTTTGGGAGGCCGAGGAGGGCGGATCACAAGGTCAGGAGATCGAGACCATCCTGGCTAACATGGTGAAACCCTGTCTCTACTAAAAATACAAAAAATTAGCCAGGCGCGGTGGCGGGCGCCTGTAGTCCCAGCTACTTGGGAGGCTGAGGCAGGAGAATGGCGTGAACCCAGGAGGCGGAGCTTGCAGTGAGCAGAGATCGCGCCACTGCAGTCTGGCCTGGGCGAAAGAGCGAGACTCCGTCTCAAAAAAAAAAAAAAGAAAGAAAGAACTTAAGAAAAATTGGTAATAATAATAGCAAATACCTGCATAGTCCTGAGCAAGTTCAGATGATGTTCTAAGAACTTTACATACATTGACATATTTAGTCTACACAACTACCCCATAAAGTGGGTACTGTTAAAATCCCCACTTCACAAATGAGGTAACAGAGGCATTGCGGGGTTAGGTAATTTGCCTGGTGTCACACAGCTAGTGCGTGGTGGAGCTGAGATTTGCAGCCTGTAGACAGAGCTTAGAGTCTGTGCTTTTGAGCACCATGTTCTACTGCCATGGGTGGAAAACTAGTATAATAGCAAAAAGGAAAAATGCAAGAAACAGCTTAAAGAAAGTTTAGGGACAGGGTGTTTTATGATAGTCTCAAGTAGACTATGGGCCAGCCTTACCTCCAGCCAGGCAGGAACAAGGGCCCCGACACAGCTGGTGAGGGAGCACTGAGGTGAGGAAGTAGCACCGGGAGTCAGGGGTCCTGGCCGCAACCCGTTGTGATTGATATTGGCCCTTCCCAGGTCTTAGTTGCTTTTGGCAACCTAGGCATGGGAGATTATCAGGAGTAGGAAAATGAAAAGGGAAAAGACCTTTCTGCCACAGATCCACCATTTGTACATTCAGCTCAACTGAAAGCTCACTCCGTGCTTCACGGTTATCACTGATGTGAGAAAGAATGTTCCGAAATGGCCTTTACACTAAGGGAGGCAGTGGAATTTTCCTCTCTGAAAAGCCTCTTAAAAAGGATTGTATTTTATGTCAGCTCATCCATGTGAAAGTACAGCAACAGGGGCCGGGCGCGGTGGCTCACGCCTGTAATCCCAGCACTTTGGGAGGCCGAGGCGGGCGGATCACAAGGTCAGGAGATCAAGACCATCCTGGCCAACATGATGAAACCCCGTCTCTATTAAAAGTACAAAAATTAGCTGGGCGTAGTGGCGCATGCCTGTAATCCCAGCTACTCGGGAGGCTGAGGCAGGAGAATCGCTTGAACCCGGGAGGCAGAGGTTGCAGTGAGCCGGGATTGTGCCACTGCACTCCAGCCTGGTGACAGAGTGGGACTCCATCTCAAAAAAAAAAAAACTTTATTTTTAGTTTAATTTTATTTATTTTTTTGTTTTGTTTTGTTTTTGAGACAGGGCCTTACTCTGTAGCTCAGGCTGGAGTACAGTGGCACAATCATGGCTCACTGCAGCTTAGACCTCCTGGGCTCAAGTGATCCTCTGACCTCAGCCTCCCAGCCAAGTACCTGGGACTACGGGTGCACACCATTATCATACCCAGCTAATGTTTTTTTTTTATTTTTTGTAGAGACAGGGTCTCATGTTGCCCAGGCTGGTCTTGAACTCCTGGGCTCAAGCTATCTGCCTGCCTCAGCCTCCCAAAATGCTGGGATTACAGGCGTGAGCCACCATACCTAGCCCATATGAAACTTTAAAATATATGGGCCAGGTGCGGTGGCTAACGCCTGTAATCCCAGCACTTTGCGGGGGCTGAGGCAGGTGGATCAACTAAGGTTGGGAGTTTGAGACCAGCCTGACCAACACGGAGAAACCCTGTCTCCACTAAAATACAAAATTAGCTGGGCGTGGTGGTGTATGCCTGTAATCCCAGCTACTTGGGAGGCTGAGGCAGGAGAATTGCTTGAACCTGGGAGACAGTGGTTGTGGTGAGCTGTGATCTCGCCATTGCACTCTAGCCTGGGCAACGAGAGCAAAACTCTGTCTCAGAAAAATAAATAAATAAATAAATAAATATGGCACAGGCCAGCCGCAGTGGCTCACATCTATAATCCCAGCGCTTTGGGATGCCGAGGCAGGTGGATCATTTGCGGTCAGGAGTTCGAGACCAGCCTGACCACCATGGTGAAACCCCATCTCTACTAAAAATACAAAAAAAAATTAGCTGGGTGTGGTGGCATATGCCTGAAATCTCAGTTTGAACTTGGGAGGCAGAAGTTGCAGGGAGCCGAGATTGTACCACTGCACTCCAGCCTATGTGACAGAGCAAGACTCCGTCTCAAAAATAAATAAATAAGAATAAAATAAAATATATGGCACGCTATGTTGTGTAGATTGCCCCTGTGAAATTGGTACATACTGGAATATGTTGGGAAAGTATTTGTGGTTAGCTTTGTGTTTGAGACAGAGTCTTGCTCTGTTGCCCAGGCTGGAGTACAATGGTGCAATCTCAGTTCACTGCAACCTCTGCCTCCCGGGTTCAAGCGATTCTCCTGCCTCAGCCTCCCGAGTAGCTGGGATTACAGGCACCCACCACCATGCCCAGCTAATTTTTATATTTTTTAGTAGAGACAGGTTTCACCATGTTGGTTAGGCTGGTCTCGAACTTCTGAACTCAGGTGATCCACCTGCCTCGGCCTCCCAAAGTGCTGGGATTATAGGCATAAGACACCCTGCCTGGCCCACTTGTAGTTAGCTTTTAAAGTGGAGTTTTAAAAAGTAAAATTATTATACTACTTTTCTTCCAACTACAGTGGTCAACCAAGTATAAAAATAAAGGAATCAGAATCTAGTTTATTATTTATTTATTTTTGAGACAGAGTTTTGCTCTTGTTGCCCAGGCTGGAGTGCAAGGCATGATTTCAGCTCACTGCAACCTCTGCCTCCCAGGTTCAAGTGATTCTCCTACCTCAGCCTCCCAAGTAGCTGGGATTACAGGCATGAGCCACCACACCCAGCTAATTTTTGTATTTTCAGTAGAGATGGGATTTCACCATGTTGGTCCGGCTGGTTTCGAACTCCTGACTTCAGATCATCCACCTGCCTTGGCTTGCCAAAGTGCTGGGATTACAGGCATGAGCCACCGCGCCTGGCCAGAATCTAGTTTAAAGAGTTTATTCAAGTACAAAAGTTGAGGATGGATCACCCAAGGAGCCACAGATTCCAAAGAAGTCAGTGTTTTAGGCCGGGTGCGATGGCTCATGCCTGTAATCCCAGCACTTTGGGAGGCTGAGGTGGGCAGATCACGAGGTCAGGAGATCGAGACCATCCTGGCTAGCACGGTGAAACTCTGTCTCTACTTTAAAAATACAAAAAAATTAGCCGGGCGTGGTGGCGCCTGTAGTCCCAGCTACTCGGGAGGCTGAGGCAGGACAATGGCGTGAACCCAGGAGGCAGAGCTTGCAGTGAGCCGAGATCGCGCCACTGCACTCCAGCCTGGGTGACAGAGCGAGACTCCATCTCAAAAAAAAAAAAAAAAGAAGTCAGTGTTCTAAAGTGTAGAAGTTTGTGCTGGCTTATATGGACAATGTTTAGGGAAGTATGGACAATGTTTAGGGAAGTTTAACAGAATTTCAACATCTTTTGATGGTATGGTTTAGTGCATAGTTACAGAGATATTAGTTGAGGTGATCGTTTTCTTTTGGGGAAGGTATATTTAACATTCCACACTGAAGATGTAACAGCCATGGGGTTCTTTTCGAAGTCATCTGCTCTGAGTTAGGTATAAGAAGATAAGACAGCTAATCTGTAACGGAGGTCAGTGATGGAAGCAGAAAGGTCTGGTCTCTGGTCTCTCCTCCTCATTTACAGAACAAGAGCAACGAGGAAGAGGGTTACTCTCTAATCTAGAAGCAGCATTTCAAACATGCTACCTGACTGAGTCTCCAGGGCTTAACTTCACCCTTGGCATAAGTTTGGATGGTGCTGAAGTTTTATTCTTTTACACAGGAATCAATCGTATTTTTTTATTTTTTTTAGGAGTGGAGGGATGACTGTTTTTCTCATTATATATTACAATTCCCTCGTCATTTCTGAGTAGATGACTCAGCTTAGAGGAAACTGGCAGTAGTGAATGCCGGGCATCAGGGCCACACTGTTACAGGAAAGGTATGCTGTGGATGTTAGCGTTAACCATATTGTTAGGCTAAACTCCTGCCAAGGACTCAGACCTATAGGAGAGTGGCGCCAGGATTAAAGGTTTTAAGAGTGAGATGAAGGAAGGTAAAATTCCCTTTTGTTTGTGTTCCAAGTCATGACATTCTTTTTGTCGTTTGTAGTTAATTTCTATTTGTATTCTGAGATCCCAGTCTCAGCTTTCTTCTATTTTGTTTTTCCTTTCCAGTTTTTTTGGATCAGATGCCTGAGTAGTAGTGTGCATGGGTATGTGTGTAAATGCCCCTGTGTTTGTGTGCAGCTAAAACAGTGTGACACTTAATAACAGGAGCAATGCTTTTCAATTTAAAGCTTGCGGTCCTCGGAGCCTGCCTTTGTCATGGGCCCGGAGGGAACCCCTGTTCTTGTGCCAGAATGGCAGCATCCACTCGGAAACTGCTTCTTCAGCTCAAACAAGAGGTATTGCGTTATCACAACAGCAAAAGCTTTAGTTTTGTTTCTCTGTTAATAGTAGAATAAATGGAAATGTTTGCAATAATTAACTTCATTTTAGTAGTTATTGCCTATGGAACTTATGCTTAGTTTTTATGTGATAGCATCAACTTATCAACTGGATTTTGTTTACCTGGTTCCAAAATACAAATATTAATAGTACTTGGGGCAGGGTGCGGTGGCTCAGGCCTATAATCCCAGCACTTTGGGAGGCTAAGGCAGGCAGATCACCTGAGGTCAGGAGTTTAAGACCAGCCTGGCCAACATGGTAAAACCACGTCTCTACTAGCCAGGCATGGTGGCGGTCACCTGTAATCTTAGCTACTTGGGAGGCTGAGGCAGGAGAATCGCTTGAATCCGGGAGGCGGAGGTTGCAGTGAGCCGAGATTACACCACTGCACTCCAGCCTAGGCAACAAGAGTGAAACTCCATCTCCAAGAAAAAAAAAAAAAGTACTTGGCATGATATTTGAAGCTACCTAAAGTCATTTGCCTAAGTTCATAATTAATATTCCTAAAATTTATATGTTCTCATCTATACATGTCCCTAAAATTACTATATAATAGAAGGAAAATGTACATTTATGCTTAAAATCACTAGGATCAGCAACACTGATTAATGGAGAGATAAGCATGGAATGTATTTGAACAGCAGCAAGGCACAGTGAAAGGAACCTTTGTCCCAGCCAGACCTAGGTTTGCATCTTTGCTCCACCATTTACTAGCTGTGTGGCTTTGGACGGGGTAGGTCTTAGTTTTCCTACTATATTAAGTGGAGGGTAATAACTACCTTGGATGATTGTTGTGAGGAAATAGACATAAAATGTTTAGCACAGCACCATGAACATGCCAGACATTAATTCAAATGATAGCTGCCATTATATTTGGTCTTTACTTACAAATACAGTAGTACATGGACCATAATTCTAAAATGTTTTACCTTTATTGAAGGTATGGAATTTAAAGTCCTTAGGTGTGGCAAACCACCATGGCACACATTTACCTAGGTAACAAACCTGCATCCTGCACCTGTATCCTAGAACTTAAAATAGAATAAAATAGGACAAAATTAAATTTAAAAAAATTAAAGTGTTTGGGTTTTTTTTTTTTTTTGAGACGGATTCTTGCTCTGTCGCCCAGGCTGGAATGTAGTGGTGCAATCTCGGCTCACTGCAACCTCCACCTCCTGGTTCAAGTGATTCTCTGCCTCAGGCTCCTGAGTAGCTGGGATTACAGGCGCCTGCCACCACTCCCAGTTAATTTTTGTATTTTTAGTAGAGACGGGGTTTCACTATGTTGGCCAGGCTGGTCTTGAACTCCTGACCTCGTGATCCACCCGCCTTGGCCCCCCAAAGTGCTGGGATTACAGGCGTGAGCCACTGAGCCCAGCCAAAATAAAATCTTTAAAGTATATAGGAAAGCCAACATTTGGACAGTAGCCATTCATTAAGAAAAGCATGAGGGGGCAATGGGTTACACCTGTAATCTCAGCACTTTGGGAGGCTGAGGTGGGAGAATCACTTGAGCCTAAGACGTCACAGTTACAGTGAGCCGTGTTCACATCACTGCACTCTAGCCTGGGTGACAGAGTGAGAGACCCTGTCTCCAAAACAAAAAGAAAGACCGGGCGCAGTGGCTCATGCCTGTAAACCAGCACTTTGGGAGGCCGAGGCGGGTGGATTACCTGAGCTCAGGAGTTCGAGACCAGCCTGGGCAACACAGTGAAACCCCATCTCTACTAAAATACAAAAAATTAGCCAGGCGTGGCAACATGCGCCTATAGTCCCAGCTACTCGAGAGGCAGAGGCAGGAGAATTGCTTGAACCCAGGAGGCGGAGCTTGCAGTGAGCCGAGATCACGACACTGCACTCCAGCCTGGGCGACAGAGCGAGACTCCATCAAAAGAAAAAAAAAAAAGAAGAAGAAGAAAAAAATAGAAGAAAAGAAAAACATGAGATTACATTGATCAAAGTCAAGGTCATCTATAAGACGTATTTGAAAGGTCGTATTCATCATTATTTTCAGTGGTGTGGTCTGGAATGGCCCAAAGCTGAGTTGAAATGCAGCCTTTGGTATCCTCTTATCTTTCATGCTGGGCCCTTTGTCCCAGGACTTGAGCAGGACACACACACAGGGCCTGCATGGGGTAGTGAGGTCCAGGGGTTAGGTTAGCAGGCAGTTGACAGGCACCACAAGGGAAACTGATAATCTGGATCAGAGTAAGTTGCTACTGCAGAAATAGCAAGCATTAATTAGCGTAATCAGATAAACTAGATCAGACCACAGGCAATAAACCAGTGCTAGGCAGTGAGATTGCATATGTTAATTTGATTCCCCATTCAGCAAGAATTGTTCTGGTTTTGCCTCTGACACCTCCCAAACTGTCTTTCAAAATCAGTTGGAAATTTTGCAGAAGAGTAAAGAAGAAGCTTACGTGATGGCAGATGCTTTCAGAATTGCATTTGAGCAACAATTAATGAGAAAAAATGACCAGGCACTACAATTGACACAAATGGATAAAATGCATAAAAAAGCAACAAAATGGATGAATTGGAAGCACCTTAAAGAGGATGGTAACTATGAATTATAATGGCAATAAGTGGGTGTAATTTTAGTTGTTTTGTTTATAATCCAAGTTGATGAAGCACACTTAATCCAATGTGGGCAAAAATAATTGAAACTTCACATATGGTTGTGGTTTACTTAAAAACTTAGCAACTATGGAAAAAAAGGAGTCATTGGATATTACATGTGCAGGTGAACTACTGGAATCCATAAACCATAACATAACAGGAATATTTATTTTCTAGTACTCTTCTGTTTCATTTAAATAAGACCATGTTTAGTGAAAAAACTTTACAATAAAAGTGCTAGGTGATTAAAAGGAAACTGCCAAGAAGGAAGTAATGTGAAAAATGTCACTTAAACATGACATTAAATGTATCTATCTAATTAAACTTTATTGAAATGTATGCTTTTGAGAAGGAAATTGAGGAATAGAGGAAAAACCTTAAGTTGGACAAATTAATAAAATATTCTTAGAAAAAATGAAGCAGAAGTTTAGGTTTAGGTTTTGGTTCACGAACCCATCAAAAATTTATGGCCAGGCTGGGTGTGGTGGCTCACGCCTGTAATCCTAGCACTTTGAGAGGCCAAGGAGGGTGGATCACCTGAGGTCAGGAGTTCGAGAACAGCCTGGCCAACATGGCAAAACCCCATCTCTACTAAAAACACAAAAATTAGCCGGGCGTGGTAGCACATGCCTGTAATACCACCTGCTCAGGAGGCTGAGGCAGAAGAATCGCTTGAACCCAGGAGGCAGAGGTTGCAGTGAGCTGAGATCGCGCCACTGCACTGGGCGACGGAATGAGACTCCATCTCAAAAAAAAAAAAATGATCAGTATTGAGTATTATTATATCTGTGTATTAAAAAATATATTAAAATAGCATGAGAGAATTGAAGTAGATCTTCCAGTATGAACAAAGTAGCTGTTATTTTTTAGAAATCTGTTTCTCTAAGTAGTTCATACCAATTTTTATTCATCAGTATTATTCTGTAGAATTCATATTGCTTCAGTTTAAAATGTCAAATTATAATTTGAAACCATTTATCAGTTGAGAAAGAATCAAGTGAAGTTTATAAGAATTTTAAATGTTTTGTAGAAAAATTCTAGGATGACTGTATTTCTAAATATTTTCTTATCTGTCAGATCTATAATTCTAACATCTCTTATATTCAGGTGAATTTAGAAAGACTAATACACATCTTGTAATATTTAAAATGATCTTAGGGGAACACCATCATAGAAAATATTTAAAATGGAACCTGTTGGCTGGGCGTCGTGGCTCATGCCTGTAATCCCAGCACTTTGGGAGGCCGAGGTGGGTGGATCATTTGAGGTCAGGAGTTTGAGACCAGCCTGGCCAACATGGTGAAACCCTGCCTCTACTAAAAATACAAAAATTAGCCGGGCTTGGTCGCAGGCGCCTGTAGTCCCAGCTACTTGGGAGGCTGAGGCAGGAGAATTGCTTGAACCTGGGAAGTGGAGGTTGCAGTGAGCCAAGATTGCACTACTGCACTCCAGCCTGGGGGAAAGAGCAAGACTGTCTCAAACAAAAAAAAAAAAAAAAGAAAAAAAAGAAAAAAAAAAGAAACCTGGCCATGTGCGGTGGCTCAGGCCTGTAATCCCAGCACTTTGGCAGGCTGAGGCAGGCAGATCACCTGAGGTCAGGAGTTCAAGACCAGCCTGGCCAACATTGAGAAACCCCATCTCTACTAAAAATACAAAAATTAGCTGGGTGTGATGGCACTCACCTGTAATCCCAGCTACTCGGGAAGCTGAGGCAGGAGAATCGCTTGAACCTGGAAGGCAGAGGTTGCAGTGAGCCAAGATTGCGCCACTGTACTCTAGCCTGGGTGACAGAGCAAGACTCTGTCTCAAAATAATAATAATAATAGTAATAATAATAATAATAATAAAATGAAAGCTTTATAGTAGATAGCCATTTTGTTTGAAATATTTATTTTCAAACAGTATATATTACTAATAGTATAGGAGTCAGCTGTCGTGAATTTTAGTTTCATTAACTAAGCTTTCCCCCTTTTCTTTGCTGAAAAGGGTAAGAAGTGATGCAGAGGGATGATAGAAATAGAAGCAGTAAATCAGAACTACAGAGTAGGGAAATGCAGATCATAGAAGCTACATGTTTGGAGTGTTCATTAGATGGAAGCCAGGACAAAACAGGAAAATATAATGTTTTGTAACACTTATTCTGAGAAAGTCATTCATATTTTCTTGAAATTAATTTCTAAAAATGTTTTCTGACACGAAACTTTTGAGAAAATATAATGGCTAAATTCCCGACAGTGTTTTAGTAGCTTTTTTTTTTTTTTTTTTGAGGCAGCATCTTATCCTGTTGCCCAGGCTGGAGTGCAGTGGTGTGATCATGACTCACTGCAGCCTCTACCTCATGGGCTCAAGCAATCCTCCCACCTCAGCCTCCCTAGCAGCTGGGACTTCAGGCATGTGCCACCATGCCAGGCTAAATTTTGTATTTGTTTATAGAGATGAGGTCTCACTGTGTTACCCAGGCTGGTCTCAAACTCCTGGGCTCAAGCGGTCCTCCCTCCTCGGCCTCCCAAAATGCTGTGGTTACAGATGTGATCCACTGCACCTGGCCAACAATGTCTTATAATAAATACAAAATAATGTATTTAGATAATATGGTCATTTTCTATAATAAACTCTTCATAAAAGCTGAAGGTACAACTTTAATGTTCAATCCAGGTTAGGTGATTTTGCCAGGGAAAAAGCTAACATGGTCCATGTATTTAGCCTTTTAGGAACCAGTGGAAAACACTAAGAATACCTGGTTCTACCACGGACCACAGCTATGTGTAGATAATCTTCCTCAGACACCTCCTCTCTCAGCTAAGCCCTTAATAGCAGTTGGATTGTAAAATCCTCTTTGAGGACAGCCCTGGTGTTTTGTGCTAATTGAAGGCAGATCTTCTTAGAAAGTCAGATTGTAAATATTTGTTTGTTTTGATAGAGGTGGAAAGAAAAGTGATGGGAAAAAGAAGAGACGAAGGGGAAAGTCAGGGTTAAAGTAATCTTAATCTTACGAATGCCTGTCAGACCCTGTCACCTGCCTGCAAGGCCTGCAACCCTGTGTGGAGCTTGGCCATTAGGATAGTGCAGTGTAGACAAAGCTGCATTTTTCTCAAGAGCTAGATTCATACTCATTTCAGCACTTGAGAATATGTGCATTTGATGTTCCATAATTCCTACCTTCCACAGTGTAAGAGACAGGGGAAACCAAAGTGTTTTCCTATTCAC
Source organism: Homo sapiens (assembly GCF_000001405.40). Lineage (NCBI taxonomy): Eukaryota > Metazoa > Chordata > Mammalia > Primates > Hominidae > Homo > Homo sapiens. The sequence goes on along the minus strand of NW_003315917.2, from coordinate 72,080 downwards.
ACAGCACTTACCACTCAGCTCAGCGCTTCTGACACCAGATGCTAGGGGTGGGGGATTCCCCACACACCAGCTGGGTATCCTATCATTTCCCTCAATTCTCACACTGTCTACCTGGAGTTAGAGTCAGATCCCATAAGTTAAAGGCTCAGTCCCACAAGATGGCCTGCACTCCAAATGCCAGTCAAAAGCACAGAGTTGTCTCTGCTGCTCCTGACTGACTGGCTGTATGTACATTGGGACTCCCATGACGCCCTCCTCAGGCTCCATTGATTTGCTAGGATGCCTCACAGAACTCCGGGAAACACTTCCGTTTACCAGTTTATTATAAAGGATCTTACAAAGGATGCAGATGAACAGCCAGATAAAGAGATGGACAGGGCAAGGCACGTGGGAAGGGATGCTCTCTTTGGCGTACCACCCCTCAGGAACCTCACATGCTCAGCTATCTGGAAGCTCCCCAGACCCTTTTGGGTTTTTATGGAGGCTTCATTACATGGACACGGTACATCACTGGCCATTGGTGATTACATCATTGGCCATTGGTAATCAACTCAACCTTCAGCCCCTCTCGCTTCCCTGGAGTTTGGGGGCTAGGGCTGAAAGTTCCAGCTTTCTAATCACAAGATTGGTTCCCCTGGCAACCAGCCCCCATCCTGAGGCTATCCAGGAGCCCATCAAGAGCCTCATTAGAACAAAAGATGCTTCTATTACCCAGGAAATTCCAAGGGATTTAGGGGCTCTGTGTCAGATGCTCCTAGCACTGAGGAAATTACAGTCTTAAGAATTGTGTGTTAGGAACTGGGGTCAAAGACCAACTATGAGAAAAGATTCACCTAACACCCCTATCTACTAGGATTTTAGGAGCTCTATGTCAGGAACTGAGGGCAAAGACCAAATATATATTTCTTATATTACAATATCACATTCAGCTATTGACAAATCTAAGGAAGATTCCCACAAAAAATGCAATTCAGAGGGGTATAGCTCCCAATCTCTGAGTTCCAGTAAGGCACTGAGAGAGACTGAAGGCAGAATTTTAAATAATTGATATAGGCAGGGCACAGTGGCTCATGCCTGTAATCCCAGCGCTTTGGGAGGCTGAGGCAGGAGGATTGCTTGAGCTCAGGAGTTTGAGACCAGGCTGGGCAACATAGGGAGACCCTGTCTCTATTAAAAAAAAAAAAATAGCCAAGTGTGGTGGTAGATACCTGTGGTCTCAGCTACTAGGGAGGCTGAAGTGGGAGGATCGCTTGAGCCTGGGAGGCTGAGGCTGCAGTGAGTCATGATCCCACCACTGCAGTCCAGCCTGGGTGATGGAGCAAGACCCTGTCTCAAAAAAAAAAAACCACCAAAAACTGATGGCCGGGTGCAGTGGCACGCCTGTAATCTCAGGACTTTGGGAGGCTGAGGTGGGTGGATCACTTGAGGTCGGGAATTTGAGACCAGCCTGACCAACATGGAGAAACCCTGTCTCTACTAAAAATACAAAATTGGCTGGGTGTGGTGGCACAAGCCTGTAATCCCAGCTACTCGGGAGGCTGAGGCAGGAGAAATGTTTGAACCCGGGAGGCAGAGGTTGTGGTGAGCCAAGATTGCGCTGTTGCACTCCAGCCTGGGCGACAAAAGCGAGACTCCATCTCAAAAAAAAAAAAAAAATTGATTAATCTCGCACAGCTTTTATAAATCTATACAAGTTTGAGTAGTTCTTTCTCAGTTTCTCAGTGACAAGACTTTAATTCATTTTATTAGTATATTTCAGTAATCTTAAGAGGTACAGGGTGATACAGATTATTTTATGTTTAGTAACACTTAATATCAACTTTCTTTTTGATATGGCAGTTTAGACAAGTTTCCGGAAGTAGTTTATAGGCATACTTCTTTCTTTCTTTGTATTTTTGCTTTTGGGTTTTTTTTTTTTTTTTTTTATCTTAAACTCCTGGGCTTAAGCAATCCTCCAGACTACCAGCTTGAGCCATCACACCAAGCTATTTCTTTTTTTAGACTGAAAATAGGGACACAGATTCATCTACTCATCAAAGTGTCAGTTTCTCTGACTTCTGTTTGCCACAGCTCCTCGTGGAAGGGGTCAGGGCCGCCCTCGTCACTGTGGTCTGTCAGGATTGGTGGGAAGGGGATCTCCCCTCATCTGCTCTCAGTTTCCCACTAAACCACTTTTGGAGAATATTCCAAAAACATTCTTGAAATTTTCCTTGTACAATCTGAGATTTTATAACTTCTGCAAATTACTTTCCTTCAATGGATGAAGAAGGACATCAATGATGTCAGCACGTGAAATATTAAATATTATGCTAATACCTGAGCAGGGCCTTTGACAATTGTGGTATTTTTTGTTGTTGTCGTGATGGTGGTAAAATATATCTAAAGTTGGCCGGGCGCGGTGGCTCACGCCTGTAATCCCAGCATTTTGGGAGGCCAAGAGGGGGCGAATAATGAGGTCAGGAGATCGAGACCATCCTGGCTAACACAGTGAAACCCCATCTCTACTAAAAATACAAAAAAATTAGCCGGACGTGGTGGCGGGCGCCTGTAGTCCCAGCTACTCGGGAGGCTGAGGCAGGAGAATGGCGCGAACCCGGGAGGCGGAGCTTGCAGTGAGCCGAGATTGCGCCACTGCACTCCAGCCTGGGTGACAGAACAAGACTCCATCTAAAAAAAAAAAAAAATTATATATATATATATATATATATATATATATAGTTTACCATTTGAACTGTTTTTAAGTGGTATTAAGTATATTCACATTGTAATGTAACCTTCATCACCATCCAGCTCCAGAACATTTTCATCTTTCTTTACAGAGACCCTGTCCCATGAAACAGTAACTCCTCACTTCCCCTTCTCCAGCCCGTGTGATTTATTATTTAATGGCACAGTTCCCTGAGAAGAAGGTAATGCTATTCTCATTTTAGAGATGAGGAAATCAAGCTGAGAAAAGTCACCCGAGGTCATACAGTTAGTAAGCGGCTGAATGAGGATTCAAGTCCAGGTCTTTGCGGTTCGGAAGCAGAGTTTGCATGGCTCAGAGGCCCCCTGTGGCCTGCAGACATGTTTTGTTAGGTTGGCTTAGTGTAGTCAAACAATAAGACTAGTGGCTGACATTTAGAATTGGAAGATGTCATGACAGATCTGCATTTCTGGCTGCTCTTGAAGACTGTGATGATCCAGTGACATGGACTGTGTTCTTGTGTGGCCTGTGTGTCAGCTGGCACAGAGGGGTGGCTGTGCCGCATGGCAGGGCGGCACTCTTGCTGCCTCTCACCTGCATTGCTCCTGGCTCTGAAGGCTGTGCTCTGCTCACTACATTCCACTGTGTGCTCCTGGACTCACTTGTCCTAGAGATCAAGTTACCTCTTTTGCTGGAAGTATATCAGTGAGGATATTTTAATGTCTCAGCTGGATTCTCATGTTCAATTTTAGGATTTCCATCACCAAGGAGTAAGAAGACCTTCGGGCAGAGACTGTTGGGTATGCTCCCTTCAGAAAACAGTTCTAAGAGGATGGAAGACCAGGACAGTCCTCAAGAGGTCCTTAAGATGCTCATAGATTTGGTTAGTGTCTTTGCTTTTTTTTGCAGGTTATGGTTAAGCCAAGCTTGTCCAACCCACGGTCCGTGGGGAGCATGCAGCCCAGAACAGCTTTGAATGTGGCCCAACACAAATTCGTAAACTTTCTTAAAACATTATGAGATCTTTTTGATATATATATATATTTTTTTAGTTCATCAGCTATCATTAGTGTTAGTGTATTTTTTTGTTTTGTTTGTTTTTTGGTTTTTTTGTTTGTTTGGTTTTTGAGACAGAGTCTCTGTCACCCAGGCTGGAGTGCAGCGGCGCGATCTCGGCTCACTGCAACCTCCACCTCCCGGGTTCAAGCAATTCTCCTGCCTCAGCCTCTAGAGTAGCTGGGACTGCAGGCGCCCACCACCACGCCTGGCTAATTTTGTGTGTGCGTTTTTAGTAGAGACAGGATTTCACCATGTTGGCCAGGCTGGTCTCAAACTCCTGACCTCAAGTGATCTGCCCACCTCGGCATCCCAAAGTGCTGGGATTACAGGCGTGACCCACCATGCCCAGCCAGTGTTAGTGTATTTTATGTGTGGCCCAAGACAATTCTTCTTCTTCCAGTGTGGCCCAGGGAAGCCAAAAGATTGGACACCCCTAGGTTAAGCTAATCTATTTGCTTCCTGTTAATTCAACTCTTTATCTCTCTAGACTTGCACTTGCCTTCTATGTCCTTTTCCCAGTTGGAGTACCAGACTCTACCTTCATGATCTTTATCTCCCTCAGCTCATCTTTTCTCGTCATTCATATTCTTTCTGTGCAGGTTTAAAGGCTCCATCTTGGAAAACAGGGGGCTCCTGTAGTTAACTCCAGCCAGCTTTGCCATCTACATTTATATATATACAGTTTGTGACAAGTCTGCCTGTTTATTGAGGCATTTTTAAAGTGTTCAAGGCATTTCCTCACACATTATATCCTTTACAGTCCTGCTACCCACATTCCACATGGAATGACTAAACTAAGACACTGAGACTCAGGTTATATGAACATACTTATCTCTAGACTGTTATATATTTGCATACAAATATATGAAAGCAATTTTATATACAAATAACTTCAACATTATTTTATAAATATGCACGTTGATATATTTTTTATATGTTGATATTATATACCTATATATACACACTTCATATAGATCTATATTTTCCCTTCATTTCCAGATGACTTGCAAAATTTTCAATGCTGTCTTCTGTTTTTTTTTTTAAAAAATTATTTTTAAAAAATAATCGTCGGGGCTGGGCACAGTGGCTCATGCCTGTAATCCCAGCACTTTGGGAAGCCGAGGCGGGTGGATCATGAGGTCAGGAGATCGAGACCATCCTGACTAACACGGTGAAACTGTCTCTACTAAAAATACAAAAAATTAGCCAGGTGTGGTGGCTGGCACCTGTAGTCCCTAGCTACATGGGAGGCTGAGACAGGAGAATGGTGTGAACCCAGGAGAGCGGAGCTTGCAGTGAGCCAAGATCATGCAACTGCACTCCAACCTGGGTGACAGAGCGAGACTCTGTCTCAAAAAAAAAAAAAATTGTCAGCCTGGCATGGTGGCACACATCTGTAATTCCAGCACTTTGGGAGGCCGAGGCGAGTGGATCACTTGAGGCCAGGAGTTCGAGACCAGCCTACAAAAATTAGCAAGGTGTGGTGGTGCACGCCTATAGTCCCAGCTACTCTACTCGGGAGGGTGAGGCCCAAGAATCACTTGAGCCTGGGAGGCAGAGGCTGCAGTGAGCCAAGATGGCATCACTGCATTCCAGCCTGGGCAACAGAGCCAGACCCTGTCTTAAAAAAAAAAAGAATTGGCCGGGCACGGTGGCTCACGCCTGTAATCCCAGCACTTTGGGAGGCCAAGGTGGGCTGATCACAAGGTCAGGAGATTCAGACCATCCTGGCAAACACAGTGAAACCCCGTCTCTACTAAAAAATGCAAAAAATTAGCTGGGTGTGGTGGCGGGCACCTGTGGTCCCAGCTACTTGGGAGGCTGAGGCAGGAGAATAGTGTGAACCTGGGAGGCAGAGCTTGCAGTGAGTGGAGATAGTGCCACTGCACTCCAGCCTGGGTGACAGAGCCAGACTCCGTCTCAAAAAAAAAAAAAAAAAGATTCATGAATAACATGTAGTATAATGTTTGGGGATCAGGTGATACCTAATTTATTCATACTGATGGACAGATCAGTATGAATATTAGGGTTGAATAACTTGATAAAATAGTACAATACTCCTTTCTCTGAATATATTCTGTGATTTATTGACTAACTTGTACATGTTTAATTTCTGTGCATGCAGCTTAATGATAAAGAAGAAGCTTTGGCTCATCAAAGAAAAGTTAGCTACATGCTTGCTCGGGCATTGGAAGACAAAGACACTGCTTCAAACGAGAATAAAGAAAAAAATCCTATAAAAGAGAATTTCCCTTTCAACAACCCCTGGCGTAAGACTTCAGAATTCTCTGTTTTGGGTGATCCTATACATTCAAGTGTCTGCATTTTAAATTCTGTGGGCTGCATTTGTTCAATCCAGCACTCTCAAATAGATCCAAACTATAGAACTCTTAAAAGATCCCATTCTTTGCCATCAAGTATCATATTTTAAAGACAAGCCAGTTGAAATTGGAACTGAGAGTTGTTTATATCGAGATACTTTGAAAAATGATTTTGTAAATTTTGCTGCATCTTGAGAAGTTGTATGTTTCCTAGGTATTTCTAAATTTTAGGAGGTCGCTTAAATCAAATATTTTCTACATTTTCTTTTTCTTCTTTTGAGATGGAGTCTTGCTCTGTCACCCAGGTTGGAGTGCAGTGGTGTGATCTCGGTTCACTGCAACCTCCGCCTCCCGGTTCAAGCAATTCTCCTGCCTCAGCCTCCCGAGTAACTCGGATTACAGGCATGTGCCACCACGCCCAGCTAATTTTTGTATTTTTAGTAGAGACGGGGTTTTACCATGTTAGCCAGGCTGATCTTGAACTCCTGACCTCAAGTGATCCGCCTGCCTTGGCCTCCGAAAGTGCTGGGATTACAGGCGTGAGCCACCACACCCAGCCTATTTTCTACATTTTCTACAAGAAATTAGTATTCTGTGTTGACATTTTATTTATAAATTACATTACTGTATTTATAAATTACATTACAGGCTGGGCATGGTGGCTCATGCTTATAAATCCCAGCACTTTGGGAGGCCAAGGTGGGTGGGTCACCTGAGGCTGGAGTTCAAGACCAGTCTGACCAACATGGAGAAACCCCATCTCTACTAAAAATACAAAAAATTAGCTAGGCCTAGTGGCGCATGCCTGTAATCCCAGCTACTTGGGAGGCTGAGGTAGGAGAATCGCTTGAACCTGGGAGGCAGGGGTTGTGGTAAGCCGAGACTGTGTCATTGCACTCCAGCCTGGGCGACAAGAGCGAAACTCTGTCTCAAAAAAAAAAACAAAACACATTACAGTGTTTGCCAACATCCTAAAACAAAAAATAATGATTTTTGGGAAAAACAAAAAATTATTTAACTATTTTGATTGACTATAGGGATCTTAGCTTGGCTAAATCAACAATATAGCAATGTATCTTAATGCTCTAAAAAGTAACAATACCTAGGACTGACTGAATGTTAATTTCTGGAATTCATTTATCTTGTTTTATTTGCCTTGTTCAGTATTTTTCATTTACCATATGAAGTTTAGAAATAACAATTTCCTTAAGTTAACTTCAATAAGACAGTTTTGATGGTGGGACCTTGGCAGAAGTATATTGAGTCAGTGCCGGCTGCGTTCATGGCTTCTTGTCAGGGTAGTAACATTTTGCAACCAAATCTGCACAGATTTGTAGCCAAGTCTACAAAGTGCTTAACAGCTCTTTTCATTGCATCCTGTGAGATGGTTGTGATGATCCAGGAAATGGGGTCTCAGGAATCTGAAGAAGCTGCCTGAGCCAAGGTGATTTCTAGGAGTTTTTTTGTTTGTGGTATGTGAATTGGGGTGTGTGGGGGTGGGGTGTGTGTGTAGACAGGGTCCCACTGTGTTGCTCAGGCTGGTGCCAAACTCCTGGCCTCAAGGGATCCTCCTGCCTCAGCCTCTCAAAGTGCTGGGATTACAGGCATAAACCACAACTCAATAAAAAAGTTTTTAAAAATTTACAAAGCTCATATTTGATCCAGCTAGGATTTTACCCTGTACATTTGTATTTCTTGTAGGCTGGCGCACAGATATCTTAAATGGCTACTAATTGCTGCTGTGTATGAAAACAAATGGCTATCAAGGCCGGGTGCAGTGGCTTACAGATCTGGTCTGAATCTCAAGTCCAGACCAGTCCAGAGTTCAAGACCAGCCTGGGCAACATGGTGAAACCCCATCTATACAAAAACTCGGCAAGGCATGGTGGCATGCACCTGTTGTCCCAGCTACTCAGGGGCTGAGGCAGGAGGATGGCATGAGCCCAGGAGCTTGAGGCTGCAGTGAGCTGTGATTGTGCCACTGCACTCCAGCCTGAGTGACAGAGTGAGACCCCCATCTCCAAAAGAAAAGGCTATCAATACAAAAGTTTATCTAAATTACTGTACAGCTATACAATGGAATACTCTACAAAATGGAGAGATCCATAAGATAAAGCAAATGAATAAAGCAAAATGCATGTGTTGACAGCTGTTGTGATACCTCAGTTCTTGTCTTCTTGGTTTAAAAGAATTTAAATGAGACAGCAAAGGAGATGCAGCATAATTTATTGCAAAAGAAAAGGAGTATTTTGAAAGTTAGGTGCAGAACAGACAGTACACCTGAGAGAGAGAATTCAGGGCCGGCTGCTCGTAAGGGTGAGACAGCATTGATTATTGCTGGAGAAACTCCCTTTATGGGAGTTTTGCATTATTATTCATAAGGAGGTGAGGTGTTGCAGTAATCATGTCCTGGGTGGTCCTCTGCACAGGTGCAGTAGCTGTTAATGCTTGTTCATACACCACATGTCTCAGTAGCATCTTAAATTTCCACCTAGAGGTGTGTTTTTTATTATTATCATGTGCAAAGGATCAGTTTGAGGACAGGTAAAATCAAAATGTGTATGCTCTCTAGAAGGGAAAGTCCCTACTGAAGATAGCTTTGCTTAAATGAGCTCAATTACAATGTGAATGCTGAGGTTTATTGTGTTGGCTGTATGGTCATGAGAAAATGGTCATTTCCTTGACTACCTGATACGGTTTGGCTGTGTCCCCACCCAAGTCTTATTTTGAATTGTAATCCCCATAATTCCCACATGTTGAAGGAGGGACTTGGTGGTAGGTGACTGGATCATGGGGGTGGTATCCCCCATGCTGTTCTCATGATTGTGAGTTCTCATGAGATCCAATGGTTTTATACATGGTAGTCTCTCCTGCTGCCATGTAAAACATGCCTGCTTCCCCTTCTGCCAGGATTGTAAGTTTCCCGAGGCCTGCCCAGCCATGTGGAGCTATGAGTCAATTAAACCTCTTTCCTTTATAAATTACTGAGTCTTGGGGTAGTATTCTTTATAGCAGTTTGAGAACGGAATAATACACTCCTATCCTGCCTCACGTGTTAGACACATTTTGAGTGTCCTCAGATCCCTTTGGCGCTATTATCTCCTGGACTCTTAGCTGCTTGGCTGCTTCTCCCTTGGCAGCTCCCTGTCTACACACACACACGAGGAAGTCAGACAGATTTGAAGCACGAGTGGGTTTGATGCACTGCTGCTGTCCTGTGGTGAGTGCCACAGGACAAAGGCATGGAAGTTTCCTTAAGAAGCTGAGAGAGGCCCTGGGCTAACAGTCAAAAGGGAAATGGGGGCAATGGAGCACAAGAATTGCAACTATAAGAACTGCATGAGCGGCCGGGCACGGTGGCTCACGCCTGTAATCCCAGCACTTTGGGAGGCCAAGGTGGGCAGATCACGAGGTCAGGAGATAGAGACCATCCTGGCTAACACAGTGAAACCCCGTCTCTACTAAAAATACAAAATATTAGCTGGGCGTGGTGGCGGGCACCTGTAGTCCCAGCTACTCGGGAGGCTGAGGCAGGAGAATGGGTGAACCCAGTGGGCGGAGGTTGCAGTGAGCCGAGATCGTGCCACTGCACTCCAGCCTGGGCGACAGAGCAAGACTCCATCTCCAAAAAAAAAAAAAAACAAACCTGCATGAGCTTGGTAGCAGATTCTTTCCAGGGGCCTCCAAATAAAACTAGTTTGACTAACACCTTGATTTTGGCCTTGTGAGACCCTAAGCAGAAAACACAGCTGAGCCAGATATATGGCCTACAGAACTGTGAGCTAATACATTTGTGTTACTTTAATTAGCTGGGCATGGTGGTACACATTTGTAATCCCAGCTACTTGGGAGGCTAAGGTAGGAGGATCACCTGAACCCCAGGATGCAGAGGTTACAGTGAGCTGAGATTGCACCACTGCACTCCAGCCTGGGCAACAGAGCAAGACTCTGTCTCATTAAAAAAAAAAAAAAAAATTAACCAGGCATGGTGGTATGCACCTGTAGTCCCAGCTACTGGGGACAGAGGTGGAAGGATGGCTTGAGCCCAGGAGTTCGAAGCTGCAGTGAGCCATGATTGCACTACTACACTCCAACCTGGGCAACAGAGACTATCTCACAAAAAAAAAAAAAAAAAAAAAGGAGAGAGAGATTCTATCAATTTATATACAATTTTGAGACCCAAAACAATGCTGTACATTGTTATGCATCTCACTACATGCACTCTTACAGAATACTAGCATAAAATCATGGAAAGATACACACCAATTTCATAGAGTCATTTCCCTCTGGGGAAAGTGAAAAGGAAAAAATAGAAATAAAGTGAAGTATTGGCTGGGCGCGGTGGCTCACACCTGTAATCCCAGCACTTTGGGAGGTCAAGGCAGGTGGATGAAAAGGTCAGGAGTTCGAGACCAGCCTGGCCAATATGGTGAAACCCCATCTCTACTAAAAATACAAAAAAAAAAAAAAATTAGCCAGGCGTGGTGGCGCATACCTGTAACCCCAGCTACTTGGGAGGCTGAGGCAGGAGAACTGCTTGAATCCAGGAGGTGGAGGTTGCAGTGAGCCAAGATCGCACCACTGCACTCCAGCCTGGGTGACAGAGCGAGACTCCATCTCAAAAAAAAATAAAATAAAATAAAGTGAATTTTTAAGAGGGAACCTCTGGCCAGGTGCAGTGGCTCATGCCTGTAATCCCAGCACTTTGGGAAGCCGAGGTGGGCAGATCACTTCAGGTCAGGAATTAGAGGCCAGCCTGGCCAACATGGTGAAATCCTGTCTCTACTAAAAATATAAAAAAAATTAGGCAGGTGTAGTGGTGCGTGCCCATAATCCCAGCTGCTCGGGAGGCTGAAGCAAGTGAATCACTTGAAGGCAGAGTTTGCAGTGAGCTGGGATTGTGCCCCTGCACTCCAACCTGAGTGACAGAGTGAGACTTTGTCCCCCGCCTCAGAAAAAAGGTTGGGGGGAATCTCAATTTTATCTGTAATGTTTTCTTTTTTTAGTACATTCCGTATATTAATATTTGTTAAGTTTGGGTAGTATTTACTACACCACTACTACATTTTTTTTTTTTTTGAGACTGTGTCTTGCCCTGTCACCCAGGCTGGAGTACAGTGGCGCCATCTTGGCTCACTGCAAGCTCTGCCTCCCGGGTTCTCGCCATTCTCCTGCCTCAGCCTCCTGAGTAGCTGGGACTACAGGCGCCCACCACCACGCCCAGCTAATTTTTTTTGTATTTTTAGTAGAGACAGGGTTTCACCGTGTTAGCCAGGATGGTCTCGATCTCCTGACCTGTGATCCGCCCGCCTCGGCCTCCCAAAGTGCCGGGAATACAGGCGTGAGCCACCGCGCCCGGCCAACATTTTTATTTTTAAACACTACCCATGCTACTACAGATTTGTGATACTATATGGGTCAGATCTTCCAAATAACTGGTAATAATTTTTATTAAGTTTTCCCTAATGCATTTTCAATTCTACATTTCAAGAGTATTGAACTTTTCTCACTTTTGCACTCTAATCAGAAAAACCAGAATTAAATTTTTATTTTAAAATACATTTAATAAAAATAACCCATAGTTTTACATATTTTACATGTGTAGAATATTTACAAACTCACTTCTACAGCATTTACTTAATGTTTACTATTTTTCCATTATTTGCCTTTTTGGCTATTTCCCTCAGTAGTAAAATGTTGTCCAGTGTTCTCTTTAAAAAATTAGTTTCTTGGGCAATCCTCCTAGGAAGCAAAAAGAACAAGAAAAAAAAAAGTTGTTCACATTTAACAAAGTTCACATTCTCATAGCAATTTTAACCAGTCACTGCATTCCAACTACATTATTTCACTGACACATTTTTTCCAGTAGCACTTGTTAAACATTTAGCATGTAGTTTACAGAAGGAATTTATGAAGGGAACAAGGTACACATACATAGTTCCCATAATTCTGAGGTATACACAAAAGCTGCCGAAGTATTCACAATGAAAGTAAACATACCTAAAACAGCACAGTCTCTCTACTTTATACAATTAAATTTATAAAAATTAAATAGCTAGCAAGCTACATTTCTTTGCTGTTGTTCAGTCGCTAGCCATACACGAGCTATTTGGAGTTTTCTAAATTCATTTAATTTCTTTTAAAAGTGGGAATCTTACCTTGTTCTAAGGCCTCTGTTCTTTTCCTTTTTATTGCCAAAGCTGGATTTGATTGCTCCTTTAAGGTTTCCACTGGACAGTTTGGTCTTGGCAGCTGACATCCAGGTGTTGGCCCTGGCCGATTACTGAAATACTTCATTTTCAGTGCCTTTTAAAAGAAAAGATACCAAAAGTAAGGTAGGTGAGTATCTGAAATGTGTTAAGGAAAATCTTACCTTCAAGATTATAGGGAGCATTAAAAATACTATGTGAATGCCCTCATTCCCAACAAAACAAAATTAATGTCAAGTATTTGCAAATGGAAATTACTACAAATAAATACCTAGGATCCTAAGATTGGCTGATAATTCCATTAAAAGACTGGCCGGGCACAGTAGCTCATGCCTGTAATCCCAGCACCTTGGGAGGCTGAGGCGGGTGGATCACATGAGGTCAGAAGTTCGAGATCAGCTTGGCCAACGTGGCGAAACTCCATCTCTACTAAAAATACAAAAATAAGCTGGGCGTGGTGGTGCATGTCTGTAGTCCCCACTACTCGGGAGGCTGAGGTAGGAGAATCGCTTGAACCCAGAGGCAGAGGTTGCAGTGAGCCGAGATCGCACCACTGCACTCCAGCCTGGGCGACAGAGCAAGGCTCCGTATCAAAAAAAGAAAAGAAAAAAAGACTCCCTTCTAATTTTTCCATAATTAAATAGCCTATACAGGCTGAATATATCTTATCTAAAATGCTTGGGACCAGAAGTGCTTCAGATTTTGGACTGTGGAATATTTGCATATACATGACGTACCTTGGGGATGGAAGCCAAGATTAAAAATGAAACTTATGTTTCATATACAGCTTATACATATAAACTGAAGGTAATTTTACACTTATTTTTTGTGGAGAATGGGGTCTTGCTATATTGGCCAGGCTTGTCTTGAACTCCTGGGCTCAAGCTATCCTCCCGCCTCCGCCTCCCTAAGAGCTAGGATTACAGGCGTGAGCCACCGCGCCTGGCTGAAGGTAATTTTATAAAATATTTTTAATTTGACAAAATTTTTAATTTTGTACATAAAACAAAGTTTTGTTAATGTCCTTATGTGTAGAATTTTCCACTTGTGGCATCACGTCATCATTCAAAAAGCTTTGGATTTTGGAGCATTTCAGATTTCGGATATTTGGATTAAGGATGCTCAACCTATACTAATTATGAGCTATCCTTAGTGAAATATTGTACATTTCCATTCTCTACATATTGAACTCTACAGTTCAAAATGCAAAGAGAGAAACTTAAAAAGAACTTACAAGTTGGCCACACTATCCATATATATTCAAATTCCAAGTCATGTAAAATATAAATTCTTAAAAAATAAGGCTTTTTAAAAAATACAGTAGGTTGGAACCAATGGATTCTAATTCAACAATCCATTGCAAATGGACAGAAATTTTACTTGGAAGGGCTTCTCCAAGATTATTTCTATTAATTACCAGGCCAATGTTCTATAATACATTTTCTCTTTTTTTCCCCCTACTATAGTGCTGTAGATACAATACATTTTCTTGACTTGGGTCCACAATTCTGATAAAAATAATTATATCCTAAATGACAAGTTTGTCAGGTCATGCTTGTCTTTTTTTTTTTTTTTGGATACAGAGTCTCACCCTGTTGCCCAGGCTGGAGTGCAGTGGCACAATCTTGGCTCACTGCAACCTCCACCTCCCGGGTTCACATGCTTGTCTATTTACATCAGCAGCATAGTGCTGTCCAGTGGCTACAATGATTTAAAATACTTCTGGCAGGGCGGGGTGGCTCATGCCTGTAATCCCAGCACTTTGGGAGGCCGAGGCAGATGGATCACCTGAGGTCAGGAGTTTGAGATCAGCCTCGATAACATGGTGAAACCCTGTCTCTACTAAAAATCCAAAAATTAGCCAGGCATGGTGGTGTGCACCTGTAATCCCAGCTACTAGGGAGGCTGAGACAGGAGAATCGCTTGTACCTGGGAGGTAGAGGTTGCAGTGAGTCAAGATCGTGCCACTGCACTCCAGCCTGGGTGACAGAGCAAGACTTCGTCTCAAAAATAAATAAATAAATACTTCCTTTAGGATAATCCTTTAAGAAAGATGAAGCCCATATAAACTTTGCAAGCATTCCTCACCACTCCCAATATTATTTGCAGTAATTTAGAGATTCCTTACTTCAACAGTTGCATTTTCATTTTTTATTTATTTACTTTTTGTAGAGATGATGTTTTGTCATGTTGCCCAGGCTGGGCTCCAACTCCTGGGCTCAAGCTATCCTTGCTCCTTCACCTCCCAAAGTGCTGGGATTACAGGTGTGAGCCGATGCACCGGCCTACAGCTGCATTTTTAAAGCATTACTTCTAAATCACAGCAGTTCTATATGCAAATTAGGCTAATTCTGGGCTAAAGATCTAAGAAAATACCTCATTCCAACTTTAATAAAGACATCCATGAAACAAAACTCACTTTAAAAACTTCATTCTATTAAAATACAACCCAAATACAACAACTAGTATTTTTCTGTTAAGTTTCAAACTATACTACCAATGAAAACAATTTTCTAGATAATTAAATGTGGTCTCAAGTTTATTATGATGGAAATAATATACATAGAAGTATGAGTGAAAAGGCAACAAATTACTTGTTTGAAATTAAAAGAGTATGTGTACACATGGACATAAAAATAATAAAGAAAAATTTTTTAAAAAAGAAATTAGGAGAATAATTCTAATGGTAAATACCCAGCATATACCTACCTACCTATCCATCTATATCTATCTATCCTTCCATCCATCCATCCATCTCCATATATATTCACATAGCACACATTGCTAAAAAGAGAAGGCTTATACAAGCAAGTGCATTAAACAATGATTTTGTAGCCTGGAACAAACCTAAAGAGAAAAAAATCTATTTTGTATGCTTAATATTACTGTACATTAATATGTTTCCATAAAGACCTGTGATCTCACTTTCATTAGTCTCTCCCTTCATGAGGTAAAATCACTGCACTGTGTTGTACAGTGCTCTGCCCTAAGTTATTCTAGGTCTTCCAAATTTTTCATGAGTTTGTTATTTCCTTTAAACAGCAGTTAGTTTCAGTTTTTGTTTTATTTCAAATATTTTTCAAGCTTTTGTAAGCATACAATTATATCTGACTATACCATTTCCTCCCCATTACCATGTTCTCAATGTGAAAATGATCAGCATGCATACCTGGATTGCATTATATAGGAAAGAAAAAATAAGCCGAACAAACTACTTTCAGCATTGCTACAAGATTTAAATGAATTTGTAAGAGCTCAACTGAAATATACCAGTTTCTTAACAAATAAAAAGCCTTGGTTTTCTTTTTCTAAGTAAAGTATTTACAAGCCAATTATGTGAAATAGACATGTATTTAAATGTCCCTAAGCAAGTGTAATAAGTGTAAACTCTCCTGTATCTCTGTGTGCATATAATTTAATCTCAGTCTTAATAGTGTTTGTAGTTTGGGGAAAAGATACAAAGTTTGTTATTTCTTAAAACAAAAACACATCTTTCCAGTATTTAAAAAATGTTAATTTTATGAAATTCTATTTTTATCAATGCTACAGTTAAGATTATTTTTATATTTCCTAGTATAAAAAAGATACACCAAAATACCTGTGTGGCCGTAATTCGAGCACATGGATTAAATAAGAATAAGCCTTGTATGAGATCTAGTAAGTCGTCTCCTGCTGCACTGAAGATGTGATGCAAAGGTATTCCAGGGAAACTCTTAAATGTCACATAATCTGGAAGACTACACATGTCCTGTAAAAATAATTTTGTAATTCAAACTTAAGGATTAAAGGCATATAGATTGCAAATGAAATAAATCATTTTCAGGTGATATGATGGTTTATATAGAAAATTCCAAGAAATCTATTAAAAAGTCCTAGAACTAGTAGTAAGACAAGGCTGAAAAGGATATAAATTGAAAATTTAAAAATCAATTGTAATTTTGTACACTAGCAATAAATATGTGGACATCAAAATTAAAAACACAGTACTATTTATAATCACCCCAAAAAGAAAAATGAAACAGGTGAAAAATGTAACAAAACATGTATAGGGTAATATGCTATAAGCTATACAATGCTGATGAAAGTCATCAAAAGATCTCAATAAATGGTGAAACATATCGTGTTCACATATTGGAATATTCAACAGAGGAAGGATGTTAATTATCCTCAAATTGATTTGCAAGTCTAATGTAATTTTTATCAAAATCCTAGCAAAATTATCTTAGATATAGGACCAATTATTCTACAATTTATATGGAAAGGCAAAGGACTACAGTAGCTAAAATGATTTTGAAAAAGAACAATAAAGTGGGAGGACTCATTTTACCTGATTTCAAGATTTAACATATAGCTACTTTGATTAAGACTCTGTTGTATTGGCAGAGAGAGAGATACATAAATCAATGGAACTCAATAAAGGACTTAGAAATCCACACAAATCTGCCAAAAGGATTTTTGAAAAAAGTGAAAAACTAAATCAATGAAGAGACCATCATTTCAACAAATACTGCTGGAGCACTTCGACATACATGTGCAAAAATCTGAACTTGGCTGGGTGTGGCAGCTCACGCTTGTAATCTCAGCACTTTGGGAGATTGAGGCAGGAGGGTCACTTGAGCTCAGGAGTTCGAGACCAGCCTGGACAAGAAAGTGAGACCCCACTCCAACCTGGGGAACAGAGTGAGACTGTCTCAAAGAAAAAAAAAAACAAAAACTGAACCTTGCCCTAAGTCTCACACATCATATAAAGGTAAACTCTAAACAGATCTTGGACTTAAGTATAAAACTACAAAACTTGTAGAAAAAAATACAAAAAAAATTGTCACAGCCAAGGGCATAGTGGCTCATGCCTGTAATCCCAGCACTTTGGGAGGCCAAGGTGGGCAAATCGTTTGAGCTCACGAGTTTCAGACCAGCCTGGGCAACATGCAGAAACCCTGTCTCTACAAAAAACACAAAAACTAGCTGGGCGTGGTGGTGCATGCCTACAGCCCCAGCTACTCAAGAGGCTGAGGTGGGAGGATGGCTTGAGCCTGGGAAGTGGAAGTTGCAGTGAGCTGAGATCACACCATTGCACTGCAGCCTGGGCAACAAGCCAGATCTTGTCTTGAAAAAAAAAAAAAAGAAAAAAAAATTGTCAAAAAATCTTTGGGCTGGGCAAAAGAGCTCTTTGACTTGACACCAAAAGGATGATCAATTAAAGAAAAAGTGACAAACCTGATTACAATTTTGCAGAGGATGAAAAGGCAGCACGAGGGAAAACATCTGCAAACTACATACACTTTTTGGACTACTATCTAGAATATATGAAGAGCTCTCAATACTCAACAGTCAAAAATCAAAGAATCCAATCAGAAAATGGGGAAGAGACATTTAACTAAAGATGGCAAATAACCACAAGAAAAGATATTCAACACCATTAACCATTAGAGCAGTGAAAATTAAAATCAAAATGAGCTATCATGACACACTCATTAGAATGCCTAAAATTAAAAAGTGACAACACCAAATGCTGGAGAGGATTCCAAGAAACTGGAGCATTCATTTACTGCTGATGAGAATGTAAAACAGTATAGCTGCTCTGGAGTTTTGCAGGTTATTTAAAAATTAATATGTAACTACCATATGACTCAAGAACTGAACTCCTGGGCATTTATCCCAGAGAAATAAAAATATATTCTTATATAAAAAACTGTACATAAATGTTTAGAGCAGTTTTATTGGTAATAGCCCCACATTGGAAACAACACAAATATAGATGTCCTTCAATGGGTGAACGGTTGAAGAAACTGAAATAAATCCACACAATACTCAGCAGTTAACAAAAGAGAGAATGAATTATTAACATGCAATGACCTGAATGAACTTCCATTTATGATGGATATGAAAAAGTTAATCCCACAAAGTTATATATTGTGTGATTCCATTTATCCATTTACATAACATTCTTGAAATGACAAAATTACAGAGCTGGAGAACAAATTAGTGATTGCCAAGAGTTAAGGAGTAGGTAGAAGGAAAGTAAGCATAGCTATAAAAGAATACCATGAGAGATTCTTGTGGTGATATTCTGTATCTTGACTGTAGCATCCTGGTGTGATACTGTACTGATTTTATAAGATGCTCCCATCTTGTAAAAGCTAGGTAAAGGGTCCGTGAAATATGTCTGTAGTATTACTATTATAGTTTTGAGACAGGGACTCACTCAGTTACTCATGCTGGTAAAGCGCAGTGGTGCAATCACAGCTCACTGCAGCCTTGACTTCCTGGGCTCAAGCAATCCTCCTACCTCAGCCTCCTGAGTAGCTGGGACCATAATGTGTGCACCACCAAGCCTGGCTAAATTTTTTTAATTTTTGTTTTTTATAGACACGAAGTCTCACTATGTTGCCCAGGCTGGTCTTAAACTCCTGGGCTCAAGTGACCCATTTACCTCAGTCTCCCAAAGTGCTGGGATTACAGGCGTGAGCCATTGTGCCCAGCCACAATATATAATTGTGAATTATATATTCACAATTGCACGTGAATAATATTCTCAAAATAAGAAGTTTTTTTTTTTTTTTTTGGAGACAGAGTCTCACTCTGTAGCCCAGGCTGGTCTCAAACTCCTGGCCTCAAATGATCTGCCCGCCTCAGCCTCCCAAAGTGCTGGGATTACAGGCGTGAGCCATCGCACCCACCAAGAAGTTTAATTTTTAAAAAATCAAAGAGAAACATCAGTAAGCAATTACTATTTAGAAAATCATGTTAGCCAAGTGCGCTGGCTCATGCCTGTAATGCCAGCACTTTGGGAGGCTGAGGCAGAACTGCTTGAGACGAGGAGTTTGAGACCAGCCTGGGCATCACGGTGAAACCCCATCTCTATTAAAAAAAATAATAATAATTTAAAAAAATCTAAGAGAAACATCATATATACATATATGTACACCTACATGTGTGCATGTGTGTGTAATGGGTTTTATATATATAATGGCTTCACACCGTGTATATATACGACGTGAACCCATTTTTGTCAAGGAGTCAAAGAACATGCAACCCTTTTATGTTCGTAGTGTGCTTATAAACTCCTAACATGACTTTACAATGAATTGTTAATAGTGATTACCCTGAGGTCAGGATTACTGGGGTGGGGGGAAAGGACTACATGTATACAAGAGGTTGATGGTATATCACAATTGTAACTTCTTACTTTATATACTTTATCATTTAAAGTGTTCTGAGTACATATTATAATGAATGTCTTTAATATTCACGTGACAGCACTATATAAAGTATATGACAGTTTAAGAACTTTACAGAGTCCTAATTACATTTCAAAGAAAATGCATAAAGGCTTACCGGCCACTGTTCCTCAGTTGGTGTGCCCAAAGTTTCAAATATTCTTGTTAGCTGATCAAGGTCTGAATCTCCTGGCAAAAAAGGAACCTGAAAGAAAGTAAGAGGGAGACTTTTCAAGGTGGGTTTTTTTTTTTTAATTTTTTTCTTTTTTTAGAGAGACAGAGTCTCGCTCTGTCACCCAGGCTGCAGTGAGTGATGCAATCCTGGCTCACTGCAACTTCCTCCTCACTTCAAGCGATTCTTCTGCCTCAGCCTCCCGAGTAGCTGGGACTGCAGGGGCATGCCACCATGCCTGGCTAATTTTTGTATTTTTAGTAGAGATGAGGTTTTGCCATGTTGGCCAGGCTGGTCTCGAAGCCCTGACCTCAAGTGATCTACCCACTTCAGCCTCCCAAAGTGCTGGGATTACAGGCGTGAGCCACCACGCCAGCCTTAGAGATGGGTTTTTTTTTTTTTTTTTTTGAGACAGTCTCGCTCTGTTGCCCAGGCTAGAGTGCAGGAGTTCAAGCTCCGCCTCCTGGGTTCAGGTCATTCTCCTGCCTCAGCCTCCAGAGTAGCTGGGACTACAGGCGCCCGCCACCACGCCTGGCTAATTTTTTTGTATTTTTAGTAGAGATGGGGTTTCACCGTGTTAGCCAGAATGGTCTCGATCTCCTGACATTGTGATTTGCCCGCCTCGGCCTCCCAAAGTGCTGGGATTACAGGCGTCAGCCACCATGCCTGGCCTTCAAAGTGGTTTTTGATACCTGTTAGACAAATACTATAAATTTAATAAGAAAAACTTAAAAACTCTGCAACGAATATTGAAAATTTAGTACAAAGTGTATTGGGTACGTTATTAGATCCTACCACTGCTAACCAACAAAACAGCACCTTTACTATCCATTTTATTCACTCCAAATTTTAATAAACACTTCCCATATAACAGGCCTTGTGCTAAGCCTCAGGAATTAAAAGAGGAAAACGAGACATTCCCTGCCCTCCCCTTAGGTGGAGGTGGTAAGCAGTGCTGATACACATAAACAAGCATTTACAATTCGGTGTGTTGAGTAAGTACGAGATCCTAGACCACATGGAAAGAGCACCTAACTTACTCTAGATGGGTCAGGAGTTCAAGACCAGTCTGGCCAACATGCTGAAACCCTGTCTCTCTACCAAACATAGAAAAATCAGCCAGGCGTGGTGGTGCATGCCTGTAGTCCCAGCTCCTCAGGAGGCTGAGGCAGGAGAATCACTTGAACTGGGAGATGGAGGCTGCAGTGAGCAGAGATGGAGCCACTGCACTCCAGCTTGGGCGACAGAACAAGAATCCATCTTAAAAACAAAAAACAAAAAAACTAAAAGGATATTAAATAATATTACAACTATTTTTAGACATGCTAATTTTCTTCTTAAACCCAAAAGGATTATCTTTTGTTTTTTGTAGGGCACCTGTACCCTCACTTTGCAGGCCAAATTGTGGACAAGGTTGTAATTTAAACAAATTTTAAGAATTGGTGTGCTTTTGTATGATGTAAAAATGAAACTAAGCTGTCTGATGTATGGATTTCACACTCCAATTTGAACAAGCCTATGTAAAAAGACATTTATGAGAAAAAGTAGGAAAATCTGAATAGACTTGATTTTATTAAGGAATTAATGTTCACTTTTTTCAGATGACAATGGTATTGTGGTTATGATTAAAGAATCCTTATAGATGGCCAGGTGTGGTGGCTCACTCCTGTAATCCCAGCACTTTAGGAGGGTGAGGCGAGTGGATCAATTGAGGCTAGGAGTTTGAGACCAGCTGGTCAACATCACAAAACCATTTTTACTAAAAAATACAAAAACTAGGCGGGTGTCATGGTGCACGGCTGTAATCCCAGCTACTTGGGAGGCTGAGGCACGAGAATCACTTCAGCCTGGGAGGCAGAGGTTGCAATGAGCTGAGATCACGCCACCGCACTCCAGCCTGGGCGACAAAGACTCTGTCTCAAAAAAAAAAAAAAAAAAAGGAATCCTTATAGAGAAAAATACTAAAGAAACATGGATAAAATTACATGTTTGGGATTTGTGGCAAAAATATCTAGTGTGGGAGAGTACTGATAAAATGAATCATATGTTGAAACTATTGAAACTGGTTGATGAGTATAGATAGAGGCTCATTTTACTAGTCTTTGCTTTTGCATGTTTGAAAATATCCATACTAAGAAAACTATTTTTCCCTAAAGAAAGAGCTGCTTTGGGACTTAAGCTGTGTGTTTAAAATGTCTTATTTGTATTAAATACATGAACCTTGTTAAAACACTAAATAGTACTAAAGACTTATAATAAAAATTGGTTCTTTGACCCATCATCTCCCTCTCATTTTTGATAATTACGTAACTTTTGCTCAGTGCAGAGCCAAAATTAAGATTAATTCCCCTTCTTATACAATTTGGTTTTCCTAAAGGTAATGATTTCCTAGCCCTCCGCCACCAACTCCTAATGCCTGCTCTTTGACAACTTGGTTTATATAAAAGCTAAATATTCCAGTTATTAAATATCGATTTCTATATGACTAAACCAATCATATCCATCGGTTCCTTTTTTTTTTTTCCTGGAAGCCACCCCTGCTGAAGTCCTCACCCCACCTGCTCCAATCTGGACTAGCTACTCTCCAGGCCTGATGCATACCTGCTTTCCCAGAACTTTCCTTCACTATTAAATGAGAATTTGAACTGCCTTTTTCCTGTGTTGAATCTTATGTTCCCTGCATCTCATGTCTTCCCGTTGGTTTACTCTCTGCAACCTCTGCCTTGTGGGTTTAAGCACCTCACCTTCCCGAGTAGCTGGGATTACAGGCGCCCACCACCATGCCCAGCTAATTTTTGTATTTTTAGTAGAGACCGGGTCTCACCATGTTGGCCAGGCTGGTCTTGAACTCCTGACCTCAGGTGATCCACCTGCCTTGGCCTCCCAAAGTGCTGGGATTACAGGCATAAGCCACCGCACCCAGCCCTAAACTTTTTTTTTGAGACAAGGTCTGTCTCCTCTAATTCGGTGTGAATTTTTCGGTTCTGTTTTTCTCCTGTGCTGTCTCTGCACCAGCTCAGCTCAGCTCCCCAGCCTTCGCCGCCGCAGCCTCTTCAGCCTGCTGACCGCAAGTGCGCCCTCTAAAGGCCCCAAATGCCCTATACACACCAGGTGGAGAGTGCGGCAGCGCCTGCAGAGCCCAATTAAAGATGAACCCCAGCCTGTTACCCAGGCTGGAATGCAGTGGCACAAACGTGGCTCACTGCAGCCTTGACAACCAGGCTCAAGCAATCCTCCCACTTCAGCCTCCCAAGCAGCTGGGACTACAGGCATGCACTACCAAGTCTGGCTAATTTCTTGATTTCTTTTTTTCTTTTTTTTTTTAGATAGTGTCTTGCTCTGTCACCCAGGCTGGAGTGATGTGGCACGATATCACCTCCTTGCAGCCTCAAATTCCCAGGTTCCAGTGATCCTGCCAACTCAGCCTCCTGAGTAGCTGGGAAAACACGCACTCAATACCATGCCCGGCTAATTTTTGTATTTTTGGTAGAGACAGGGTTTCACCACATTGCCCAAGTGGGTCTCAAACTCCTGAGCTCAAGTGATCCACCCGCCTTGGCCTCCCAAAGTGCTGGGATTATAGGAGTGAGCTGCCCTGCCTGGCCTAGATGTAAATTTCTGATGTAATAAATTGTAGTTACCCTCAGAGCAAACTGAAAATATGAACAGGCAAAGAATTCTAGGTTGAGCATCATTTTCCCTCACAATGTGAACACTTCCAGATTCCAGTGCTGCTGTTGAGAAGGCTCATGCCATTCTTTTTCCCTAATACTTTATTTTCTTTTCTATGTATGCTGCTTTTCTTCTCTGTGCAAATAAAATATTTTTCTTACCCCTTCGTATTCTGAAATTTCACAACAGTGTGTCTTGGCACAGGTTTTTTTTTTTCATGCAGAGCCTTTAGAATTTTTTTTTGAAAGTTTTCTTTGTAATTTTCATAATTGTACTCATTTTTTTTTTTTATTTTTTGAGACGGAGTCTCGCTCTGTCACCCAGGCTGGAGTGCAGTGGTGCGATCTTGGCTCACTGCAAGCTCTACCTCCCAGGTTCATGCCATTCTCCTGCCTCAGTCTCCCGAGTAGCTGGAACTACAGGTGCCCGCCACCACGCCTAGCTAATTTTTTTTGTATTTTCAACAGAGACGGGGTTTCACTGTGTTAGCCAGGATGGTCTCTATCTCCTCACCTCGTGATCTGCCTGCCTCAGCCTCCCAAAGTGCTGGGATTGCAGGCGTGAGCCACCGTGGCTGGCCTTTTTTTTTTTAGACGGAATTTCACATTTGTTGCCCAGGCTGGAGTGCAATGGTGTGATCTCCAGCTCACTGCAACCTCCACATCCCGGGTTCAAGCGATTCTCCTGCCTCAGCCTCCTGAGTAGCTGGGATTACAGGCATGTGCCACCAAACCCAACTAATTTTGCATTTTTAGTAGAGATAGTGTTTCTCCATATTGGCCAGGCTGGTCTCAAACTCCCAACCTTGGGTGATCCACCCACCTCGGCCTCCCAAAGTGCTGGGATTACAGGCATGAGCTACTGCGCCCGGCCTCATAATTGTACTCTTCATGGCACTTTTAGTCTGACGATTCACATCTAGCAGTGCTTCACTATTTTGAGATTTCCTACCCTCCATTTTCCTTGTTTTCTGTTGGTACATTCTAGAATCCTGGATCAATCTGTTAATTTTATCTTTTCTCTACTATAGTCCATCTATCTTTTTATTGAGACAGGGTTTCACAATGTTATCCAGGCTGGTCTTGAACTGCTGGGCTCAAGAGATTCTCCTGCCTCAGCCTCGCACGTAGCTGGGACCACAGGTATGTACCACTGTGCCTAGCCATCTCTTCATCTTTTGATTTTAGTTAATGAAAGAGTTTTGCAGCTTACTTTCCCATTCCTTTCACTGTTTTTGTTTGCTTTTGGCTATCTTCTATTTTTAATAGTTCAAGTGTCTCTTATTTTATTGTTCCCCTTTTAAAAAAGTATGGTGTGCTTATTCTATAGATGCACTATAATCTCTTAGATCTCTGAATATTTGGAAAGGGGGCTGGGGGCGGTGAATTTTCTTCTGCTTTGGTTGTTTCCATTTTTTCCAAGTTTCTTTTTAGTTTGTTTCAGTCTGCCTTTCATTTTGGAAGTATTCATTACTATCTGAAGATCCTTAATAACTATCTGGTGATCCCTGGCTAAGCATTCATATGGGCAACATTTCTACCTTTTCAATTGAGCACAAGAACAGCTTAAAATAGGACAAAAGGTATGGCAGAAGAGTACAATTCTTTAGTCTGCATGTCATTTTCCTTATAACTTTAAAGATGATTCCAGCAACAATGCCAATGGCTAATAAATTTCCAAGTATGATTGTTAACAGGTCCACAATCTCTAACCTGTCTACTCTCAACTGCTGTCTCTCTTCATTTGCTTTCTCAATGGAGTGATCAGTCATAACATTAGGGGCTATGGAATTCTGTTTTCTTCTTGGCCATGAATGGATTGTGGTGGTTGATAAATTCTCAGTGTGAATTTCTGGTATACTCTATGTTCAGGTAAGTAGCAGTTATCATGCCAGCTGATTCACAGGACCCTCTGTTAGCACTGTGATTCCCATATTACCTTCCAAGTTTGAATGTGTGGGTTTCTTCTACAAATGCCCATTGGGTAAGTTTCTCAAAATGATGCACAGAATTTACTTTTTTTTATTTTAAGAGATTGGGGTCTTGCTATATTGTCCAGGCTTGCCTCAAACTCCTGAGTACAAGTGATCCTCCCACCTCAGCTTCCCAAGTAGCTGGGACTATAGGCGTGAGCCACCACTATGCTTAAACTAAACATTTTTAGTTTAGTGTTTTTCTCTTTGGTGTACAGAAGTTGTTTTCTGTGTTCAAGGAGATAAAAAAGCTATTCAATCTTGGTTTGAATTTCTTTAAATACATATGGCTTAAGGAGAGGGAGAGCAGGGGTCAGAATATGGAGAGAAAAAAACTAGCTTCAGAAGGATTCCCCTGTATCCCTTTACCTTCATCATTCGTAAGGGCTAGTCTTTCTGGAGATCTAAACTTCATAGCTAAAGAGAAGTTTCCAAGTCAGCATCTTTCTCTCTGGTGAGGGGAAGCAGGGGATTTTTTTTACTGTAAGATGATGGTCTCAGTCACAGAAATGCTATAGTAACATTGTATCTGTTCTGTTTCAACAGAACTAAAATAATGGTCTCACACAAGGCTTAAGTTATACAGAGTAGTAGCTGCAGTGGTTGGTATTATACATTTCCTAAAGCGCACTTAAAACAGACCCAAACAAAAAAACCCTCAGGAGGACAAAAGTTTATCTGAACATATTTAGTTGTTATAGAGATACTGCCATATTACAAGTGAATTTCTATGTTCTGAAGTATAAAACTTCTACAGTAAAGTTCTTATTGTCCTAAATGGAAGATATTCTCATTTCATATTAACATTAAAAAATGCTACATTTGGCTTTTTAAAAATTGGACTATTTGTAGGCTTTTTGTTGTAAAGACATTGGCAGGACAAGAATTCTTTTCTTTTTCTTTTTCTTTTTTTTTTTTTTTGAGATGGAGCCTTGCTCTGTTGCCCAGGCTGGAGTGCAGTGGCACAATCTTGGCTCATTGCAACCTCTGCCTCCCAGGTTCAAGCGATTCTCCTGTCTCAGCCTCCCGAGTAGCTGGGACTACAGGCACCCGCCACCATGCCCAGCTAATTTTTCTATTTTTAGTAGAGATGGGGTTTCACCATGTTGGCCAGGCTGGCTTCGAACTCCTGACCTCAAGTGATCCACCTGCCTCGGCCTCCCAAAGTGCTGGGATTACAGGCGTGAGCCACCATGCCTGGCCTAGGACAAGAATTCTTATACAAACTGTCAGAACAAATAACTGCAACAACAATATTAAAGTGCGTACATTAATTTAGACTTACCCTTAGAAGTAACTCTGCTAATATACAGCCAACAGCCCACATGTCCACACCTACACCATACATCCTAGCTCCAAATAGTAACTCGGGGGCCCGATACCACCTAAAGAACAAAAAGAATTAGTATCATTTTAGCATGAAATTATCAAAGCACTTCTATCTCTAGGGATGAACGATCCTTGTCTGTTTTCTGTTTTTAAAGGCAATCCCTTACTTTAAGGACTAGATACCATACTCTTTCATGAAGTTTTAAATATAATACTCTTGCAGTTCTCTCCTTTTTCTCCTACAGCAGTCTTTTGTTTTCTACTAGACTTTTCCCAACAATGTACAAACATACCAGTATTTTTCCAGTCTTAAACTTCTCTGGACCCTACCTCCCCTAATAGGTGCCTCCTCATTCTCTGCCCAGTTCAAAGAATTGTCTATTCTTACTGTCTCCAATTCCTTTTCTTCCATCCTCTCTTAAAACCTTTTCAGGCCGGGTGTGGTGGCTCACGCCTGTAATCCCAGCACTTTGGGAGGCCGAGGCGGGCGGATCACGAGGTCAGGAGTTTGAGACCAGCCTGGCCAACATAGTGAAACCCGTCTCTACTAAAAATACAAAAAATTAACCAGGCATGGTGGTGGGCGCCTGTAATCCCAGCTACTTGGGAGGCTGAGGCAGGAGAATTGCTTGAACCCGGGAGGCAGAGGTTGCAGTGAGCAGAGATCGCGCCATTGCACTCCAGCCTGGGCGACAGTGCCAGATTCCGTCTCAAAACAAAACACCACACACACATACACACACACACACACACACACACACACACACAGAGAACCTTTTCAATCAGGCTTTCATCCTTACCATTCCATCAAAACTGCTCTTATCAAGCTTATCAGTCATGTCCACACTGCTAAATCCCATTGTCAATTCCCAGAGTCTTCATCTTAATTTGATTTACCAGCAGCATTTGATTTACAGACAGAGAAAATATGAGAAACTGGTAGA
Source organism: Homo sapiens (assembly GCF_000001405.40). Taxonomy (NCBI): domain Eukaryota; kingdom Metazoa; phylum Chordata; class Mammalia; order Primates; family Hominidae; genus Homo; species Homo sapiens. The sequence goes on along the minus strand of NW_003315917.2, from coordinate 44,496 downwards.
TGAGAAAGCTCTGTTAACAATGCTCTTGTACACAGGTCCCTGTTTCTATGAGTTCCTGAATGTTGAGCTTAACTGCTCTAGCAATTACATAAACAATTACTCACATCCCCTACTTCTTACTCAGGGCTTAGGTGATTTATACTCAGTGACATCTATTTGGAAGAAGGTGGCAAAATAATTTAAAATAGAGACTTTGGGGCCAGGCACAATGGCTCACACCTGTAATCCCAAAACTATTGGAGGCTGAGGTGGGAGGATCGCTTGAGTGCAGGACTTTGAGACCAGCCTGGGCAACATGGCGAAACCCATCTCTATAAAAACTTTAAAAAATTAGCCAGCCATGGTGGGGCGTGCCTGTGGCCCCAGATACTTGGAAGGCTGAGGTAGCACGATTGCTTGAACCCAAGAGGTCAAGGCAGCAGTGAGTACTGTTTGCACAACCGCACTTCAGCCTGGGCAACAGAGCGAGATCCTGTCTCAAAAAAGAAAAAGAAAAAATACAGAATTTGAAAATCTTTGCAGATCCTTAAAACGGTCTTGGAAATTAACAAAATGCCACTGGGACAAAAATTATAAAATCTATCATTCCTATTTAATGTGATTTTCTGTTTTTTCACATCAAAAATACAAATGGAAAATATAATTACCAATATGAAAAATTCAAATATCAAGACATTGCTCTGTTTAGAGAATTTTCATTTACATAGAAGGATACAGAATCAGCACTGACCAACATAATAAAAATGGGTCCAATAAATCAGATGATTAGGTAGAAGAATATCCACTGAAATTCTAGATTATCTAACTAAAATGTTAAAGTATAAATTGTTCCCATTTACAAGGTAAATGTCTTAGGATTAAGTTAGACTCTGTTTGAAAAGGGGCTATGTATTTTTTCATCGTGGTAAAGTATACCTAACATAAAAATGACAGGTTTTTTTTTTGTTTGTTTTTTGTTTTTCCCTGAGAGGGAGTCTTTCTCTGTCGCCCAGGCTGGAGTGCGGTGGTGCAATCTCTGCTCACTGCAACTTCTGCCTCTCTGGTTCAAGCAATTCTCCTGCCTCAGCCTCCTGAGTAGCTAGGATTACAGGCGTGCGCCACCATGCCCAGCTAATTCTTTTGTATTTTTAGTAGAGACGGGGTTTCACCATGTTGGCCAGGCTGGTCTCAAACTCCTGACCTCGTGGGTCTGCCTGCCTTGGCCTCCCAAAGTGCTGGGATTACAGGCATGAGTCACCGCGCCTGGCCAAATGGCAGTATTTTTTAAGACGGTATCTATCAACAATGATTCCTTAACTCTGCCAAGATAGTTCAGAGAAGCCAGTTGATGCTCATTTCTGATCAAACTCCTGCACATGTAGCTTTAAGAGATTCTTACCTGGTTACAACCTGATGTGTATAAGCTCTATTGGGGCTCCCAAAAGATTTGGCCAGGCCAAAATCTGCCAGTTTTAGAACTCCATTTTCATCTAGCAACAAGTTGTTTGGTTTCAGATCCTATATGACGGAAGTTTTAAACAAACAAATAAGCAGGGTAGGGGAGAACACTGTAGTGCTACATTTAGTTGGCATAACTTTAAACTTAGCAAAAACAAGGTAACACCTGAAATCTAAACAATCAATTTTTTTCCCACTGATATAAAATCCCATCAAAGCAAAATTGGATTGGTTATAATATATAACCTTGGTAAGGAACTTAATTTCACTAAGCCATAATTTACATACTTCATAGAGTTTCTGTGAGGATTAAATCTGATATTTTCTGTAGTCTAGTGTAGTAACTGGCTCATAGTAGGCACTCAATAAATGGTTCCTACTATTAATAATAAATATGAACTTTCATAATATACGTTGTTAATGTATAAGAATGAGGATGACATTCTTCAAAATCCATGCTAAAAAGACATCAGCAATAACCTAAGAGGGATTCCAAACTTACGATATGAGAATTACTAGTTATAAATTATATATTCTTAGCTACTTATCTAAATAGCTAGGTAGCTAGCATCTACCTAGCTAAATTATCAGCTTTGTTCTAAAAGCTGAATGTTCCCACTATTTCATAAACTGTATTTTGTACCTTGAATTTTAGAGCTACAAGAAACATTACTTTTCTAGTATTTTGGCATTGTATGAGTTAATCCAAGACCATCTCTATATTTTTTTCCCCACAACAACATTGTAGCACAAAGAATACTGAACTTAAAGCCAAAAGACCTATGTTCTTTTTTTTTTTTTTGAGACAGGGTTTCACTCTGTCACCCAGACTAGAGTGCAGTGGTGAGGTCTCAGCTCACTGCAACCCCCACCTCCTGGGCTCAGGTGATCCCCCAACCTCAGCCTCCTGAGCAGCTGGGACTACAGGTGTGCACCACTGCACCCAGCTAATTTCTGTATTTTTTGTAGAGATGAGTTTTCACTATATTGCCCAGGCTGGTCTAGAACTCCTGGGCTCGAGATATCTACTTGCCTCAGCCTCCCAAAGTGCTGGCAACACAAAAGTGAGCCACCATGCCTGGGTCAAAACCTATGTTTTAATACTCTGTCCATTATCAGCAGCCAACCTTGAAAAAAAATATAACCATGGTCAGGTCACTTAGCAACTTAGCTCTTCATCTATTAAAAAATGAGGAGGCCGGGCGCAATGGCTCACGCCTGTAATCCCAGCACTTTGGGAGGCCAAGATGGGCAGATCACGAGGCCAGGAGATCGAGACCATTCTGGCTAACACGGTGAAACCCCGTCTCTACTAAAAAAATACAAAAAATTAGCTGGGCGTGGTGGCGGGCACCTGTGGTCCCAGCTACTCGGGAGGCTGAGGCAGGAGAATGGCATGAAACCAGGAGACGGAGCTTGCAGTGAGCAAGAGATCGCGCCACTGCACTCCAGCCTGGGTGACAGAGCAAGATTCCATCTCAAAAAAAAAAAAAAAAAAAAATGAGGGACTGGATCTCTTCCAGTTCTAAATTTCACAAAGTAATATGGAGTCCTTACAGCACCAACTGCTGGAACAAGTGAAGGGAATAATATATAGCAAAAAGATGGGATAAAACAGTCAGCTATAAATTCATTGTTAAACAATTTACATATTCAGACCACTATGTACCAAATTGGCTATATAAAACTTGACTAGTATAAAGAAGCAATATTAAAAACCTTACCCTATGTAGGATCCAATGTTGATGTAAATATTCTAATCCTTGAAGAGTCATCAACATGTAGGCTTTGATGTGTGATGGTGTCAGCACAAGACTATTATCCTTTATTATAACCTGTAAAGCAAGTATACAATATACAGGTACCCTTTATTATTTCAAATAAACTCTACCACATAAAACAATTTACAGACTTAAAATGTAAGTATCAATACAGGAGACTCTCAAAAGAGGTTATCTAAGTTTCCTCAGGAAGCCCTGTCAAAATCTCCAGAGTTAGATGGGTAGGGAGAGCATTTCTGGTTTGAAAAGAAAGCAGTGCTTTGTCCTCTACTGCTTTCGCATGAAAGTAGCAAACACCTGTTGTTTCTGCTTGCATCTTCTGACAATAGCAGTTAGTGTTCCTTTGGGAAGCCATCTCTTCTCAGCTTAGTCCACATGGTTAAGGTAGGACTGAGTCAACCTAAGGCCTCCAGAGGTAGGCACATGACCCAGGCATCCCCATTATCACACTGCAGTCTCCTGGCCAAGTGATTGGTTCAGGGATACAAGACAAGTCAATCAACCAGGCCAAGTACTTGTGCTAGAATCAAAGAAAAGAAAGCACTTTTGTTCCTCAGGTATTATTAAACTCTACAAACATATACCTAGAAGCATCTGGAACACCATATTGAGAACTGTACACATGAAGAATGCAACAGAGAAGAAAATGGAGCTTAGTTAAAGCGTAAGACTGAGTTTTGATGGCATTATTTATGAGCTGTGCCTAATGTCAGTTTATTCTAGATTTATCAGTTAGGAACTAAAAGTTCCCCTTTTCTTTTTTTAAAATCAGATTTAAGGTAAAGCATACCCTTTTTAGTGTATAGTTCCATGAGTTTTGACAAATGCATCCAGTCATGTAACCACCACTATAATCAAAGCATAGTTCCGTAACCTCCCCAAATTCCCTGAGGCCCCTCTGTACTTACTCCTTTCCTTTACCCCAAAGCCCCCATAACCGCTGATCTGGTTTCTGGTTCCTTTCATTTTGCCTTTTCCAGAATATCATATAAATGAAATGGTTCAATACATAGTCTTTTTAGCCTGGCTTCTTTCACTTAGTATAATGCATTTCAGATTCATCTATGTTGCTGCATTTATCAATAGTGTGTTTCTATTCCTGAGTAGTATTTCAGTTTGTTTGTACAGTTAGAATGAGGGATGTTTGGATTGTTCCAGTTTTGATAATTATTAATAAAGCCAAACATCTGTACCAACTGAATTCTGGCATACGTTTTTGTTTCTTTTTTTTTTCTTTTTTCGAGATGGGAATCTCACTCTGTCACCCAGGATGGAGTGCAATGGTGCAATCCATAGCCTAGTGGTGAGTCCATAGCCTATTATGATAGGTCCTTCCAGGATCAATACCATTAGTATTGTGATCTATAACAGCATCACTAATATTGTGATCGATACCACTAATCAATAATCTTGTGATCTAGCAATACCACTGCTAGGTATTTATCTAAAAGAAAGAGGCCGGGCATGGTGGCTCACGCTTATAATCCCAGCACTTTGGGAGGCTCAGGCAGGTAGATCGCCAGAGGTCAAGAGTTTGAAACCATCCCGTCCAACATAGTGAAACCCCATCTCTATTTTAGCTGGGCATGGTGATGGGCGCTTGTAATCCCAGCTACTCAGGAGGCTGAGGCACAAGAATTGCTTGAACCTGGGAGGCAGAGGTTGCAGTGAGTTGAGATCGCGCCACTGTACTCCAGCACGGGTAACAAAGCAAGACTCTGTCTCAAAAAAACAAAACAAAAACAAAAACAAACAAAAAAACTTGGCTTTCAAAAGAATGACATTACTCTGATTATATGGAAATAAGTTTCTTTATTTTTTAATATAATTTGTAAAGCTGAGACAGGATCTATGGGGTCCAGGCTGGTCTTGAACTCCTGGGCTTAAGCAATCCTCTTGCCTTGGCCTCTCAAAGTGCTGAGATTACAGGCGTGAGTCACTGCACTGGCCAGAAATAAATTTTAAATTCTTATAGGTTGCTAGGCATGGTGACTCATGCCTGTAATCCTAGCACTTTGGGAGGCTGAGGCAGGCAGATCACTTGAGGTCAGGAGTTCAAGACCAGCCTGGCCAACATGGTGACACCCCGTCTCTACTTAAAATATAAAATTTAGCCGGGCGTGGTGGCACCTGTAATCCCAGCTACTTGGGAGGCTGAAGTGAGAGAATCACTGGAACCCAGGAGGTGATGGCTGCAGAGAGCCGAGATCACGCCATTGCACTCCAGGCTGGGTGAACAGACTGAGACTCCATCACAAAAAAAAAAAAAAGCAAACAAATCTTATAGGTCTAATGCTCATTTCTCCAAAAATGACGTCAACTAGCTATGGGAACTTAGAAGGCAGAAATGCCAATGAAATCCAAATCTTTGTATGTAACACTGGGGATATCACTAAATGATTAGAAGAAAATAACTAGAGATCCTTTTGCCTCAGAGTACATCCAAATTTCAACAAAATTAAGCTTTTTTTCTTTTACTACCAGTATCTTCTTGGGTAGAAAACAAATATTTAGGTTCTTGTTTGATAAACTGGGACAAAGGAATTTCTCCAGGAATCTTAATCTTACCTCTAGATCAGTTTCCATAAAATCAAAGACAAGGCTAATATTAGATTTATGTCCAAAAGCATCAAGGAGCTGCAAAGTTAAAAAATTAAAATGTGATTCACTATTTAATACCTGACAGTATCATAGCAACTGAGGCAATTTTTAAAAATTTAAAAAGCATTTAAACTGTTGGTAATTCCCTATAAAGCTTAAATCATTTGATTAAATTTGACATTTGTCCTTTTTTGGACAGTACTAAAGGAATTAGTATTTTGAAGCATAAAAATATTAAATTTTACTTAAAAAAATACCCAACCTCTTTCCCCAAATATTTGGAGTTAGAATTAAGAAATTAACCAATGAAAACCTCATTCCAGTCTCCAATTCAAAAGAAAAGTCCCAAATGTGATTCTTAAGAAATCCTCTAAATAACAGCAGCTATCATTGAATGAATGAATACATTTTCTATGGTAGGCACTATTCCAGATACTTTACATCTATTCAATTGGCTAGTCTCACAACTTCCCTATGAGGCAGGGACTCTGGGGAGTTGTGAGTGAACACACTCAAGGTCTCACACAGGCAGAAAGAAAGGTTTTGAATTCAGGTTGACACTCTCAGCCACTACATGCTAGAGCTCCCTAGACTTCAAAATTATTTCCGACAAAATTAGCCTACATGTCAATATTTCATTTATTTAATCAGTGGTATAGTTTTGAAGACAATGCCTACCAAAACAACTGGGATAGAAAATGTATTTCCTTTAAGCTTCTACAAGGCTCATCCAGAACAAGTCATCTTGCTGAGCCTTTAATCAACATCCATTATATTAAGAAAAGGCAGAGTCCCAAATCCCAGTAACAGTTTTGATCATACTCACACCAATTATATTTGGATGACTTAGCTCCTGTAATAATTTTATCTCTCTTAAGGCGGTTCTATTTATACCTATATAAAAAGGCAAAGCAAAAAGTGAATAATTCTGAAATCTCAAACCTTACAAACACTTCTTTTTTTTTTTTTTTTTTTGAGATGGAGTCTCGCTCTGTCGCCCAGGCTAGAGTGTAGTGGCGTGATCTCGGCTCACTGCAACCTCTGCTTCCCGGGTTCAAGCAATTCTCCTGCCTCAGCCTCCAGAGTAGCAGGGATTACAGGCACGCGCCACCACGCCCGGCTAATTTTTGTATTTTTAGTAAAGACGGGGTTTCACCATGTTCATCAGGCTGGTCTCCAACTCCTGACCTCGTGATCCACCCGCTTTGGCCTCCTGAAGTGCTGGGATTACAGGCGTGAGCCACCACACCCAGCCACAAACACATATTTTTAAAGAAAGGTTAGTAATCTCAGAAAATAGTGAACATTACCCACAAAAATAAGGGCTACTTTGACAATTTTTATGTCAAATCTGTTGTTCTTTTACATTGCTTTATTTTTATTTATTTATTTTTTTTGAGATGGGGTTTCACCCTGTCAGCCAGGTTGGAGTGCAGTGGCATGATCTCGGCTCACAGCAGCCTCCACCTCCCAGACTCAAGTAATTTTCCCACCTCAGCCTCCCGAGTAGCTGGGACCACAGGTGTGCACCTCCACGCCTGGCTAATTTTTTGTATTTTCGTTAGAGATGGGGTTTTGCCATATTGGCCAGGCTGGTTTCGAACTCCTGAGCTCAGGCGATCTACCCACCTCACCCTCCCAAAGTGCTGGGATTACAGGCGTAAGCCATGGCACCAGGCCAATATTGCTTTACTTTTAAAATAGCTTAACAAAGACTACGACAAATGGTGAAAAATATTTCACCTTATCTATACCAGGATCTGAACACCACTACTAGACTAACAACATATATAAGTGTGCAGCATATAGGTGATAAGCTTCCCTACTCTTGCCCTACAAATATTAGTGGCATATTGTTTGTGCTAAAAGCAAACTAGTGATAAGATAGTATATTTTCCAATACAAATGACAGATTTCAAAATTAAAAATTAGATACAGGCCGGGCGCGGTGGCTCGTAATCCCAGCACTTTGGGAGGCCTAGGTGGGCAGATCACTTGAGGCCAGGAGATCGAGACCAGCCTGGCCAAGGTGGCAAAACCCCATCTCTACTAAAAATACAAAAAATTGGCTGGGCATGGTGGTGTGCACCTGTAATCCTAGCTACTCAGGAAGCTGAGGCAGGAGAATCGCTTGAACCCGGGAGGTAGAGGTTGCAGTGAGCCGAGATTGCGATACTGCACTCCAGCCTGGGCAACAGAGCATGACTCTGTCTCAAAAAAAATAAACAAAATAAAAATAAGATATAGTATTGGCACTTACACAGACAATGGGTCTCTTTTGTAAGAGCTATTTTATGATGAATCCTAATAAATAAGACTTTGGAAGAAAGTTTAATGAAATAATTTCCTCATGTATCTATTCCATAGTAAGCTTTATGTACTTTCATGAAAATGTATCCTGAATTTTCAAAGTAATTAGAAACTCAGAAACAGAAAAAACAATGGCTTGTAACACCTAAAACAGTAATGAAGACAGAAAGACAAACTAATTAAGCTTGCTGCCTTCCATTTATGTGGGTGATTTGGAATGTTTCTCTGAATATCCAGTAAGTAAAAATCACCAAATACTCCTTCTCTATGCTGAGTCTATCTTTACTCTTCGGGGACCCTGCAGTAACTCTATCCAGAACCATTACTAACTTATTAATTCATACTTTGCTCGTTTCTTCAGTGAGAATGAAAACTTTATGCTGGGCATGGTGGCTCAAGCCTGTAATCCCAGCACTTTGGGAGGCCGAGGTGGGAGGATAGCTTGAGGCCAGGAGTTTGAGAGAAGCCTGAGCAACACAGCCAGACCTCATCTCTACAAAAAATAAAACATTAACCACAAGTGGTGGCACATGTTTACAGCCCTAGCTACTCAAGAGGCTGAGGTGGGAGAACTGCTTGAGTACCTAAGTTTGAGGCTGCAGTGAGCTACGATTGTGTCTCAGTACTCCAGCCTGGGTGACAGAGCAAGACCCTGTCTTTTTAAAAAAAAAAAAAAAAAAAAAAAAAAAAAAAGGAGAAAACTTTTCCTATCTGTCAGATTACATGAAATACTTACCATCTTTAGCTTCTGATCTATGTCCAAGTTTGATCTGGTAGAAACGGAAAAAAACCCAAATATATTAAAAATGTGTTAAATTATTTAGAATCAATGAATAATGTGTAAATACTTCAAATACTTCGCCACAGAAAAAAAAACAATTAGCAACCAATATGTACCTACTAGGCAAAAAGAGAGTAGGAATCATGATCAGAAAGATAAAATTAACAATATAAGAGAGAATCAAATACCTACCCTTGTCCCTTAAGTTTCTGAACTACACATTCAAATAATAAAATTAAGAAAAATCTATTTTACCTTTTCAAGGTTCAATGTGGACCAAATAACTAAGGGTACCCTGATTAAAAATAAATACGTAACTTCAAATTAGGCTACTTGGGAGGAAAGATACAGAAAATAACATGCTGTAGAGTTGGTAATAAGCCCAATAATATGCTCTTAGACACCACATTTTTCAAAAAGCAAAATTACAAATTGTGATGGTTAAAATGTTGTTACTCTGAATAAACATAACAAATTACATTAACAGGTTTAGTCTTACACAAAATAAATTACCTGGGTAAAGAACATTCTCTCACTGCTTTTTAGAAAACTGTCAGTAATCAAGAAAAGACTGGCGGGGTGTAGTGGCTCACACTTGTAAATTCCAACACTTTGACAGGCCAAGGTGGGAGGATCGCTTGATCCCAGGAGTTTAAGACCAGCCTGGGCAACATAGCAAGACCTTGTGTCTACTCAACATTTTTAAAAATTAGCCAGGAGTGGTGGCACGTGCCTACAGTCCCAAGTACTCAGGAGGCTGAAGCAGGAGGATTGCTTGAGCCCAGGCTACAGTGAGCCATGATCACACTGCTGTACTCCAGCCTAGGCAACAGAGAGAGACTGTCTCAAACAAACAAAAAAACAAAAACACAAGTGGCTCATGCCTGCAATCCCAGTATTTTGGGAGGCCTGGGTAGGAGGATTGCTTGAGTACAGGAGTTAAAGATCAGTCTGGGCAACATAGCAAGACCCCGTCTCTACAAAAAATGTAAAAAGTTACTGGGGCATTGGCTGGGTGCGGCGGCTCATGCCTGTAATCCCAGCACTTTGGGAGGCCGAGGCAGGTGGATCACGAGGTCAGGAGTTCAAGACCAGCCTGGACAATATGGTGAAACCCCGTCTCTATTAAAAAAATACAGAAATTAGCCAGGCATGGTGGCACACGCCTGTAGTCCCAGCTACTTGGGAGGCTGAGGCAGAAGAATCGCTTGAACCCAGGAGGCGGAGCTTGCAGTGAGCCGAGATCGTGCCACTGCACTCCAGCCTGGGTGACAGAGCGAGACTCTGTCTCGAAAAAAAAAAAAAAAAAGTTACCGGGGCATGGTTGCATGTGCCTGTAGTTCCATCTACTTGGAAGGCTGAAGTGGGAGGATTGCTTGAGCCCAGGAGTTCGAGGCTGCAGTGAGCTATGATTGCACCACTGCATTCCAGCCTGGGCAACAGAACAGGCGATTCTACTTCTAACAAACAAAAAAACCCACAGAATTTCTTAAAGTAGACCATTTAGGATTCATGATTTGCTCACTATAGAGCCCCTGGGCCCTGAATAATCAGCAGTGGTAACCAGGGCCTCACCATGGGCCTCAGGTGAAACTCCGAGACATATTGGCTTCAGGTATGACACAGCACATTCACAGCTGTAGTGGCTACCAGCAGAGACTCCTGTTTGAGAAAATGAGAGGGAAGAGTAAAGGAGATTCTGTCTTGCAGCTTAGGGACCAGCTTGGTTGCCCTGGGGAAGAGCACCAGGTGGGCTACTAGGGTCCATGAATCCAGGCCTTGGCTCTTGGATGGCATTTCTGGACCTACCCCTGGAACAGAGGGGAACCCACTACCCTGAAGATGAGTCCCAGGCCTGGCAGCATCCAGCATAAGCTGACTGAGGAGCCCTGGGCCTTAAGTGAACACTGGTGGTACCCTGGCAATAATCCCCTCTTCATGGGCCTGTGGTGCTGATGGACACAGGAGCAACTCCTCTGCCTGAAGAAAGGGGAAGAAAGAATGGTAATACAGAGTCTGGTAATACAGAGAATTCTGGACCTTATCCAAGACCACCAAGATGGTACCTCTATAAGTCTAGAAGAACTACAGCATTACTGGGTTCGGGGTACCCCCTAATGCAGATACGATTACAGTGACCAAAGACATAGATTGCAACACTCTATTCCCTTTGAATACTTGGAATACCTTCCAATAAGAATGGTACAAACAAGTCCAGACTGTGAAGACTATAATAAATACCTGACTCTTCAATGTACAGATGGCAGTGAACACTCACAAGCATTAAGGCCATCCAGGAAAACATACCCTCACCAAATGAACTAAATTAGGCACTAAGGGTCAATCCTGCAGAGAAAGATATGTGACCTTTTAGTCAGAGAATTCGAAATAGCTGTTTTCAGAAAACTCAAAGAAATTCAAGATAACACAGAGAAGGAATTCAGAATCCTATCAGGTAAATTCAACAAATACTTGAAAGAATTAAAAAGAATTAAGCAGAAATTCTGGAGTGGAAAGATGCAAGTGACATACTCAAGAATGCATCAGTCTTTGTTTTTTGGAGACGGAGTTTTGCTCTTGTTGCCCAGGCTGGAGTGCAATGGCACAATCTCAGCTCACTGCAACCTCTGCCTCCTGGGTTCAAGCAATTCTTCTGCCTTAGCCTCCCAGGTAGCTGGAATTACAGGCATGAACCACCATGCCCAGCTAATTTTGTATTTTTAGTAGAGACGAGGCTTCACCATGTTGGTCAGGCTGGTCTCGAACTCCTGACCTAAATGATCCACCCACCGTGGCCTCCCAAAGTGCTGGGATTACTAGTGTCAGCCACCATACCCACACTTTTTTCCCTTTTTTGAAACAGAGTCTTGCTCTGTCACTCTGTCACCCAAGCTGGAGTGCAGTGGTGCAATCTCGGCTCACTGCAACCTCCGCCTCCCAGGCTAAAGCCATCCTCTCCACTCAGACCCCCCCAAGAAGCTGGGACCACAGGCACAAACCACCATGTCAAGCTAATTTTTCTATATTCTGTAGAGATGGGGTTTCACCATGTCTCCCAGGCTGGTCTCAAACTCCTGAGCTCAAGTGATCCACCCACCTCGGCCTCCCAAAGTGCTGGGATTACAGGCATGAGCCACTGTGTCCAGCCGCATCAGCCTTTTAATAGCAGAATTGATAAAGCAGAAGGCAGAATTAATGAGCTTGAAGACAGGCTATTTGAAAACAGAGGAGACAAAAGAAAAAAAATAAAGAAATGAGACGTGCCTACAAGATCTAGAAGACAGGCTCAAAAGGGCAAATCTAAGTGTTTTGGGCCTTAAAAAGGAGGTAGAGAGAGAGAGGCAAAGAAGAAAGTTAATTCAAAGGGATAACGGGAAACTTCCCAAATGCAGAAATAGGTACCAATATTCAAGTACAAGAAAGTTATGGAACACTGGGACCTGGGGACGGTGGCTCACGCTGGTAATCCCAGCTACTCAGGAGGCTAAGGCAGGAGAATCACTTGAACCCAGGAGGCAGAGGTTGCAGTGAGCCAAGACTGTGCCACTGCACTCCAGCCTGGGCAAGAAAAACAAGACTCCGTCTCCAAAAAAAAAAAAAAAAAGAAAAAAAAAAAGAAAAGAAGGTTATAGAATACCAAGCAGGTTTAACTCAAAGAAGACTACCTCAACATATTTAATAATCAAACTCCAAAAGTCAAGGAATAAGAAAGGATCCTAGGCCAGGCACTGTGGCTCACACCTGTAATTCCAGCACTTTGGGAGGCCGAGGAGGGTGGGTCACCTGAGGTAGGGAATTCAAGACCAGCCTGACCAACATGGAGAAACCCCGTCTCTACTAAAAATACAAAATTAGCTGGGCGTGGTGGCACATGACTATAATCCCAGCTACTTGGGAAGGCTGAGGCAGGAGAATCGCTTGAACCCGGGAGGAGGAGGTTGCGGTGAGCCAACGACATGCCATTGCACTCCACACTCCAGCCTGGGAAACAAGAATGAAACTCCGTCTCAAAAAGAAAAAAAAGAAAAGAAAAAGAAAGGATCCTAAAAGCAGCAAGAAGAAAAAAGAAACCAGTAACATATAATGGAGCCCCCAATATATCTGGCAGCAGACTTTTCAGTAGAAACTTTACAGGACAGGAGAGACTGGCATGATATAAAGTGCTGAAGGAAAATAACTTTTAACCTAGAATAGTATATTCAGCAAAATTATCCTTCAAACAGGAAGGAGAAATAAAGACTTTCCCAGACAAACAAAAGCTGAGAGATTTTATAAACACCAGGCCTGTCCTACAAGAAATGCTAAAGGGAGTTCTTCAATCAGAAAGAAAAGACGTTAATGAGCAATATGAAATCATCTGAAGGTACAAAACTCACTGGTAATAGTAAGTACACAGAAAAACACATAATATTATAACACTGTAATTGTGGTATGTAAACTACTCATATCCAGCAGAAAGATAAAAAATGAACCAATCAAAAACAATAACAATTTTTCAAGACAGTACAACAAAGTGGGGAGACAAAGTTAAAACGCAGAGTTTTATTAGTTTTCTTTTTGCTTGTTGGTTTGTTTATGTAATCAGTGTTGTCATCAGTTTAAAATAATGGGTTATATTATTTGCAAGCCTCATGTAACCTCAAATCTAAAAACATAACAATAGATACACAAAAAAATAAAAATTAAGAAATTAAAACATACCACCAGAGAAAATCACCTTTACTACAAGGAAGACAGGAAGAAAGGACAGAAGGAAGGAAAGACCACAAAACAACCAGAAAACAAGTAAGAAAATGGCAGGAATAAAAGTTCTTATCAATAATATCACTGAATATAAATGGGCTAAACGCTTCAATCATAAGACACAGAGTGACTGAATGGATAAAAAAAAAAAAGAAGCCCCAAAGATCTGTTGCCTACAAGAAGCACACTTTAACTATACAGACACACACAGACTGAAAGACATGGAAAAAAGATATTCACTGCCAATGGAAACCAAAAAAGAACAGGAGTAGTTATATTAAATAAAATAGATTTCAAGCAAAAACTGTAAAATAAGACAAAGTCACTATATAATGATAAAGGCGTCAATTCAGTAAGAGGATATAAAAATTGAAAATATATATGCACCCAACAATGGAGCACTCAGATATATAAAATATTTTTAGCACTAAAGAGGCAGACCCCATACAATAATAGGTGGAGGCTTCAACACCCCCACTTTCACCATTGGACAGATCAATGCAGAAAACCAACAAAGACACATTGGACTTAATCCGCACTACAGACCACATGGACCTAATAGATATTTATAGAAAATGTCATCCAATGGCTGTAGATTAAACATTCTTCTCCTCAGCAAATGAATGATTCTCAAGGACAGACCATATGTTAGGCCACAAAACAAGTCTTAAAACATTCCAAAAAACTGAAACCATATCAAATATCTTTTCTGACCACAATGGGATAAAACCAGAAATCAATAACAAGAGGAATTTTGGAAACTATGTAATACACGAAAATTAACCAATACACTCCTGAATGACCAGTGGGTCAATGGACAGATGAAGAAGAAAATTGAAAAATTTCTTCAAAGAAATTATAACGGAAACACAACATACCAAAAACCTTGGGATACGGGGAAAGCAGTACTCAGAGGGAAGTTTATAGCTGTAACTGCCTACATGAAAAAAAAAAACCAAAAACAAAACCTTCAAATAAACAATGATGCATCTTAAAGAACTAGAAAAGCAGGAGCAAACCAATCCCAAAGTTAGAAGAAAATAATAAAAATCAGAGCAGAAATAAATGAAATTGAAACAAAAAAATACAAAAGATCAACAAAATAACAAGTTGGTGTTTTGAAAAGACCATCAAAATTGGACACATGTTCTTCAAGTTGCCCACTTGGATCTCTCCCAAGTGCACTTTCATTTCTTTCCTACTCTTCTAGAGCTTTTTAATAAACTTCTGGCCGGGTGCGGTGGCTCACACCTGTAATCCCAGGACTTTGGAAGGCGGAGGCGGGCAGATCACGAGGTCAGAAGATCGAGACCATCCTGGCCAACATGGTGAAACCCCATCTCTACTAAAAATACAAACATCGGCCAGGCGTGGTGGCATGCACCTGTAATCCCAGCTACTCAGGAGGCTGAGGCAGGAGAATCACTTGAACCTGGGAGGCGGAGATTGCAGTGAGCCAAGATCGCGCCACTGCACTCCCAGCCTGGCGACAGAGCGAGACTCCATCTCAAAAAACAAACAAACAAACAAACAAACTTCCACTCCTGCTCTAGAAAAAAAAATCTCTCCTGCCACCATAAGAGGTGCCTTGCTTCCCTTTCACCTTTCGCCATGATTAAGTCTGGATTTTTGGTACATGCCAGGCAGAAAATGCCTGCATGACCAGTCCCAATAAAAACCCTGACCACTAAAAAACTTACCCAACCTTTAGACTAAAAGAAAAGGAGAGAAGATGCAAATAAATAAAAACAGATGTGAAAAAAGGGGACACTACAACCAATACCGCAGAAATCCAAAGGATAATTAGTGGCTACTATGAGTAACTATACGCCAAGAAACTGGAAAACCTAGAAGAAACAGATACATTCCTAGACACAAACAACCTACCAAGATTGAACCATGAAAAAACTGAAAACCTAAACAGGCCAGTAACAAGTAATGAGATTGATGCCATAATAAAAAATCTCCCAGCAAAAAGCCCAAGACCTGATGGCTTCAATGCTGAATTTTACCAAACATTTGAAGAAGGGCTAGGCTGGGCACAGTGGCTATCCCAGCACTTTAGGAGGCTGAGGCAGGCCGATCACTTGAGGTCAGGAGTTCGAGACCAGCCTGGGCAATATAGTGAAACCCCATCGCTACTAAAAATATAAAAAGTAGCCAGGCGTGGTGGTGCATGCCTGTAATCCCAGCTACTTGGGAGGCTGAGGCAGGAGAATACTTGAACCCAGGAGGTGGAGGTTGCAATGAGCTGAGATGACGCCACTGCACTCCAGGGCCTGGGTAGGCGATAGAGCGAGAAAAAAAAAATTAAAAAAATAAGAGGGTAGGGTAAGGGAGGGGAAGGGGAGGGGGAAGGGGAGGGGGAAGGGAGGGGAAAAGGAGGGAGGACGGGGGAGGGGAGGGGGCTAATACCAATACTACTCAAACTATTCCAAAAAAACAGAGAAGTAAATACTTCCAAACTCATTCTATGGGGCCAGTATTACCCTGATACCAAAATCAGACAAAGACACATCAAAGTAAGAAAACTACAGGCCAATATCCTGATGTACATTCATGTAAAAATCCTCAAAAAATACTAGCAAACTGAATTCAACAATACGTAAAAAGATCATCATGACCAAGTGGGATTTATCCTGGGGATGCAAGGATGGTTCAACATATGCTATAATCAATCAACGTGATATGTAATATCAACAAATGAAGGACAGAAACTATATAATCATTTCAATTGATGCTGAAAAAGCATTTGATAAAATCTAACATCCCTTCATGATAAAAACTCTTAAAAAACTGGGTATAGAAGAACATATCTCAACATAATAAAAGCCATATACTACAGACCCATGGTCAGTATACAGAATGGGGAAAAACTGATTTCCTTTAAGAGCTTGAACACACCAAGAATGCCCACTTTCACCACTGTTATTCAATATAGTACTGGAAGTCCTAGCAAGAGCAAGCAAAGAAGTGAAATTCTTCTTGTTTGTAGACGATATGATCTTTTTTTTTTTTTTTTTTTTTGAGACGGAGTTTTGCTCTTGTTGCCCAGGCTGGAGTGCAATGGTGTGATCTTGGCTCACCACAACCTCCACCGCCCAGGTTCAAGCAATTCTCCCTCCTCAGCCTCCCAAGTAGCTGGGATTACAGGCATGCGCCATCATGCCTGGCTAATTTTTTTTGTACTTTTAGTAGAGACGAGGTTTCTCCATGTTGGTCAGGTGATCCGCCCACCTCGGCCTCCTAAAGTGCTGGTATTACAGGCATGAGCCACCACACCTGGTGACAATATGATCTTATATTTGGGAAAACCTAAAGACTCCACCAAAAAACGACTAGAACTGATAATTCACAAAAGTTGCAGGATACAAAAATCAACATACAAAAATCAGTAGCCCTGCTATATGCCCACAGTGAACAATCTGAAAAAGAAATCAAGAAAGTAATCCCATTCACAACAGCTACAAATAAAATTAAATATCTAGGAATTAACCAAATTAAGTGAAAGATCTCTAAAATAAAAACTACTGAACGGGTATGGTGGCTCACGCCTGTAATCCCCGCATTTTGGGAGGCCAAGGCAGGCGGATCACGAGGTCAGGAGTTCAAGACTAGTCTGGCCAACATAGTGAAACCCCGTCTCTACTAAAAATACAAAAAATTAGCCAGCTGTGGTGGTATGCGCCTGTAATCCCAGGTACTCAGGAAGCTGAGGCAGGAGAATGGCGCAAACCCGGGAGGCACAGGTTGCAGTGAGCTGAGATTGCACCATTGAACTCCAGCCCAGGCAACAGTGCGAGACTCCATCTCAAAAAAAAAAAAAAAAAAAAAAAACAACTATCATTGGTGAAAGAAATTGAAGACAACACACCAAAAAAATGGAAAGATAATTCATATTCATGGATTGGAAGAATCAATATTGTTAAAATGTCCATACAACCTAAAGCAATCTATAGATTCAATGTAATCTCTATCAATATACCAATGACATTCGTCATGGAAATAGGAAAAACAATCCTAAAATTTGTGTAGAACCACAAAGACCCAGAATAGCCAAAGCTATCCTAAGAAAAAAGAACAAAAGGGAGGAATCACATTACCCGACTTCATACAACAAAGCTATAATAACCAAAACAGCATGATATTGGCATAAAAACAGACACACAGACCAATGGAACAGAATAGAGAACCCAGAAAAAAATCCATACATCTACAGCAAACTCATTTTCAACAATGGTGCCAATAACATACAATGAGGAAAAGACAGTTTCTTCAATAAATGGTGCTGTGCCTTAAGCAGAGGTTAGGTTTGCTGTACAGACTTAAGTTGATGCCTTCTGCATTGACAGTCTCTAGAGATTTAGTCTTTCTAGTCTTTCTTCTCTTCCTGGTGCAGAGAGGGAGACACCCTGTCAAAGAGATACTCCTTTACAAACGTACACTTCCCTTAAAAAAGGGCAACTTTTCAGAACTACTCCTGTATCTGCAGTTTCTCAGGATAACCAGCTCACAACAATCAACATGCCAAAAAGGCATATTTTTGAAACCACCTTTGCAAAAATTACAACAGTGAGTAAAACGTGATATAGCTGACTCCATCTTTGCTTTTTTTTTGAGACACAGTTTTTGCTCTTGTTGCCCAGGCTGGAGTGCAAAGGTGCAATCTCAGCTTACTGCAACCTCCACCTCCTGGGTTCAAGCAATTCTCCTGCCTCAGCCTGCAGAGTAGCTGGAATTACAGGCATGCACCACCACGCCCGGATAATTTTGTATTTTTAGTAGAGACAGGGTTTCCCCATGTTGGTCAGGCTGGTCTCAAACTCCCAACCTCAGGTGATCCGCCTGCCTCCGCCTCCCAAAGTGCTGGGATTACAGACATGAGCCACTGCGCCTGGCCCTATCTTTGCTTTTAATCTCACAAGCTCTTTGCTCATTCCTGAGTGTTGGCAATGCTAACTATGGGAGAAATTCAGTTTAAAGTTTAGCTTTAAAACAAAGATGATTAACAGTCCTTTCCCAAAATTAACCCACTCCTTGCTCAGAGACTAAAAGCATCTTTGTAAAATTACACGAGGTTAGAATTATTGTTTAGGAGTTATGTAGCCAAAAGTAACAAGAATTTTGCAACCTCCACAATTGCTCCTATAGATAACATCACTATTGTAAAACGTAAAACTGGTGGTTGGGGTATCTTTCAGACCTTGCATTTTGATGGACCAACTGGTGCCACTTGGACCAGGAGCCCATATGAAGAAACTGACTCAACTGGTTCTGTGACCACTACTTAGGAACTGAGTCAGGGCAAGAAGACAGTTTCAACTCTCTACAATTTTATCCAAGACCCAACCAATCAGCATTCCCCATTCCTTAGCCCACTGCCTACCAAACTATCCTTGAAAAACCCTAGCCCCCGAATTCTCAGGGAGGCAGATTTGAGAATTATCTACTGTCTTCCTCACTTGGTTGGCCCTGTGACAATTAAACTCTTTCTTTGTTGCAAACAAAATAAATAAGTGGTGCTGGGAAAATTGGATATCCATATACAGAAGAATGAAACTAGACCCATATCTCTCATCATATACAAAAATCAAATCAAAATGGATTAAAGACTTAAGTTGAAGACTTCAAACTATGAAACTACTAAAAGAAAACAGTGGAAAACCTCTCCAGAACATTGGACTGGGTAGAGTTCTAGAGTAATACCCCACAAGCACAGGCAACCAATGCAAAAATGGACAAATGGGATCACATCAAGTTAAGATGCTTCTGCAGAGCAAAGGAAACAACACAGTGAAGAGAAAACCCACAGAATGAGAGAAAATATTTGCAAACTATCCATCTGATAAGAGATTAATATCCAGAATATATAAGAAGCTCAAACAACTCTATATGAAAAAAATCTAATAATCCAATTTAAAAATGGGCGAAAGATCTGAGTAGGTATTTCTCAAAAGAAGACATACAAATGGCAGACAGCATAAGAAAAGGTGCCAACATCACTGAGCATCAGAAAAATGCAAATGAAAACTACAATGAGGGCCGGGCCCGTTGGCTCATGTCTGTAATCCCAGCACTTTGGGAGGCTGAGGCAGGCGGATCACGTGGTCAGGAGTTCGAGACCAGCCTGGCCAACAAGGTGAAACCACGTCTCTACTAAAAATACAAAAATTAGCCGGGTGTGGTGATGCAGTGTGCACCTGTAATCCCAGCTACTCAGGAGGCTGAGGCAGGAGAATTGCTTGAACCCAGGAGGCGGAGGTTGCAGTAAACCGAGATTGCGCCACTGCACTCCAGCCTGGGTGACAGAGCAAGACTCCGTCTCAAAAAAAAAAAAAAAAAAAAAAAGAAAAAACCTACAATGAGAGAGCATCTCACCTAAGTTTAAATGGCTTTTATCCAAAAGATAAGGATGAATCCTGGTGAGGGATGTGGAGAAAAGGGAACCCTAGGTACACTGTTGGTGGGAATGTAAATTAGTACAACCACTATGGAGGACAGTTTGGAGGTTCCTCAAAAAACTAAAAATAGAACTATCATTTGATCTAGCAATTCCATTGCTATGTATATATGCCAACAGAATCTGTATGTCCAAGAGATATCTGAACTCCCATGTTTATTGCAGCACTATTCAGAATAGCCAAGATTTGGAGGCAATCTATGCGTCTGTCAACAAATGAATGAATAAAGAAAATGTGGTGCATATACACAAAGAGTACCATTCAAAAATAAAAGAGGCCAGGTGCGGTGGCTCACACCTGTAATCCCAGCACTTTGGGAGGCCAAGGCAGGCAGATCACTTGAGGTCAGGAGATAGAGACCATCCTGGTCAACATGGAAACCCCGTCTCTACTAAAAATACAAAAAATTAGCTGGGTGTGGTGGCATGTGTCTGTAATCCCAGCTACTCGGGAGGCTGAGGCAGGAGAACTGCTTGAACCTGGGAGGCGGGGGTTGCAGTGAGCCGAGATCGCGCCATTGCACTCCAGCCTGGCGACAGAGGGAGACTCCGTCTCAAAAAAGGAAGGAGCTAAGAACAGTTGATTTTAAAATTCTTAACATTTTCCCACATAATAAAAAATAGAGTAATTTCATAAAGCCCTCTACTCCATCACCCAGATTCAACAGTGACCAATATTTTGCCACACTTACTTCATTCATCCAACCTCTCCTTTTTGTTGCCTAAAATATTTTAAAACCCCAGACTTCATGTCATTTCACTCCAACGTACTTAAGTAAGCATCTCTAAAATACAGACATTCTTACATAACCATGCCATTTTGACACCTAACAAAATTAACAATAATGCCACAGTAGCATCTAATATCTAGTTCCTATTCAAATTTTCCTGATTCACATTTCCCAACTGTCTCATAGAGTAGCCAAAATGATTTTGAAGAAGAAAAACAAGGTGTATGGAAGTTGACAGATTTTAAGACTTCTTAAAGTCACTGTAATATTTCAACAGCAATGGGAAAAAAAACAAACAAACCCACCACTGGAACAGAATAGTGTGCCCAGAAATTGGACCCAAGTTCCAATACTGGAACTTGGTATTGCAAGGGTATGGGGAATTTGGCATTACAACTCATTGGGAAAAGGACAGACTATTAATAGTACTGGGACAACTGAAGAAAAAATACTCAATCTTAGCCAGGCACAGTGTCTCATGCCTGTAATCCAAGCACTTTGGGAGACTGAGGCAGGAGGATGGCTTGAGGCCAGGAGTTCAAGACCAGCCTGGCCAATATAGAAAGACCCTGTCTCTATTGAAAAAAAAAAAAAATACTGGATCCTCATATCATACAACAAAGGAAAAACTTGTTGATGGAATAAAGATCTAAGTATTAAAATCAATATTTTAAAAATTTTACAAGTACAGAATTCTTTGTAATCCAGAAACAGGAAAGCACATAAAAAGGAAGCCTTTAAAGATTTCAAAAAAATTAACAAATTCAATCATATTAAAATTTAACTTTCAGTACCTCAAAGATACCATAAATAAACTAAAAGCCTTGCCAAAGACTGGGAAATGATATATGCAATGTGTATTTCTGACAAAGGATCAATATCCAGAATATAAAAGAATTCTGGCTGGTTGCTGTGGTTCACACCTGTAATCCCAGCTCTTTGGGAGGCCGATGCTGGAGGATTGCTTAAGGCCAGGAGTTTGACACCAGACTGGACAACAAAGTGAAACCTTGTCTCTATTAAAAAAAACAAAAAGTATGAATAAGTCCAATAAATCAATAGGACAAAAAAAGTACGTAATCCAACAGAAAACAGGAGAAAATCTAAGAAGCCAGTAAGTGTAAGAAAAGATGATGAACTTTACCAGTAATCAGAGAAATGTTAATTGAAACAATAAGTACATACCATTTTCAATCTACGTAATTGACAAACGTTTTAAAGTCTGACAATGCAAATGATGTTGAGAATGTGGTGGGACAGTAAACTGGTCCAATCATTCTGGAGAGCAATTTGACCATATCTGGTAAAGCTGATGGTTGTGATACTCTGAAGCATCAATTCATAATTTGTTTCAATTATAGATACATTCTCTAGAGAAACTCAAACCTGCATACAAGATGACTCACAGATGACTATCCAGAGAAGGAATGTATTAAAGGAAAACATTAAAAAGCAGCCTAAATGTTTATCAACGAGAGTTTGGATAGAAAATTTCAGTGTAGTCATATAATGGAATCTAATAATCAACGAGCATGAATCAACTGGATCTACATGTATCATACGATATAGAGGATTTCGGAAATAATGTTGACTCAGAATAACAAGTTGCAGGCTGGGTGTGGTGGCTCAAGCCTGTAATCTCAGCACTTTGGGAGGCCGAGGTGGGCAGATCAGTTGAGGTCAGCAGTTGAGAGGCTGCGGCAGGAGAACTGCTTGAGCCTGGGGAGGTGGAGGTTGCAGTGAGCCGAGATCACGCCACTGCACTCCAGCCTGTGCGACAGAGTGGGACCTTGTCTCAAAAAAAAAAATAAAATAAAAAAAAAAGAATAACAAGTTGCAGAAGAATATGCCAAATATACATATATAGCTTAAAGTATGCAATACTGGCTGAGTACAGGGGCTCACACCTGTAATCTCAGCACTTTGGGAGGCTAAGGTGGAAGGTTCACTTGAGCCCAGGAGTTGAAGACCAGTCTAGTCAACAGAGTGAGACCCTGTCTCTACAAGAACAACAACAAATTTAGTGGGGCACGGTGGCATGCACCTGTACTCCTAGCTGGTTGGGAGGCTGAAGCAGATGGAATGCTTGAGACCAGGAGGTCAAGGCTTCAGTGAGCTATGATTGTACCACTACACTCCAGCCAGGGAAACACACAGCAAGTTGCTGTCTCAAAAAAAAAAAAAAAGGAAAAAAAAAGTATGCAATACTATATATTGTTTTGAGATACACAGATTTAAGACACACACTGAAAAATGAGATATAACCCAAAAGGCCATCAATAGGTGATTGGTTAAATAAATTGGGAAACAAATTCCACATAATCTTTTTAAAAGGATGAGATACATCAGTATTTCTAAAGTCCAAGACTCAACAGGTGAATGAGTACAGAGTAACTTATTTATTGATTCCTTCCCTTTTTATAAAATTAAACACATCCTAGCAAATGAACGGGAGTAGAAATTATGAGTGTTGGAATAAGGTCTACAACACCAAATCCTCAATGTTCATAGTAGAAAGTATAGACAACGTCTAAAACTGGGGGAGAAAAAACACCTCAAGAAATAGGCCAGGCATAGTGACTCACACGTGTAATCCCAGCAATTAGGGAGGCCTAGGCAAGGACAATCACTTGAGGCCAGGAGACTAGCAGGGGCACCATGCCTGGCTAATTTTTGTATTTTAGTAGAGACAGGGGTTTCGCCATGTTGACCAGGCTGGTCTTGAACTCCTGACCTCAGGTGATCCGCCTGCCTCGAGCTCCCAAAGTGCTGGTATTACAAACATGAGCCACCGCGCCCAGCTGAAAGGCCAATACATTTTTAACAGTGTCTACAAATGTACTAGCCATGGCCCTAGGTACAGTGTGAATGGAATTAAACAGACAATAAACTCATAGATAGGAGGATTTCAAATTTCGACAAATGCCACATCGATGACAGAAATATAGCAAAGCATAGGGAAGGAGGGAGGCATACATGTAGCTGGAATGAACAAAGGCCTCTATGGAGGAGACATTTGAGTGAAGCCTGGATGATAAGGAATCAGCCATGCCATGTTCTAGACGGAAAATATACCAACCAAGAAGCCAGACCAAATGCAATGATCCTGTGATTCTGGGACTGGAATAAATTTAATTTGTACAGGGACAGAAAAGTCAGTGTGGCTATGATATAGTGAACCAGAGACAGAATTAAAAAGATGACTAGGCCAGGCTTGGTGGCATGTGTCTATAGTCCCAGCTACCTTGGAGGCTGGGGTGGAAGGATTACTTTAGTCCAGGAGTTGGTGGCTGCAGTGAGCTATGGCTGTGCCACTGCACTCTAACCCTTCCACCTGGGCGACAGAGTGAGACCTCCTCCTGCCCCGCCACCACAAAAGAAAGAAAGATGAAGAAAGATTCAGTAGAGTTAAGGGTTTTAAAGGGAGTGGCTGTAGTGGTGGATCATAAAACATAAACCAGAAAACACGGACATAAAAAAAGTAAAAAAGTTAAAAAAAAAAAAAAAAAAAAAAAAAAAGAAGGCCAGGCACAGTGGCTCACACCTGTAATCCCAGCATTTTGGGAGGCCGAAGTGGGTGGATCAACTGAGGTCAGGAGTTCGAGACCAGCCTGGCCGACATGGCGAAACCCTGTCTCTACTAAAAATACAAATATTAGCTGGGCGTGGTGGCAGGTTCCTGTAGTCCCAGCTACTGGAGAGGCTGAGACAGGAGAAGTGCTTGAACCCGGGAGGCAGAGGTTCCAGTGAGCCGAAATCGCACAATTGCACTCCAGCCTGGGCAACAAGCAAAATTCTGTCTCAAAAAAAATAAAAAATAAAATAAAATAAAAAATAAAAAAATTATGGCAGGAATAATTGAGAAGAAGTAGTCAGTCAGGTTTTAAATGAATGCAAGACAGTACTTGGAGGCTGGAAGATGACCAAAAAAAGGGGGAATTAATGTTAAATATGGATAACTTCCAAGGAGTTAGGGTTTTTGAAGCAGGAGAAGCAGATTCAAAGTAGCAACGGTAACAAAAGCAACATCAGGACACCTGGATTTAAATCCCAGCTTCAGCAATCACTAGCTGTGTGATCTTGACAAGTCACCTAGTCACTCAGTCTCAGGTACCTCAAGTATAAAATAGGGTTACTTTTAACCACTTTATAGATTGTTTTGAAGGTTAAAAGAAACAATGTAGGTGAACGTGAGTTATGTAATTATGACCCAAATCTTTTTTTTTTTTTTTTAAGATGGAGTCTCCCTCTGTCACCAGGCTGGAGCACAGTGGCACCATCTCGGCTCATTACAACCTCCACCTCCCAGGTTCAAGTGATTCTCCTGCCTCAGCCTCCCGAGTAGCTGGGATTACAGACAGGTGCCACCACACCCAGCTAATATTTGTATTTTTAGTAGAGACAGGGTTTCACCATGTTGGCCAGGATGGTCTGGATCTCTTGACCCCAAGTGATCCGCCCACCTCGGCCTCCCAAAGTGCTGGGATTACAGGCGTGAGCCACCGCGGCTGGCCCGACCCAAGTCTTTTGAATGAATATAAGAAGCTACTGAATCCGACCCAGGTCTTTTGAATGAATATAAGAAGCTACTGAACTCATTTTAGACCTCACATCAATGTTGTTCATGCTAGTGAAAGTCTTTCATGGTAAATCCGTACACAGAAAATACAGATACGACACACTGAGTGGATGCAGGTGAGGTATAAACAGTGACCTAGAAAGATCATGGTATCCAATAGTTCTGAGGACCGAAAAGATGGGCAGTACTTGCCCACAACATATGAATTTATGCAGTAAAAATAACATACAGCTTCTTCTTCATTTCAATAGAAATTAAAACGGGTTCAACCCTAGAGTTCCGTTTGGGAACACAAAGCACTAATTAATTATTTTGTCTCTGAAAATGACATGAGTAACTCATTATCAGAGTATGGTCAAGACTAATAAAATGGCTATCAGTCAATTAATAATACAGACATCTTCAAGGAGACTTAAAAACAACATAAAAAGGTAACTCACTTTCTTAATGGCGACAATTTGGTTGGTGTTCTTATCTCTGGCCTTGTAAACGGTGGCAAACTAGAAAGAAAAATAGAAATAACATAAGTTTATGGGAGTTTTTGTGTTTGCCTTTTTGCATTTTTACATTTCGCGAAGCAAAGAGCCCAGAGTTTCTGAGCAGACTCGCGGCGGCTGGAAACGTGGCGGGTCAGTCTCCGTCCAGCTCCAGGCTACTCTTCAGCAAGGAGAGGCCCCTCAGGGATTCACCCCCAGGATGTAAAGAATGGGCAGCAAGTGCGTCTGGACGGTTTCCCCCAACGAGAACGAGCAGCCAAGCCAGACCTCTGGCCTCCACGGGAAAACCCGCAAAGGTGGAGGCGGCGCGGGGCTGTCCGCTTGGGGCCCTCCCCGTCCTTCCAGAGAGCCTCACCTGTCCCTCCCCAAGGAAGTCCAGCTTCTCATAACGCTTTGCCCGAGACTTCACGTCCAGAGCCATCCGGCGCCGTAAAGCCCGACTCCAGCCGAAAAGGGCGAGCTCCCAGGACAACACGAATTTAAAGCTACCTTAAAGCCTCCAACACCCACTTCCGTCCACTGGGCTCCGTCGCTTTAGTATCCCCGCCTCACTTCCGTGGTGGGCGGAGGAAGCTGCGCTAGGCCCAGGCGGTTGGCGTTCCCCACCCGTCACGTGACGCCTGTCGGTGCCTGAAGTGGGGCATCTTCAATGGCTGCTGTGTCACTCTGTTGCCGTTTTAACTTGGGTGTTTTCTACATTACCAGGAACTGGTCAGCGTTCTAATTTGGTGTTCCATGTTCGGGGTTTGGTAGGTGTCTGTGAATGTAGAAAGTTTGGCCTTGTACCTGTTCTCGCTTTTTGGTTCTTGCTCGAGCGCGTCCTGTCGCCGTGGTTGCTATGGACGCCAAACCCTGCTATCTCAGATTACTGAGACGAGTGCCAAGTTCTTACGGGCTGGTCAAGAGTATTCTTAGTCCAGTCCCTTTATGAAGAAGCAGGCCCAGGAAAACAAAATCCAACTCAACTGAAACGTGCTGTGGGAATCAGCTTCTAGTCCTCAGTTTTCTACTCGGTAAAATGGAAAAAATAATGAACTACATCACAGGAGATTGTGGGTATTAAATGAAACATGCAGAAAGCTTAGACATTAACTCAATTAATTGAGACAGTGCTCAATTAACTTAGCAGTAATGAGTACCCAACCCCTTGATTATCATAAATTGTCATAACAAACACACTAATTCATTTATTCAAAAACATATTGAGTGCTTTTCCTTTTTCATTTTTCTCTCTCTTAGGATGCTGATATTGAGTGTTATCTATGTGCCAAGCACCATTGTAGAATCTGAGATAGCAGGGAGCAAAGATCCCTGCCTTCCAATGGGAGGAGATAAAAAAACAAGTCAAATATGTGTTATGATACATAGGTGATAAGTGCTATAGAGATAATAAAGCAGATAAAGGATAACAAATCAGGGCAGGGGCAGGGATGGAGGTTTTAAATAGGGTGGTACAAGAAAGTCATCACTGAAAACCCACTGGAGGGATTGGAGCAGACAAGTGATATGACCTGACTCACTTTTAAAAGGTTCACTCTTGCTGTTGGGAGACTATATTATAGATTTTGAGGGACAAGAAAAAGAAAGAAGGCCTATTAGAGAACTATTGCAGTAATCCAGATGGCTCTACTAGTGGATAATTAAAAGTTTCTGAGCCAGAGCAGCTGTCAACATGGAAATGTGCCCCCCTCCCCCTGCCTTTGTTTGTTTGTTTGTTTTTGAGACAGTCTCACTCTGTTGCTCAGGCTGGAGTACGCTGGCCCGATCTGAGCTCACTGCAACCTCTGCCTCCTGGGTTCAAGCGATTCTCCTGCCTCAGCTTCCCGATTAGCTGGGATTACTGGCCTGCTCCACCACACCCAGCTAATTTTTGTATTTTTAGTAGAGACGGGGTTTCACCTTGTTGGCCAGGCTGGTCTCAATCTCCTGACCTCAGGTGATCCACCCTCCTCGGCCTCCCAAAGTGCTGGTATTTGTAAGTGTAAGCCACTGCGCCCAGCCTATATTTGTTATTTCTAAGAGTTGAAAATCCTAAGTTTCAGAGATATGTTGAAGAAAGTAGCAAAATACCAAGGCCAATAATTTAGTTATTTTTTTTAACTCTGGAATCAGACTGCTTGCATTTGAATAGTGGCCCTATCAGTATTCAGCCACTAGATACAACTAGGGCAAATTACTTACTTTGTTTCCAGTTTCTTCATCCCTAATAGGATCTACTCAAAGGATTGTTCCAAGGCTTAAATGACCTCACACCTGCAAAGCCCTTAGAATAATGTTTGACAGTTAAGTGTTTACTATATGTTAGCCATTATCTTTCAGTCCCTTGTCATTACTTGGGTCTAGGCAAAACTCACACATTGCAGAAAAGACACCATCTCTCTTGAGGCAAGTCATACCTAGTGATGCTGTTGTCATAGTTTCTTCTGACAGGTATCATTGAAATAATAATTTAACCTCACTTGTAGAAATAAGCTAGTGAGCGGCAGGTGCAGTGGCTCACACCTGTAATCCAGCACTTTGGGATGCCGAGGCAGGTGGATCACCTTAAGTCAGGAGTTCCAAACCAGCCTGGCCAACATGGTGAAACCCCATCTCCACTAAAAATACAAAAATTAGTTGGGTGTGGTGGCAGGCACCTGTAATCCCAGCTACTAGGGAGGCTGAGGCAGAAGAATCACTTGAACCCGCGAGGCGGAGGTTGCAGTGAGCAGAGATAGCACCATTGGACTCCAGCCTGGGCAACAAGAGTGAAAACTCCGTCAAAAGAAAGAAAGAAGGGAAGAAAGGAAGAAAAGAGAGAGAGAGAAGCTAGTGAGCTAAATCTGATGATGCCGTTGTGAGACTTGAGGTCCCCAAGTGTGCCATGGCGTATGAGTTGATAATCAGTGTATTACAGCGTGCTGCTGACAAGTAAATTCCCATTCTGGGACATTTAAAATAGGATAATGAAGACAGCGTTTAGATGATATTCTGAGACAGTGAGATACTGTATATATAAAATATCATTTGAGCACTTTGAACCAAAAGAAAAAAAAAGAAAATAGCATTACACATTTGCAAAGCATTTTTCAGTTTAAAGCACTTCCATGCATCTGTATTAGCCAGCTTGTAAGATGGCCATGATGATCCTTGCCTTCCGGTATTAATCCTGTTGTGTGGTCTTCTCCCACAATGAAACAGGTTGTTCTGTGTGACCAATAGAATATGGCTGAAGTGTGATTTATGAGGCTAGAACATAAAAGGATGCTGTTGACTGGCATGCTTGGATTATTTGCTCTGGTGAAAGCCAGCCATGTCATGAATTCACTCAGGCAACCATGTGGAGAGAAACTAAGGCCTCTTGCCAACAGCCAGCATCGGCTTGTCAGCTCTGTGAGTGAGCCATCTTGGAGGTGGATCAGCCAGCCTCAGCCAAGCCTTCAGATGACTGTAGCCTCAGTGGCTTCTAATTGCAACCGCATTAGGCACTAAATCAAAACTGCCCAGTGAAGCTGCTTCTGAATTCCTGACCCAGAGAAACCAGAGAAATTAAGAGTTTAGCCACTTAATTTTGGGGTCATTTGTTACAAAGTAATAGATAATACACTAATTTGATCCTGACTATCCCACTGTGTAGTACTGGAAAGAAAAACGGAAACTTGGACAAATTAAGCAATTTGCTGATTACATATATTTAAGTGCCTAACCTCTAAATGAAAATACAGGCTATTTAACTGTAAGCCTCACCAGAAGTCTATAATACTCTCCTTGGGAGCTCATCCTGTGACAGCAATTCCCACTGGCGTACCTTTTGCCATACCTATACTCACAAATTCTGTAACAGTGACAGATTTTCTTCATTCTGACTTTCACGGCAGCAGCTGTAGTAAAGATTGCCCTCAGATATACATCCACAGTTCGGTATTAGGATTTCTAACTGTTGGCTCACAGTATTACTCATACCACTCTTCACTACCTGAATCCGAATGTATTTCTGAAAGCAAAATAATGGTCCTGGGCTTTTTTTTTTGAGACGGAGTTTTTCTCTTATTGTCCAGGCTGGAAAGGCTGGAGTGCAATGGTGCAATCTCAGCTCACCGCAACCTCTGGCTCCCAGGTTCAAGCAATTCTCCTGCCTCAGCCTCCTGAGTAGCTGGGATTACATGCGCCCGCCACCACGCCCAGCTGATTTTTTGTATTTTTAGTAGAGATGGGGTTTCACCATGTTGGCTAGGCTGGTCTTGAACTCCTGATCTCAGGTGATCTGCCCGCCTCGGCCTCCCAAAGTGCTGGGATTACAGACATAAGCCACCACACCCGGCCTGGCCCTGGGCTTTCTTTTGCTAAAGTAATTTTCCCAAATAATTGTTTTTTTTTTAGACAGAGTCTTGCTCTGTCGCCTAGGCTGGAGTGCAGTGGTGTGACCTCCACTCACTGCAACCTCCACTTCCTGGGTTCAAGCAATTCTCCTGCCTCAGCCTCCTGAGTAGCTGGGATTACAGGCGCCTGCCACCATGCCCAGCTAATTTTTGTATTTTTAGTAGAGATGGGGTTTCACCATGTTGGCCAGGCTGGTCTTGAACTCCTGACATCAGGTGGTCCACCTGCCTTGGCCTCCCAAAGTGCTGGGATTACAGGCGTGAGCCACTGTGCCTGGCAATAAATTTTTAAATAATAAAAAAAAGAAATGAATTATGTTTTTCTTTTTTTTTGGATGGAGTCTCACTCCGTTGACCAGGCTAGAATGCAGTGGCACAATGTTGGCTCACTGCAACCTCTGCCTCCTGGGTTCAAGTGATTCTCTGGCCTCAGCTTCCCTGTAGCTGAGATTATAGGTGTGTGTCACATTGCCTGGCTAATTTTTGTATTTTTAGTAGAGGCGGGGTTTCACCTGCCGGCCAGGCTGGTCTTGAACTCCTGACCTCAGGTGATCAACCTGCCTTGGCTCCCCAAAGTGCTGGTATTAACAAAGCATGAGCCACTGCACCTGGCCTGAATCATGTTTTTCAATGAGTCACCTGAACAGCTTATTGCCAGCATCAAACTCTCATATTTGTGCTGAACAACATTTACACTAGGCCACAGCAAAAAATTTATAAGAGAAGTAGATCAACTCTGTGGAGTAGTAGAAATAAGTAAAAATTAACCCACAGTCAACTGAGTAAATACAGAAGCATACTCAAAGCCAATTCTATTTCTTGCTCATGACCTACCCTTAACTCTCAGGGAGGACTTCTTTAAAGCATATTCTAGAAATCATTAAAGGTATGGAAGAGAATTTATTTAGCTTTGTGAGGCTTTACTTCACAATATACGTACCCTTGGCACAGGAGGGGCCCCATTAAAGTTTCATAAACTGCTTAATAAGTAAATATGTTGATTTTATGAGGCTCTCAGACATTAAGTTTGAGAAGGTTAATGGTTATCAGGATTTGCATACAAGATCACAAAACAGTAAAATAAACCAAAAAACAAGACTTCCTTACAACCTCCAAAACATAATAAATTGCAATTTCTAGTGAAATCTTTATTCCTATGCTATATTCATTTTGATCTCTTATTTTCCATTTTACACTTTTTGACTTTCTTTGGAATCTTTTGTATGATCTCTATCTTAATAGTATAGTCACCTATTTTAGCTTGACTATATTTTTATCATTCAGAGTAGGATATACTTACTAAGCCAGTTATACTCCAGTAAACTTGTGAATGAAAAAACATTAGAGAACAGAGAATTAAGAACAAGTAATAGAGTAATTATTTCACTGATCCTCACCCAATTTCAGGAAAATCATGTCCCTAAAACAGCAATTCTGACTGATAAATTTTTCCATGCCTAAACAGAAAGTAAAGTGAAATTATGGGAATCCTATGATAGTTTACTACACATTGTGTGCTTTTAATAGTTCAACACTGGTAATGTTTGATAATCAAGAGTAAATTAATAGGCTAACATTTAAAAATGTATACTTTAATAAGTATAAAGTATATAAACAATTAGGTAAGCTTGTGGAGAAGCTGACCAAGATACATAAATTAGGAAATACAAGTGTCCATCTAAATTTTCTATATTTCATTTTTTTCATAATATTTATTAAAGGTGTTTAATATACAGTTTCTCATCTGTCATTTTGGAAGTCCTTTATTGTAAAGACAATTCTATTGTCTGATGACAAACAGCAGCCACCATGGTTATTCAGGACCTCCACGCTGAAAAGGAAAAAATAAAGCAGTAAGATTAGATGTTAAATTGACTCAGGAAATGTTTTGATGGCAATTTTACAAATTTATACAATCTTCAGTAAGTAATCTTTGGTTTTTAAAAAATAGTTTTGAATTAGTCAAAACTTTTGGGTACTCATATCAATTCTTTTTTTTTTTTTTTTTTTTTTTTGAGATGGAGTTTCCGGAGTTTCACTCTTGCCCAAGCTAGAGTGCAGTGGCGTGACCTTGGCTCACTGCAACCTCCGCCTCCCGGGTTCAAGAGATTCTCCTGCCTCAGCCTCCCGAGTAGCTGGGATTACAGGTACCCACCACCACACCCAGCTAATTTTTGTATTTTCAGTAGAGACGAGGTTTCACCACATTGGCCAGGCTGGTTTCCAAGTCCTGACCTCAGGTGACCCACCTGCCTTGGCCTCCCAAAGTGCTGGGATTACAGGCATGAGCCACCATGCCCAGCCCTCTTATCAATTCTTATAATTTCAGACCTGGAAGGGACTCAAGGTTGACCTGTCCTTAAATTTCTTGGTATCAGAAGCTCTTTACACTCTGAAAAATTATTCAGGACCCCAAAGAGCTGTTTTTTATGTGATTATATCTATTGATATTGATATATCATGCATATTTACAGAGGGATTTGACTATGGTTTCTTTCTCATAGTCTTGGCCTACCTGACCATCCTGTCTTAGCTCTGACCACACTCTGACAAGACAATAGGAATAGCATGTAAATCAGCAAATGAAATCCCCAAAGCCCAAATGTTATGGTGTTTTGCGTAGTCTTGGGATAAAGAGCAACGACATACTTGGATAAATTCCATTTCTTCTTGAGACACAAGTTTCCTTCTGTATTTCTGAGGTAATGTTTTTATTATTTCTGCAGTGTCCGGTGGACCCTGATACATCAGCAAATCTGGTGATTTACTTCCTTTAGAATGTTGTGAAATTACAGAAGAGTGAGATGGTAGCCCTGCTGATCTCAAAGCTTCTGATACTGAAATTAAAAAAA
Source organism: Homo sapiens (assembly GCF_000001405.40). Lineage (NCBI taxonomy): Eukaryota > Metazoa > Chordata > Mammalia > Primates > Hominidae > Homo > Homo sapiens. The sequence continues at coordinate 11,366 of NW_003315917.2, read as the reverse complement.
AAAAAGACCTTATTAGAGAAATTGTTCAGATGTCAAAATACTGAGTCTTAAAATACTATCAAATAATCAAGTCATTCTTGAAATGAAGTCATTCTTCAAATAACTCTTGAAGTATTATAATTCCAAAAGGTAAATATTGTAGAGTAACTCAGTTGGCTATATATAATTTCATAAAGGTTTTTAAAAACAAATAAGGAGGTAGCTTTAAAATTTTTATACATTTATTGTTTACAGATGGGGTCTTGCTTTGTTGCCCAGGCTGATCTTGAACTCCTGGGCTCAAGCAAACATCCTGCCAGCCATCCCACCTCAGCCTGTGAGTAGTCAGGATTATAGGCATGTGCCACTGCACCCAGCTAAGGGGCAGTCTTAAGTAAATGAATTACAAAAATGTAAAATAATGAAATTTCTAGTTAGTGGAATTCAACCCTTTAGGGGAACCTACACTACTTAAGCTTATGTCACATAACCCCTCATAGGCCAACACATGGTGGAGTTTACAGGTAATATCTTACAATAAGGAATAAGAAAGTCAGTAAATGTAAATGAGGGTAGTTTTCTCAATATCTTTACACTTGTTTAAACATCTTAATTCTTCAATAGTTACAATAAGTTAAAAATATACCTATAAAATGTGTTAAAATTGCCTGAATTAAAGATCAAGAGAGGCACAGAGGATCTGGTTTTTTTAAAAAAGGGCGGGAATCAGAGAAAAACAGAACCCTTTCAGAATCTTCTCCCATTAATTTTGAATAAATGCTAAGGATTAAGGCAATCCAAAAAATATTTACTGACTAGATGAATAGATAAATGAATGAATGAAAGAAAAGATGGTTGGTGAGGAGAGAAACAGGAATGGTTATTATTTTCCCAGTCTCTGCAAATGTAAGCATGGGAGAATCTTCTAAAGGATAGGAGAGAATAAAGGTAGGACAAAATTTTGCCCATATAAACTCACTAGAAATTCAGAGACATCTTCTGTTGAGTCACTACCTTTTAAAATAGGGGTAATAAAGGCCAGGTGAGTGGCTCATGCCTGTAATCCCAGCACTTTGGGAGGCGGAGGCAGGCAGATCACCTGAGATCAGGAGTCGAGACCAGCCTAGGCAACATGGTGAAACCCTGTCTCTACTAAAAATACAAAAATTAGCCAGGCGTGCTAGTGTATGCCTGTAATCCCAGCTACTAAGGATGCTGAAGCACGAGAATTGCTTTAACCCGGGAGGGGGAGACTGCAGTGTGCCAAGATAGCACCACTGCACTCCAGCCTGGGCGACAGAGCAAGACCCTGTCTCAAAAAATAAAATAAAATAGAGGTAATAATTTTTTTTTTTTTTGAGACAAAGTCTTGCCCTGTCACCCAGGCTGGAGTGCAGTGGCATGATCTTAGCTCACTGCAACCTCCGCCTCGTGGGTTCAAGCAATTCTATGCCTCAGCCTCCCGAGTAGCTGGGACTATAGGAGCCCGCCACCACGCCTGGCTAATTTTTTGTATTTTTTAGTAGAGACAGGGTTTCACCATGTTGGCCAGGCTGGTCTTGAACTCCTGACCTCAGGTGATCCGCGTGCCTCGGCCTCCCAAAGTGCTGGGATGACAGGCGTGAGCCACCGCTCCCAGCCATAAGTTAATTTCTACTTGCATGCTACATAAGGCACTATTTTGATCTAAGCTACAATAGTCTTAACTGATTTTAAAATGAGAAATATTGCCTATAATAAAATACTCATTTATAAATATTCATGTACACAATTTTAAAAGAAATTTAAATAAAATACAACTCACCATTGGGTTTAGGATTGTCTCTTCTGTCAGGAAACCTTATTAATGGAGTGTGTGGTTTGACTACCTAAATGAAAAGTAATATGCATGAAAAACAATCTCATTAACTAAAAGAAATGATCTACTAAACCTCATAAGTAGATACGTTTGTTAAAATTACTATTTTACAGCAACTTTAAATTATACTCTTCCCCAACCAGGAAAGCTGGTCTATGAATTATTAACTTGTCTACCCGGTAAACACAACTTTGTACTTTATATATCACAAGACTTCATTGTACTATCGAAGGTGTACTTCACTTCAAAGCAACCCAATGGAGGAGATGATGTAGAGTTTATGTTGCATGACTTATAGATTGGTAAGAATGAAAGCTGGCTGGGTGCAGTGGCTTATGCCTGTAATCCCAACATTTTGGGAGGCCCAGACAGGCAGATTGCGTGAGTGCAGGAGTTTGAGACCAGCCTGGGCAACATGGTGAAACCCCGTCTCTACCAAAAATTAAAACAAAAACAAAAAGAAAAACAAGGCCCAGTGTGATGGCTCACGCCTATAATCCCAACACTTTGGGAGGCCGAGGCGGACGGATCACGAGGTCAGGAGTTCAAGACCAGCCTGGCCAACATGGTGAAACCCCATCTCTACTAAAAATACAAAAATTAGTTGGGCATGGTGATGCGTGCCTGTAATCCTAGCTACTTGGGAGGCTGAGGCAGGAGAACTGCTTGAACCAACCGGGACTCCGGAGGCAGAGGTTGCAGTGAGCTGAGATCGTGCCACTGCACTCTAGCCTGGGCTACAGAGTGAGACTCCATCTTAAAAAAAAAAAAAAAAAAAAAGGTGGCTGAGCATGGTGGCTCACACCTGTAATCCCAGCACTTTGGAAGGCTGAGGCAGGTGGATCACGAGGTCAGGAGTTCGAGAGCAGCCTGACCAACAGGGTGAAACCTCGTATCTACTAAAAATACAAAAATTAGCAGGGCATGGTGGTAGTGCACACCTGTAATCCCAGCTACTCAGGAGGCTGAGGCAGGAGAATCGCTTGAACGCAGGAGGCAGAGGTTGCAGTGAGCAGAGATAGTGCCACCATACTTCAGTCTGACCACAGAGCGAGACTCCGTCTCAAAAAAAAAAAAAAAAAAAATGTGGTGCTATGTGCCTGTAGTTCCAGCTACTTGGGAGGCTGAGGTGGGAGGATCACTTGAACCAAGGAGGCAGAGGTTGCAGTGAGCTCAGATCTTGCCACTGCACTCCAGCCTGGGCAACAGAGTGAGACCCCATCTCAAAGAAAAAACACTGGAAATTTACTGCCTTTTTTTTTTTTTTCTTTTTTCAGACGGAGTCTCACTCTGTCGCCCAGGCTGGAGTGCAGCGGCACGATCTCAGCTCACTGGAACCTCCACCTCCTGTGTTCAAGCGATTCTCCTGCCCCAGCCTCCCGAGTAGCTGGGACTATAGGCACGTGCCACCACGCCCGGCTAGTTTTTTTCACTTTTAGTAGAGACGGGGTTTCACCGTGTTAGCCAAGGTGGTCTCAATCTCCTGACCTCATGATCCGCCCACCTTGGCCTCCTAAAGTGCTGGGATTACAGGTGTGAGCCACCGCACCCGGCAGAAATTTACTGACTTTTTAAATTTTTTGTTGAGACAGCGTCTGGCTTGTTGCCCAGGATGGAGTGCACTGGCATGATGTGGCCTTACCGCAACCTCCGCCTCCTGCTCCTAGGTACAAGCAATCTTCTTGCCTTAGCCTCCCAAAGTTCTAGGATTTCAGGCATGAACCACTGCACCTGGCCTCCTGACTTGTTTTGAGTGTTATTTCCCTACTATATTAATACCTAACAGGGAAGAAAAAACAATCATTTTGAAAATTAGAAAATTAAAGAATACTTTTTTTGACTACAAAAGTAACACAAATTCTGTGTAAAACATTTGGAAGAACACAGAAGAGCACAAAGAAGAAAACACTATAATCCCAAGACCCACGTAAAACAAATAAAAGACTTTTTTTTTTTTTGAGATGGAGTCTCCTCTGTCACCCAGGCTGGAATGTAGTGGCGTAATCTCTGTTCACTGCAACCTCCGCCTCCCAGGTTCAAGCAATTCTCCTGCCTCAGCCTCCTGAGTAGCCAGGATTACAGGCCTGCGCCACCACACCCCGCTAATTTTTGTATTTTTAGTAGATATGGAGTTTCCCCATTTTACCCAGGCTGGTCTTGAACTCCTGACCTCAAATGATCCACCTGCTTCGGCTTCCCAAAGTGCTGGGATTACAGGCATGGGCCACCATGCCCGGCCCAAATTAAAACATTTGATAGCACTTTATTTTAGTCTTTTTCCTATACCCATAGGAATACTTTTTTTTTTTTTTTTTTAGACAGAGTCTTGCTGTGTCACTCAGACTGGAGTACAGTGCCGCAATCATGGCTCACTGCAACCTCCGCCTCAAGGGTTCAAGTGATTCTCCTGCCTCCGCCTCCCAAGTAGCTGGGATTACAGGTGCCCGCCACCACACCCGGCTAATTTTTATATTTTTAGTAGAGACAGGGTTTCACCATGTTGGCCAGGCTGGTTTCGAACGGCCTCCCAAAGTGCTGGGATTACAGGCGTGAGCCACCATGCCTGGCCTGGAATACATATTTTTGGAATACTGTTTTTGGAACAGATGTTTGAAAAGTATTAACATTTTTGTCCGTAAAATTCCAGATAGTGGTACAGAGGACCTTAAATGGACCTGTCAATATGAAATCTTCTGAATATACAATGCTAAGAATCTAATGAACAAAGTACTATTTTCAACTAATCTATAAATTGCTATGTAACGAATAAGACTGAGGTGGGTTTATCTGCAATATATTTATATATTTGTAGTACATATTATGCATTTTATGTGGGCACAGAAGCAAATAGGTATGGGATTGGCCTAAAAATTCACCACTGTAATTCTGTGGCTGTGAGAAAATGCTGGAATGTGTTCTCTCCCTCACCATAAAATCATGCTCAAGTCTTCCATGCTAAAAAACTTCTCGGCCGGGCATGGTGGCTCACACCTGTAATGCCAGCACTTTGAGAGGCCGAGGTGGGTGGATCATGAGGTCAGGAGATCGAGACCATTCTGGCTAACACGGAGAAACCCCGTCTCTACTAAAAATACAAAAAAAGTAGCCAGGCGTGGTGGCACACACCTGTAGTCCCAGGTACTCGGGAGGCTGAGGCAGGAGAATCGCTTGAACCTGGGAGGCAGAGGTTGCAGTGAGCCGAGATTGTGCCACTGCACTCCAGCCTAGGTGAAAGAGCAAGACTTTGTCTCAAAAAAAAAAAAAAAAAAAAAAGCTGCGCACCGTGACTCACGCCTGTCATCCCAGCACTTTGAGAGGCCAAGGCGGGTGGATCATGAGGTCACGAATTCAAGACCAGCCTGGCCAAGACGGTGAAACCCTGTCTCTACTAAAAAAATAAAAAAATTAGCCGGGCGTGGTGGTGGGCGCCTGTAATCCCAGCTACTCGGGAGGCTAAGGCAGAAAATTGCTTGAACCCTGGAGTGGAAGTCCGAGATCGAGCCACTGCACTCCAGCCTGAGTGACAGAGAGAGGCTCTGTCTCAAAAAAAAAAACTTCTCTATTAACTGTTTCTTCACTTTCATAGCCAAGCTTCTTAAGAGAATGTTCTATCTATCCTATCATCACTCCCCTATTTAGAAGTTTGAAAACTGGCTGAGGTCAGTGGCTCATGCCTGTAATCCCAGCACTTTGGGAAGACGGCTTGAGCCCAGGAGTTTGAGACCAGCCTGAGCAAGAAGATGAGACTCCCTCTCTACAACTTAAAAGAAGAAAAAAAAGAAGTTTGAAAAATGTTCCACAGCTTTCAGGATAAAGTTCAAACTCTTCTTTGGCACTCACAACACCCATTGTGATCTGGCCTCTCCCTACTTTGCCAGCCTTTCTCCCCTACTGTCTTATGTACCCATTGCTCCAAGTATTCTGAAGTATTTTTCCTTTCCCCAATTCATCCTATTTATCCTCATTCCATCTACAGCTTACGTCCTCTGCCATGAAATCTCCCTCCTATCCCATTCCACTTCCATGCCTATCCTTCTGACTGCTTATCCTTTACAACAGCTCAAATGTCACTCTTCTCTAAGAACCTTTCCCAAATTCCAAAGTCTGAGTTAAAAACTCTCCTTATGTTTTCAGAGGACAGATAAGTTAGCCAATGATTATAGAAGAGCACTAAGCTCCTGGACAGTCAGAGACAGAAAACTAAGCACTTCTGCAGTAGCATTCCTGTTACATGGTAAATGCCCAAGTAACAGTTGCCAAATACGTGAATAAACCATTTGTAAGTTAGGTCTAACTGTATAGGCATGTAAATATGTATTATATACTTATACAAATGTACTTTTAATAGATATGGGGTTTTGCCATGTTGGCCAGGCTGGTCTCGAACTCCTGACCTCAGGTGATCTGCCCGCCTTGGTCTCCCAAAGTGCTGGGATTACAGGCATGAGTCACCGTGCCCAGCCTTATGTTTTCTATAATAGTCTTTTATCAGATATGTCTTTTGAAAGTATTTTCTCCCAATATGTGGCTTGCCTTTTTTTGACAGTGTCTCACAGAGCAGAATTTTTTATTTTAATGAAGTCCAGCTTATCAATTAATTTTTCATGGATCATGCCTTTGGTGTTATATCTAAAAAGTCATTCCTAAACCTAAGGTTATTTTTATTTTCTCCTATGTTATATTCTAAGGGTTTTATAGTTTTGCATTTTGCATTTAGGTCTAGGATCCATTTTGAGTTAATGTTTGTGAAGAACGTGAGGTCTGTGTCTAGATGGATATCCAATTTTTTCAGCACCATGTTGAAAAGACTATCTTTTCTCCATTGTATTCCCTTTGCTCGTTTTGTCAAAGATCAGTTGACTATCTCTTTATTTTTACCTTTCCAAATCTTAGTTTTAGCTATGCCTCTTATAAATAGCATAGCACTGGATTTTCATTTGTTAGCCAGTCTGAAAATGTTTTACTTTATTATTTATTTTTTGAGACCAGGTCTTGCTCTGTTACACAGGCTGGGGTGCAGTGGAGTGATCGTGGTTCACTGCAGCGTCAAACTCCTGGGCTCAAGTGATCTTTCCACCTCAGCCTCCTAAGTAGCTAGGACTACAGGTACACACCCACACACTACCCCTCCTGCCTGGCTAATTTTTTTTTTTTTTTTTAGTATTTATTGATCATTCTTGGGTGTTTCTCGGAGAGGGGGATGTGGCAGGGTCATAGGATAATAGTGGAGAGAAGGTCAGCAGATAAACACGTGAACAAAAAGGTCTCTGGTTTTCCTAGGCAGAGGTCCCTGCGGCCTTCCGCAGTGTTTACGTCCCTGGGTACTTGAGATTAGGGAGTGGTGATGACTCTTAACGAGCATGCTGCCTTCAAGCATCTGTTTAACAAAGCACATCTTGCACCGCCCTTAATCCATTTAACCCTGAGTGGACACAGCACGTTTCAGAGAGCACGGGGTTGGGGGTAAGGTTATAGATTAACAGCATCCCAAGGCAGAAGAATTTTTCTTAGTACAGAACAAAATGGAGTCTCCTGTGTCTACTTCTTTCTACACAGACACAGTAACAATCTGATCTCTCTTTCTTTTCCCCACATTTCCCCCTTTTCTTTTCGACAAAACCGCCATCGTCATCATGGCCCGTTCTCGATGGTTGCTGTCTCTTCAGAGCTGTTGGGTACACCTGCAGAAAGGCTGTCACTTCACACTTGGAAGATTGCACTGCGGCCAGGCAGAGGCGCTCCTCACTTCCCAGACGGGGTGGCGGCCGGGCAGAGGCGCTCCTCACATCCCAGACGGGGCGGCCGGGCAGAGGCGCTCCTCACTTCCCAGACGGGGCGGCTGCCTGGCTAATTTTTATAGAGATGGGGTCTTGCTATGTTGCCTAGGCTAATCTTGAACTCCTGGCTCAAGCAATCTTCCCACCTTGGCTTTCCAAAGTGTTGGGAGTACAGGTGTGAGCCACCGTGCCCAGCTGGCTTTGTCTTTACTTAATGTTCTGAGACCACGCTTTGTGACTTCCTATCAGTTTGTACCAATCAGTCTTTTGGCACTCTTCTCTTCCTTCAAGATATGGATCAACAACCAAATTCTAAGCTCTATGTTTTTTTGTTTTTTTTTTTTGAGTCAGGGTCTAGCTCTACTGTCCAGGCTGGAATGCAGTGGCATGATTATGGCTCACTGTAGCCTTGATCACCCAGGCTCAATCTTCCCACCTCAGCCTCCTGAGTAGCTGGGACCACAGGTGCACATCACCATGCTCAGCTAATTTTTTAAAATTTTTATAGAGATGGGGTCTTGCTATTTTGCCCAGGCTGGTCTTGAACTCCTGGGCTCAAGCCATCCTCCTGCCTCAAACTACCAAAGTGTTGGGATTACAGGCATACATCAGTGAGCCTGGCCTAAACTCTAACTGGCACTGTAGTCCTAGCTTTATAGGCCTGTCACAGAGATACTCAACAAATTTTGCTAATGTTATATGTAATTATTACATAATATTAGCACATACTTTATTATTTATTTTTCGAGACCAGGTCTTGCTCTGTTACACAGGCTGGGGTGCAGTGGGGTGATTGTGGTTCACTGCAGCGTCAAACTCCTAGGCTCAAGTGATATTATATTAGCATATTGGTTGTATTCTCTCTTTTTTTCTTTTTTTTTAAGAGCGCAATCACGAACCTGATTTGAATTCTAAATAGGTGAGTACAGGTCTTTGTTCCTATGTTAGAAGGGCACAGACCATTCCTTACTGTATATCTCACAGTTTCTTCATTTGTTTGCACACATCAGCTGTTAGTATTGCTTTGGACTGTACTATTTTAACAAACTACCACAATTTGTTTATGCAAAAGACAGACATAGAGATTGTTTGTGGTTTGGGGGCTATCAGAAATAGAGCCAGGGACCCCATGGCAGTATATATAGTACCTGCCTGCTGAGATGCCACACTCCTGCTGCCAGGCTGGAACCCCTCAGCTCTGGACCCCAGTTCTTTGCTAGTAACTCTTTTTTTTCTGTGAACATTTACGTACAGAGACAGTATGTGCATTCACTTCTCTTGGGCAATAAACCTATGAGTAGAATTGCTGGGTCATACGGTAGATACATGCTTAACTATTAGAGACTGACAGCTTTCCAAAGTGGCTATAACATTTTATATTCCCACCAGCAATATTGAGGGTTTCAGACGCTTCACATTCTCATCACCACTGACGTCTAAATTTTAGTCATTTTGGTGGATGTGTAGGACCTCATGGTTTTAATTTTTATTTTCCTGGCAAGTAATGATATTGAGCACCTTTTAAAATGTTCATTGCTCATTTGGGTATCTTTTGTGCAACACGCCAAGTCTTTTACCCATTTTTAAATTGTTATATATTATTGATACATATGGTTATATATTATGGATAACAGACCTTTGTCAGTCTCTCAGTCCTTACAGAATCTTTAACTAGTTGATGCTCAGTAACTACCTACTGAATAAGTAAGGATCATTCATTGCAATGGGACCAAAGACTGGGATCTAGGATTATCATTCAGACAACAATTTCAGGAATTTAGAAAAAGGTCTTTTAAGAGATGTACTTATATAAAGCGGAATGTACTTCTCATATCAAAGATAAAAGTCAATTATAAAATAATATAGTTTCAGGGTTCAAAGACTATGTAAACCAACCACAAAAGTGGAGGTTGTGTTCCACTTATATAATAATTTTACCTAAGTTAGAACCACAGCTGAAGAAACAAATAAAAAGGCTATCAGGAGTTAGTAGCTGATAGGTGGATTAACAAAGTTACTTTAGCTGTCTATCTAAACCAGGGGAAAATAGGCTTGTGAAACCAACGCTTATACACACACACACACACACACACACACACATTAATATACACACACACATACTAATTAAACTTAAGTTTACTTTTCTATTTCCCTCATCTGGCCTGTAGCCAGACGCTTGGAGAGGTTGGGGAGAACCCGCTCCGGCGAGGACGCAGTACGCGGGGCCAGTTGCCCGACCATTCCCGAGACCTTGAAGGGACAGTGGGTCAGATCCAGGGTTCGCTTCCTTCCACGCCCCGCTACCGCCTTCCTTCCGATTGGCTGATCGGGGGCACCACAGCCAATCCTAGACGGCGATTGGCCAGGCTACCGCCAGGGTCGCCTCACCCGCACACGCCTAAGACTAACAAGGTCCTGGCGGAGGAGCGGGGGATCCCGGCAGTAGGTACAGGACCTACCTGCCAAGATGCTGCACGGTTGCCGCAAGGCTCGAACCCTCGGCGCCGGACCCACCTCACTGCCCGGTCCAACAGGCTCAAAGTCCCATCCTCACACACACCCGCGGGCGCCGTCACTGGCCCTCCGCAGAGGCGCGGTCACCGCTCTGCCTCTGCCACCGCCTTTACTCCCCGACGCCGTCGCCATAGTCAGCACCGTCCCTACCGCCCAAGATGCGGAAACGCGACAAATTGCTTTACCTGAACGACCCTACTAGCAGACGCCATCTTGCTGCCCATCATGACCCCCGAGAAGGGGCAGTTTCCGGGGCGCGAGCGAGCCGCGGCGATCACTGGAGTCCCGGGCAGCTGTGGGCGGTGCTTCCCGGGACGTCACGGAGGCGGAGACCGGACTGGGCTCTCCTCCGCCGTGGGGCTGGCTCCGCCCCCTGTGCCTGACCCCGCCCACCCCTTCTCCCTACTAGGATCCACCCACGTGTGTTCTATTGTTTCGTTTTGGGGACAAAATTTTGTTAAGGTGGGTCTCTGCTCATTAGCCTATAAATTGTCTAGGACCATTTCCTTTCCAGAAAGCCAGTCTATAATTTCGATATAGTTCAAAATTTTATCTGGAACCAAATAAATAATACAACCTTCTTATCTGACAGCTCTTGCAAAGATTAAAAAAATTAAAGAAAAACAAAAAAAAAACCTTGCGGTTTCCTAAAATGAATAATTTCGTTAAAATGGGAGTTAGTGGCAAGCTCACAAGAGTTTACTCTGGCTTAAAAAGGGCCATGTCACACTCTCTTGCTGATTGGCATTGCTTGATTGTAATTTGTTTCTGTTTTCTTTACCGTTTATTACTCCTGATATCGAACTGCTGGGCCTTTGCTTCAAGTTGAGATAACTCAAAAATTCAGAAATATTTGAAATGTAAGCCACTCATATCTTTCCCCCAAAATTACATTACGGGCGGGGCGCTATGGCTCACGCCTGTAATGCCAGCACTTTGGGAGGCTGAGGCGGGCGGATCACTTGAGGTCAGGAGTTCGACACCAGACTGGCCAACATTGTAAAACCCTGTCTCTACTAAAAATACAAAAATTAGCCGGGCGTGGTGGCGGGCGCCTGTAGTCCCAGCTACTCAGGAGGTGAGGCAGGAGAATTGCTTGAACCCAGAAGGCAGAGGTTGCAGTAAGCCGAGAGTGTGCCACTGCACTCCGGCCTGAGCGACAGAGGGAGACTCCGTCTCAAAAAAAAAAAAAGTTACATTACGTTCTGTGATAATGCTTAGGTTATATATAGTATTGT